>NC_000010.11:38918269-39229918 GCF_000001405.40 Homo sapiens | reverse complement strand
GAGATGAATACACACAGCATAAAGCAGTTTCTCAGAAACCTTCCTCCATATTTTTATCTGAAGATATTTCCTATTTCACCATTGCCCTCAATACTCTCCGAAAGAAACTTTTGCAGATTCTACATAAACAGAGATTTCTTAGTGGTGAATGAAAAGAAAGATTTAACTCTGTGAAATGCATGCTCACATCACAAAGTGGTTTCTCAGATAACTGCCTTCTAATTTTAATAGTGGGACATGCTCTTTTTTTACATTGGCCTCAATGATCTCCCATATGTCCATTCACAGAATGGACTAAAACATTTTCCAAACTGCTGAATCCAAAGAAAGTTTTAACTCTGTGATATGAATGGACACATCACAAGGCAGATTCTCAGAAAGCTTCTTTCTAGTTTTTAACTGAAGATGTTTCATTTTTCACCATAACCCTCAATGCTCTCTGAAATAGCCCTTTGCAGATTCTACAAAAACACTGCTTCCAAACAACTGAATGGAAAGAATGGTTTAACTCTGTGAAATGAATTCTCAGATGACACAGCGGTTTCTCAGGTAGATTCCTCCCAGTTTTTATTCAGGGATATTCTCTTTTTCGCCATTGACCCCAAAGAGCTTCAAAATGTCCATTCGCAGAATGGACAAAAACTGTGTTTCCAAACTACTGAATCCAAAGAAAGCTTTAACTCTGTAAGATGAATGCACACATCATGAAGCAGTTTCTCAGAAAGATTCTTTCTCGTTTTTACCTTAAGATGTTTCCTATTTCACCATAGGCCAAAATACTCTCTGAAATAACCCTTTGTCGATTCTACAAAAACAGTGATTTCTAACTGCTGAATGAAAACAAAGGTTTAACTCTGTGAAATGAATGCTCACATCACAAAGCCCTTTCTCAGATAGCTGCATTCTAGTTTTAATCCTGGGATATCCCCTTTTTTTGTCTTTGGCCTCAATGAGTGTCCAAATCTCCACTTGCAGAAAGGACAAAAACAGATTTTGCCAACTGCTGTATCCAAAGAAAGGTTTAAGTCTGTGTTGAATGCACACATCACAAAGGAGTTTCTAAGACAGCTTCTTTCTAGTTTTTAACTGAAGATGTTTCCTTTTTTACCATAGGCCTAAATGCTCTCCGAAATATCCCTTTGCAGATTATGTAAAAACACTGCTTCCAAACAGCTGAATGAAAAGAATGCTTTAACTCTGTGAAATGAATGCTCACATGACACAGCAGTGTCTCAGACGTATTCCTTCTAGTTTTTATCCTGGGATATTTGCTTTTTTGCCTTTGACCCCAAAGATATCTGAAATGACCATTCACAGAATGGACAAAACTGTGTTTCCAAACTACTGAATCCAAAGGATGCTTTAACTCTTTGAGATGAATGCACACATCACAAAGCAGTTTCTCAGAAAGATTCTTTCTAGATTTGCTCTGAAGGTGATTCCTTTTTTGAAATAGGCCTCAATGCTCTCCAAAATATCCCTTTGCACATACTACAAAAAAAAAGTTTCCTAATTGTTGAATGAAAAGAATGATTCAACTCTGTGAGATGAGTGAAAATATCACGGAGATGTTTCTCAGATGTCTCCCTTCTGGTTTTTATCCTGGGATATTCCCATTCTCACAGTTGGTCTCAAAGCGCCCCCAAATGTCCATTAGCTGAGTTGGCAAACACTGTGTTTCAACGCTGCTGAATCCAAAGAAATGTTTATCTCTGTGAGATGAATGTACAAATCACAAATCAGTTTCTCAGAAAGTTTCCTTCTAGTTTTTAATCTGAAGATGTTTCTTATTTCACCTTAGGCCTCACTGCTCTCCGAACTAACCCTTTCCAGATTCAATGAAAACAGTGTTTCCAAACTGCTGAATGAAAAGGAAGGCTAAAATCTGTGAGATGAATGCACACGTGACAAAGGAGTTTCTAAGATAGCTGCCTTCTAGTTTTCATCCTGGGTCATTCCCAGTTTTTCCAATGGCCTCAAAGAGCACCCAAATGTCCTTTTGCCGAGTGGACAAAAACAGTGTGACAAAATTGCTGAATCCAAAGAAAGGTTTAACTATTTGAGATGAATGCACACACCAAAAAGCAGTTTCTCAGAAAGTTTCTTTCTCGTTTTTATATGAAGGTGTTTCCTATTTCACAGGCCTCAATGCACTCCAAAATAACTCTTTGCAGCTTCTGCAAAACCAGTGTTTCCTAACTACTGAATGAAAAGAAAGGTTTAACTCTGTGAAATAAATGTTCACATCACAAAGCTGTTTCTCAGATAGCTGCCTTCTAGTTTTAATCATGGGATATCCCCTTTTTTGCCATTGGCCTCTATGAGCTCCCAAATGTCCATTCGCAGAATGGAGAAAAACAGATTTTCCAAACAGCTGAATCCAAGAATGCTTTAAATCTGTGAGATGAATGCACACATCAGAAAGCATTTTCTCAGAAAGCTTCTTTCTAGTTTTTCACTGAAGTTGTTTCCTTTTTCACCATAGGCCTCAATGCTCTCCGTAATATCCCTTGGTAGATTTTGTAAAAACAATACTTCCAAACAGCTGAATGAAAAGAATGGTTTAACTGTGAAATGAATGCTCACATCACAAAGTGGTTTCTCAGAGAGATTCCTTCTAGTTTTCATTCAGGGGTATTTGCTTTTTCACCATTGGCCCCAAAGAGCTCCGAAATATCCATTCACAGAAAGGACAAAAACACTTTTTCCAAACTACTAAATTCAAAGAAAGCTTTAAGTCTGTGAAATGAATGCACACATCACAAAGCAGTTTCCCAGAAAGATTCTTTCTAGTTTTTAACTGAAGATGTTTCCTTTTTCACCATAGACCTCAATGCACACAGAAATATCACTTTGCAGATTCTGTGAAAATATTGTTTCCAGACAGCTGAATGAAAAGACTGGTTTAACACTGTGAAATGAATGCTCACATCACAAAGTGGTTTCTCAGAGAGATTCCTTCTAGTTTTTCTTCAGGGATATTAGCATTTTCACCATTGGCCCCAAAGAGCTCTGAAATGTCCACTCGCAGAACAGACAAAAACTGTGTTTCCAAACTACTGAATCCAAAGAAGGGTTTCACTCTGTGAGATGAATGCACCCACCACAAAGCAGTTTCTCAGAGAGAATATTTCTCGTTTTTGTCTGAAGATGTTTATTTCATCATAGGCCAAAGTACTCTCCAAAATAAACCTTTGCAGATTCTACAAAACCAGTGATTTCTAACTGCTGAATGAAAAAGAAGGTTTAACTCTGTGAAATGAATGCTCACATCTCAAAGCCATTTCTCAGATAGCTGCCTTCTAGTTTTCATCTTGGGATATCCCCTTTTTTGTCTTTGGCCTCCAAGAGCTCCCAAAGTTCCATTCACAGAATGGACAAAAACAGATTTTACAAACTGCTGACTCCAAATAAAGTTTTATCTCTGTGAGACGAATGGACACATCACAAGGCAGATTCCCAGAAAGCTCCTTTCCAGTTTTTAACTGAAGAAGTTTCCTTTTTCACCATAGGCCGGAATGCTCCCCAAAATATCCGTTTGCAGATTCTACAAAAACCCTGCTTCCAAACAGCTGAGTGAAAACCATGGCTTAACTGTGAAATGAATGCTCACATCACAAATTGGTTTATCAGATATATTCTTTCTGGCTTTTCTTCAGTGATATTTGCTTTATCATCTTCGGCCCCAAAGAGCTCCGAAATCTCCATTCGCAGAATGGACAAAAACTCTTTTTCCAAACTAGTAAATCCAATTAAAACTTTATCTCTGTGAGATGAATGCACACATCACAAAGCAGTGTCTCGGAATGCTTGTTTCTCATTTTAATCTGAAGATGTTTCCTCTTTCACCATAGGTCTGAATACTCTGCGAAATATCCCTTTGCAGATTCTACAAAACCAGTGATTTCTAAGTGCTGAATGAAAAGAAAGGTTTAGCTCTGAAATGCATGCCCACATCACAAAGTGGTTTCTCAGATAGCTGCCTTCTAGTTTTAATCCTGGGACATCCCCTTTTTTGCCATAGGCCTCAATGAGCTCCAAAATGTCCATTCGCATAAGGGACAAAAACAGATTTCCCACACTGCTGAATCCAAAGAAAGATTTAACTGTGTGAGACAAATGGACACAACACAAGGCAGATTCTCAGAAAGCTTCTTTCTAGTTTTTAACTGAAGATGGTTCCTTTTTCACTGTAGGCCTCAATGCTCTCCAAAATATCCCTTTGCAGATTCTACAAAAGCACTCCTTCCAAACAGCTGAATGAAAACAATGTTTACACACTGTGAGATGAATGCTCACATCACAAAGAGGTTTCTCAGATAGATACTTTCTAGTTTTTATTCAGAGATATTTGCTTTTTCCCCATTGGCCCCATGGAGCTGCAAAATGTCCATTCGCAGAATGGACAAAAACTATGTTTCAAAACTACTGTACCCAAAGAAATCTTTATGTATGTGAGCTGAATGCATGCATCAAAAAGAAGTTTCTCAGAAAGCTTCTTTCTAGATTTTCTCTGAAGATGTTTCCTATTTTTACCATAGGCCTCAATGCTCTAAGAAATATCCCTTTGCAGATTCTACAGAAACGGTGTTTCCAAACTGATGAAGGAAAAAAATGATTTAACTCTGTGAGATGAATTTACGTATCACAGAGCTGTTTCTCAGATATCTTCCTTCTAGTTTTTATCCTGGGATATTCCCATTTTCACAGTTGGTCTCCAAGTGCCCCCAAATATCCATTCACTGAGTTGACAATTACCGTGTTTCAAAGCTGCTGAATCCAAAGAAAAGTTTAACTCTGTCAGATGAATGCACATATCACTAAGCACTTTCTCAGAAAGTTTCTTTCTCAGTTTTATCTGAAGATGTTTCCTATTTCAACTTAGGCCTCAGTATTCTCCAAAATAACCCTTTGATGATTCTACAAAAACAGTGACTTCTAACTGCTCAATGAAAGGAAAGGTTTAACTCTGCGAAAAGAATTCTCACATCACAAAGCTGTTTCTCAGATAGCTGCCTTCTAGTTTTAATCCTGGGATATCATCTTTTCTGTCTTGGCCTCAATGAGCTCCCAAATGTCCATTCACAGAATGGACAAAAACAGATTTTCCAAACTGCTGAGTCCAAAGAAAGCTTTAACTCTGTATAATGAATGCACACATCACAAGGCAGTTTCTCAGAAATGTTCTTTCTAGCTTATAACTGAAGATGTTTCCTTTTTCACCATAGTCCTCAATGCTCTCCAAAGTATCCCTTTGCAGATTCTACAAAGACGGTGTTTTCAAACTGCTGAATGAAAAGAAAGTTTTAACTCTGTAAGCTGAATGTGCACATCACAAGGCTATTTCTAAGATAGCTGCTTTCTAGTTTTTATTCTGGGTTAATCCTGTTTTCACCATTTGCCTCAATAAGCCCCCGAATGTCCTTTTGCTGAGGGGAAAAAAACAGTGTTGCAAAACTGCTGAATCCAAAGAAAAGTTTAACTCTGTGAGATGATGCACACATCACAAGGAAGGTTCTCAGAAAGCTCGTTTCTCGTTTTTATCTGAAGATGTTTCCTATTTCACCATATGCCTCAATACTCTCTGAAATATGCCTTTGCAGATTCTACAAAACAGTGATTTGTAACTGCTGAATGAAAAGAAAAGTTTAACTCTGTGAAATGAGTACTCACATCACAAAGGGTTTTCTCAGATAGCTGCGTTCTAGTGGTAATCCTGGGATATTCCCTTTTGGCCATTGGCCTCAATGATCTTCCAAATGTCCATTCGCTGAATGGACAAAAACAGATTTTCCATACTGTTGAATCAAAAGAAAGCTTTAAGTCTGTGAGCTGAATGTGCACACCACAAGGCTGTTTCTCAAAAAGCTTCTTTCCAGTTTTTCTCTGAAGATGTTTCCTTTTTCACCATAGGCGTCAATGCTCCCCAAAATGTCCCTTTGCAGACTTTTCAAAAACACTGTTTCCAAACAGCTGAATGAAAAGAATGGTTTAACTCTGTGAAATGAATGCTCACATCAGAAAGTGGTTTCTCAGATAGATTTCTTCTAATTTTTTTCAGGGATATTCACTTTTTTGCCATTGGCCCCAAAGAGCTCCAACCTGTCCTATCACAGAATGGACAAAAACTGTGTTTCCAAACTACTGAATCCAAAGAAAGCTTGAAGTCTGTGAGATAAATGCACACATCCCAAAGCAGTTTCTCAGAAAGCTTCTTTCTTGTTTTTCTCTAAACACATTTCCTTTTTTACCATAGACCTCAAGGCTGTCTGTATCATCCCTTTGAAGATTCTATGAAAACAGTGTTTCCTAATTGCTGAATGAAAAGAATGATTTAACACAGTGAGATGAATGAACATATCACAAACCAGTTTCTCAGGTATCTTCCTTCTAGTTTTTATTCTGTGATATTCCCATTTTCACCATTGGACTTAAAGTGTCCCCAAAAGTCCTTTCACTGAGTTAACAAACACCGTGTTTCATAACTGATGAATCCAAAGAAAGTCTTACCTCTATGAGTTGAATGTACACATCACAAAGCAATTTCTCATAAAGTTTCTTTCTAGTTTTTCTGTGAATATATTTCCTATTTCACCATAGGCCTCAATGGTCTCCGAAGTATCCCTTTGGTGATTCTACAAAAATAGTGTTTCCAAACTGCTGAATAAGACGTAAGGTTTAACTCTGTGAGATGAATTCACACATCACAAAGCGGTTTCTCTGATAGCTGCCTTCAAGTTTTTATCCTTGGTTATTCCCATTTTTGCCTTTGGCCCCAAAGAGCCCCCAAATGTCCATTCACTGAGTGGACAAAAAAAGTGTTTCAAGGCAGATGAATCCAAAGAAAGGTTCAGCTCTTTGAGATGAATGCAGACGTCACAAAGCAGTTTCTCAGAAATCTTCTTTCTCTTTTTCATCTGAAGATTTTCCCTATTTCACCATAAGGCTCAATTCTCCTAGAAATAACTCTTTGCAGATTCTACAAAAACAGTGTTTCCAAACTGCTGAATGAAAAGGAAAGTTTAACTCTGTGAAATGAATGCTCACATCACACAGCGGTTCCTCAGATAGCTTTCTTCTAGTTTTAATCCTGGGATATTCCCTTTTTTGCCATTGGCCTCAATGAGCTCCCAAATGTCTGTTTGCAGTATGGACAAAAACAGATTTTCCAAACTGCTGAATCCAAAGACAGGTTTACATCTGTGAGATGTCTGCACACATCTCAAGGCAGTTTCTCAAAAAGCTTCTTTCTAGTTTTTATCTGAAGATGTTTGCTTTTTCACCATAGACATCAATGCTCTTCTAAATATCCCATTGAAGATTCTACAAAAACACAATTTCCAAACTGCTGTATGAAAAGAAAGTTTAACTCTGTGAGATGAATTTACGCATCACATAGCACTTTATCAGTTAGCTTCATCTAGTTTTATCCTTGGATATCTGCTATTTGTCCTTGGCCTTAATGAACTGCCAAATATACATTCACAGAGTGAAAAAAAACACTCTTTCCAAACTACTGAATCCAAAGTAAAGTTCAACTCAGTGAGATGAATTCACACATCACAAAGCAGTTTCACAGAAAGCTTCTATCTAGTTTTTAACTGAAGATGTTCCCTTCTTTACCATAGGCAATAATGGTCCCTGAATTATCCCTTTACAGATTCTACAAAAACAATGTTTCAAAACTGCTGAATGGAAGGAAACGTTTAACTCTGTGAGATGAATGCAAACATCACAAAGCTGTTCCTCAGATAGCTTCCTCCTAGTTTTTATCCTGGTGTATTCAATTTTTCACCCTTCTCCTGAAAGAGCTCTGAAAAGTCCATTCATAGAATGGACAAAATCAGTGTTTCCAAACTACTGAATCCAAAGAAAGGTTTAAGTCTATGAGATGAATGTACACATTACACACCAGTTTCTCAGAAAGCATCTTTCTAGTTTTTATCTGAATATGTTGCCTTTTTCAACATAGGCCACAAAGCTCTCTGAAATATCCCTTTGCAGATTCTGCTAAAACAGTTTTTCCAAACTGCTGAAAGAAAAGAAATGTTTAAATCTGTGAGATGAATGCACACATCACAAAGCGGTTTCTTAGATAGCTTTCTTCTAGTTTTTATCGTGGTATATTTGATTTTTCGCACTTGGCCTGAAAGAGCTCCCAAAAGTTCATTCATAGAATGCACAAAAACAGTGTTTGCAAACGAATGAATCCAAAGAAAGGTTTAAGTCTGTCAGAAGAATGCACACATCACAATGCAGTTTCTCAGAAAGCTTCTCTCTGGTTTTTATCTGAAGATGTTTCCTTTTTCACCATAGGCCTCAATGGTCTCCGAAATATCACTTTAAAGTTTCTATAAAAACACTCTTTCTAACTGGTGAATCCAAAGAAAGGTTTAACTATGTGAGATGAATGCACACATCACAAAGCAGTTTCTCAGAAAGCTTATATCTAGTTTTTTTCTAAAGTTGTTTCTTTTTTTCTATAGCCCTCAAAGCTCTCAGAAACATGCTACTGCAGATTCTACAAAAACAGTGTTTTCAAACTTTTAAATCAAAAAATATTTTAACCCTGTGTAATGAAAGTACACGTCAGAAAGCAGTTTCTCAGAAAGCTCCTTTCTAGTTTTTATCTGAAGATATTTTGTTTTTCACAATAGACTTCAAGGGGCTCCCAAATATCCCTTCACAGATTCTACAAAAACAGGTTTTGCAAACTGCTGAATGAAGTCAGGTTTAAATCTGCAAGATGAATGCACGAATCACAAAGTGCTCTCTCAGATTGCTTCCTTCTGGTTTTTATCCTGGGATATTCTCTTTTTCCATTGACCTCAATGAGCTCCCAAATGTTCATTTGGACAAATGCAGGATTTCCAAACTGCTGAATCAAAAGAAAGGTTTAACTCTTTGAGATGAATACACACACAATAAAGCAGTTTCTCAGAAAGCTTCTTTCTCGTTTTTATCTGAAGATATTTTCTTTTCCACCGTAGGCATCAATGTGCTCCCTAATGTCCCTTCAGATACTACAAAACAGTGTTTCAAACTCCTGAATCAGAAGAAAATTTAACTCTGTGAGATGACTGCAAATCACAAAGCAATTTCTCTGGTAGCTTCTTATAGTTTTTATCCTGGGATATTCACTTTTTTGCCACTGGCCTCAGGATCTCCCAAATGTGCATTCCCATAATGGACAAAAAGAGTTTTTCCAAACTGCTAAATCCAAAGAAAAGTTGAAATCTGAGAGATGATTGCACACATGACTAAGTGGTTTTTCAGAAAGCATCTTTCTAGTTTTTATTTGAAGATATTTCCTTCTTCACCATAGGCCTCAATGCGATCCCAAATATCCCTTTGCAGATTCTACAAAACAGGGTTTCCAAACTTCTGAATCCAAAGAAAGGTATAAATCTGTGAGATGAATGCACATATCACAAAGCAGTTACTCAGGAAGTATATTTCCAATTTTTATCAGAAGTTTTTTTTTTCACCACAGGCCTCAATGCACTCCCTTATATCCCTTCACATATTCTACAAAAAGAGTGTTTCCAACTGCTGAATGAAAAGAAATGTTTATCTCTGTGAGATGAATGTACACATCACAAGCGGTCTCTCAGATAGCTGCCTCCTAGTTTTTATCCTGGGATATTCACTTTTTTGCCATTGGCCTTTCTGAGCTCCCAAATGTCTATTTGCATAAGGACAAAAAGAGTGTTTCCAAACTGCTGAATCCTAAGACGTTTTAATTCTGTGAGATGAATGCACACATCACATAGCAGTTTCTAAGATAGCTTACTTATAGATTTTATCTTGGGATATTTCCTTCTTTGCTATTGGCCTCAAAGATCTCTCTAATGTCCATTACTACTACGAAAAACTGTGTTTCCAAATTGCTGAATCCAAAAAAGGTTGCAATCGGTGAGATGAATGCACACAACACAAAGTAGTGTCTCAGAAAGCTTCTTCCTAGTTTTTATTTGAAGATATTTCCTTTTTCACCATTGACCTCAATGTGATCCCAATTTTCCAGTCACAGAATGGATAAAAACAGTGTTTCCACACTGCTGAATCCAAACCAAAGTTTTACTCTGTGAGATTAATGCACACATCGAAAAGAAGTTTATCAGAAGCTTCTTTCTAGTTTTTACCTACAACGTATCTTTTTTCACAACAGGCCTCAGTGTGCTTCCAAATACCCTTTTGAAGATTCTACAAAAACAGTTTTTCCAAACTGCTGAATGAAAAAAAGGTTTAACTATGCTAGATGAATGCACACATCACAAAGCGGTTTCTCAGAAAGCTTCTTCATAGTTTTTAATCTGAATATATTTCCTTTTTCACCATAGGAATTATGGTGCACCAAAATATCCCTTCGAAATTACTTTAAAAATAGTGTTTCCAAACCCTAGAATGAAAAAAAAATGTTTAACTCTGTGTGATGAATACACACATCACAAAGCAGTTTCTAAGATATCTTCCTTCCAGTTTTTACCTGGGATATGCACTTTTTCACCATTGGCCCCAATCACCTCCCAAATGTCCATTTGCAGAATGGACAAAAAAAGTGTTAACAAACCGATGAATCAAAAGAAAGGCTTATGTCTGTGAGATGAATGCAGAAATCACGAAGTATTTCCTAAGGAAGCTTCTTTCTATTTTTTATCTGAGGATATTTCCTTTTTCACCCTAGGACTCAATGCGCTCTTAAGTATGCCTTCACAGATTCTACAATAACAGTGTTTCCAAACTGCTGAATGAGAAGAAAGGTTTAACTCTGCGAGATGAATGCACACATCACGAAGCAGCTTCTGAGATTCCTTCCTTCTTGTTTTTATCCTGGGATATTCCCTTTTCCACATTTGGCCCCAATCAGCTCCCAAATGTCCATTCAAAGAATGGACAAAAACTGTTTTTCCAAACTGCAGAATCCAAAGAAAGGTTTAACTATGTGAGATGAATGCACACATCACAAAGCAGTTTCTCACAAAGCTCCTTTCTAGTTTTTATCTGAAGTTATTTCCTTTTTAACCATAGACCTCAATGCACTCCCAAATAACTCTTTGCAGATTCTACAAAAACACTGATTGCAAACTGATGAATGAAAAGTAAAGCTTAACTTTGTGGGATGAATGCACAAATCACAAAGAGGTTTCTCAGATAGCTTCCTTCTAGTTTTTATCCTGGGATATTTGCTCTTTTGCCATTGGCCTCAATGCACTCCCAAATGTCCATTCCCAGAATGGACAAAAACAGTGTTTCCATACTGCTGAATCAAAAGAAAGGTTTCACTCTGAGAGCTGAATGCACATGTTACATGGCAGTTTCTTAGAAAGCTTCTTTCTAGTTTTCATCTGAAGATACTTTATTATTAGCCATAGGCCTCAATGCGTTCCCAAGCATCCCTTTGCAGATTCTACAAAAACGGTGTTTCCAAACTGCTGAATGAAAAGAAAGGCTTAACTCTGTGAGATGAATGAACACTTCACAATGCAGTTTCTCAGAGAGATTCCTTATAGGTTTTAATCCTGGGATATTCGCTTTTCCGCCTTTGGCCTCAATGAGCTCCCACAGGCCCACTGGCAAAATGGACAAAAGCAGTGTTTACAAATTGCTGAATGAAATTAAAGGTTTAGTTCTGTGAGATTAATGCACAAATCACAAAATGGTTTCTCAGATAGCTTGCTTCTACTGTTTATAATGGGATATACGCTTATTTGCCTTGGCCTCAAAGAGCTCCCAAATTTCCATTCTCAGAATGGACAAAACAGTGTTTCCAAGTTCCTGAATCAAAAGAAAGTTTTAATTCTGTGAGGTGAAGGCACACATCATGAAGCAGTTTCTCAGAAAATGCAAATATCCCAGGATAAAAACCAGAAATAAGCTATGTGTGAAACTCCTTTCTGATGTGTGCATTGAACTCACAGAGTTAAACCTTTCTTTTGATTCGGCAATTTGGAAACACTGTTTTTTATTTTTCATTCAGTGAAAGGACATTTGGGATCTCATGGAGGCCAATGGCAAAAATCGAATTTACCAAGTTAAAAACTAGTAGGAAGCTATCTGAGAAACCTCTTTGTGATGTGTGCATTCACCTTGCATAGTTAAACTTTCCTTTTGATTCAGCAGTTTGGAAACACTATATTTTTCCATTCTACACATGGACTTTTGGGAGGGCATTGAGGCTAAATGCAAAAAGTGAATATAAAGGATAAAAAAGAAGGAAGCTATCTGAGAAACTGATTTGTGATGCGTGCCTTCATGTCACAGAGTGAAAACTGTCTTTTCATTCAGAAGTTTTGAAATACTGTTTTTGTCCATTCTACGAATGGACATTTAGGAGCTTATTAAAGCCAATGGCAAAAAAGCAAATATTCCAGGATAAAAACTAGAAGAAAGCAAAAAGAGAAACCACTTTGTCATGTGGGCATTCGTCTCATAGAGTTAAACCTTTCTTTTCACTCAGCAATTTGGAAACACTTTTTTTGTAGAAGCTGAAAAGAGATATTTGGGAGCGCATTGAGGCCTATGGAGAAAAAGTGAATATACCAAGATAAAAAAGAAGGAAACTACCTGAGAAACCACTTTGTGAGGTGTGTATTAATCTCACAGAGTTAAAGCTTTCCTTTCATTCAGCATTTTGGAAACACTGTCTTTTGTAGAATCTGTGAAGAGATATTTAGTAGCGCATTGAGGCCTATGGTGAAAAATAAAATGTCTTCAGGTGAAAACTAGAAAGAATCTTTCTGAGAAACTCCTTCAGAAGTGTGCATTCATCTCACATAGTTAAACTTTTCTTTTGATTCAGTAGTTTGCAAACACAGTTTGAAAAACACTTGGGAGCTCCTTGAGGCCAGTGGCGAAAAAGTGTATATCCCAGGATAAAAACTAGAAGAAATATATCTGAGAAACTGCTTGGTGATGTGAGCATTCATCTTGAAGAAATAAACCTTTCTTAGAAACTGCTTTGCAATTAGTGCATTCATCTCAAAGAGTGAAAATTTTCTCTCATTCAGCAGTTTGGAAACACTGTCTTTGTAAAATCTGTGAAGGGATATTTGGGAGTGGAAGAATGCCTATGCTTAAAAAGGAAACTATTCAGATAAAACCTTGAAAGAATTTTTCTGAGACACTGCTTTGTGATGTGTGCATTCATCTCACAGACTTAAACTTTTCTTTTCATTCAGCAGTTTGGAAACACTGTTTTTTTGTGTGGTTTTTTTTTTGCCTTTGTCTTTTTTTAAATTATTATACTTTAAGTTTTAGGGTACATGTGCCCATTGTGCAGGTTAGTTACATATGTATACATGTGCCATGCTGTTGCGCTGCACCCACTAACTCATCATCTAGCATTAGGTATATCTCCCAATGCTATCCCTCCCCCCTCCCCACATCCCACAACAGTCCCCAGAGTGTGATATTCCCCGTCCTGTGTCCATGTGATCTCATTATTCAGTTCCCACCTATGAGTGAGAATACGCACTGTTTGGTTTTTTGTTCTTGTGATAGTTTACTGAGAATGATGATTTCCAATTTCATCCATGTCCCTACAAAGGACATGAACTCATCATTTTTTATGGCTGCATAGTATTCCATGGTGTATATGTGCCACATTTTCTTCATCCAGTCTATCATTGTTGGACATTTGGGTTGGTTCCAAGTCTTTGCTATCATGAATAATGCCGCAATAAACTTACGTGTGCATGTGTCTTTATAGCAGCATGATTTATAGTCCTTTGGGTATATACCCAGTAATGGGATGGCTGGGTCAAATGATATTTCCAGTTCTAGATCCCTGAGGAATCACCACACTGACTTCCACAATGGTCGAACTAGTTTACAGTCCCACCAACAGTGTAAAAGTGTTCCTATTTCTCCACATCCTCTCCAGCACCTGTTGTTCCTGATTTTTTAATGATTGCCATTCTAACTGGTGTGAGATGGTATCTCATTGTGGTTTTGATTTGCATTTCTCTGATGGCCAGTGATGATGAGCATTTTTTCGAGTGTTTTTTGGCTGCATAAATGTCTTCTTTTGAGAAGTGTCTGTTCATGTCCTTCACCCACTTTTTGATGGGGTTGTTTGTTTTTTTCTTGTAAATTTGTTTGAGTTCATTGTAGATTCTAGATATTAGCACTTTGTCAGATGAGTAGGTTGCAAAAATTTTCTCCCATTTTGTAGGTTGCCTGTTCACTCATGGTAGTTTCTTTTGCTGTGCAGAAGCTCTTTAGTTTAATTAGATCCCATTTGTCAATTTTGGCTTTTGTTGCCATTGCTTTTGGTGTTTTAGACATGAAGTCCTTGCCCATGCCTATGTCCTGCACTGTTTTTAGCGAATGTGTGAAGGGATATTTGGGAGTGCATTGACACTTATGGTGAAAACGGAAACATTTTAAGTTAAAAACTGGAAAGAAACATTCTCAGAAACTGCTTTGTGATGTGTGCATTCATCTCATAGAATTAAAACTTTCTTTTGATTCAGCAGTTTGGAAACACCAGTTTTGTCCATTCTAAATTGGACATTTTTTAGCTCTTTGAGTCCAATGCAAAAAAGAGTATATCCCATGATAAAAACAAGAAGGAAGCTATCTGAGAAACCGCTTTATGATGTGTGCATTGATCTCACAGATTTAAACCATTTTTTTGCATTCAGCAGTTAGGAAACACTGTTTTTGTAGAATCAGTGAAGTGATATTTGGGTGTGCATTAGGGCCTATGGTGAAAAATGAAATACCTTCAGACAAAAAAGGAAAACAAGCTTTCTGAGAAACTGCTTTGTGATGCATGCATTCATCTCACAGAGTTAAACATTTCTCTGGATTCAGCGTTTTGGAAACACTGTTTTTGTCCATTCTCCGAATAGACATTTGGAAGCTCATTGAGGCCAGTGGTGAAAAAACAAAGTCCCAGGATAAAAGCTAGAAGGAAGCTATCTGAGAAACCGCTTTGTGATGTTTGCATTCAACTAGCAGAGTTCAACCTCTCTTTTCATTCAGCAGTGGAAAGACTGTTTCTGTAAAATCTGCAAAGGGATATTTGGGAGTGCATTAAGGCCTATGGTGAAAAAGGAAATATCTTCAGATTAAAAATTGAAAGAAGCTTTCTGAGAATCTGCTTTTTGATGTTGTGCATTGATCTCACAGATTTAAATGGTTCTTTTTATTCAATAGTTTGATATCTCTGTTTTTATCTATTCTTCCAATGGACATTTGGGAGCTCATTGAGGCCAATAGGGAGAAAGCAAATATCCCACGATAAAAATTAGAACGAAACTATCTGAGAAACGACCTTATGATGTGTGCCTTTATCTCGCAGTGTTAAACCTTTCTTTTCATTTGGCAGTTTGGAAACACTGTTTTTGTAGGATCTGAAAAGGGATTTTCAAAGGCTTATGGTGAAAAGGAAATACCTTCAGATAAAAACTAGAAAGAAGTTTCTGAGAGACTGCTTTTACATTTTTGCATTCATCACACAGAGTTCAATCTTTCTTTTGATTCAGTTGTTTGGAAACACTGCTTTTGTCCATTCTGCAAATGCACATTTGGGTGCTCATTGAGACCAATGTCGAAAATGAGAATACCCCAGGATAACAAAGACAAGGTAACTACCTCAGAAACCGATCTGTGATGTGTGCATTCACCTCTCAGAGTTAAACCTTTCTTTTCATTCAGCAGTTTGGAAACATTGTTTTTGTAGAATTTGAGAAGGGATATTTGGGAGTGCTTTAAGGCCTATGGTGAAAAAGCAAACATCTTCAGATAAAAACTAGAAAGTATCATTTTGAGAAACTCCTTTGTGATGTGTGCATTCATCTGGCAGAGTTAAATCTTTCTTTTTATTCAGCGGCTTGAAAACACTGTTCATGTCCATTCTGTGAATGGACATTTGCAGCTCATTGAGGCCAAAGGCAAAAAAGTGAATATCCCAGGATAGAAACTGGAAAGGAGCTATCTGAGAAAATGCTTTGTGATGTGTGCATTCATCTAACAGAGTTAAACATTTCTTTTGATTCACCAGTCTGGAAACACTGTTCTGGTCCATCGTGCAAATGGACATTCGGGAGATGATTGAGGCCAATGGTGAAAGAGTGACTATCCCAGGATAAAAACTAGAAGGAAGCTATCTGAGAAACTGCTTTTTGATGTGTGCCTTCATCTCACAGATTTAAACCTAACTTTTCATTCAGCAGTTTGTAAGCATTGTTTTTTTCGAATCTGCAAAGGGATATTTGGGAGTGCCATGAGGCCTATGGTGAAAAAGGATATATCTTCATTGAAAACTAGAAAGAAGCTTTCTGAAAAACTGCATTGTGATGCATGGATCCATCTCACAGAGTTAAACTTTCTTTGGATTTAGCAGTTTGGAAACACTGTTTTGGTCCATTCTGAGAATGCACATTTGGGAGCTCACAGAGGCCAATGGTGAAAAACTGAGTATCCCAGGATAGAAACTAGAAGGAAGCTACCTGAGAAACCACTTTGTGTTATGTCCTTTCACCTCTCAGAGTTAAAACTTCCTTTTCAGTCAGAAGTTTGGAAACACTGTTTTTGTAGAATCTGCAAAGTGATATTTGGGAGTGCATTTAGGCCTACGGTGAAAAAGGAAACATCTTCTGTTAAAAACTAGAAAGAAACTTACTGAGAAACTGCTTTGTGATGTGTGCATTAATCTCACACAGTTAAATATTTCTTTAGATTCAGCAGTTTGGAAATATTGGTCTCGTCCATTTTGTGAATGGACATTTGGGAGCTTATTGAGGTCAATGGTGAAAAAAGCAAACATCCCAGGATAAAAACGAGAAGGAAGGTGTCTGAGAAACTGCTTCATGATGTGTGCATTGATCTCTCTGAGTTAAGCCTTTCTTTTCATTCAGAAGTTTGGAACCACTGTTTTTGTAGAATCTGCAAGGGTATATTTCTGAGCACATTGAGGCTTAAAATTAAAAAGAATATATCATCAGATAAAAATTAGAGAGAAGCTTTCTGAGAAACTGCATTGTCACGTGCACATTCATCTCACAGAGTTAAAACTTTCTTTGGATTCAGAGGTTTCCAAACACTGTTTCTGTATATTCTGCAAATGGGCATTTTGGATCTCATTGAGGCCAATGGTGAAAAAGTGAATATCCCTGGGTAAAAACTAGAAGGAATCTCTCTGAGAAACTGCTTTGTGATGTGGGCACTCATCTCTCAGGGATAGATATTTTTTTCATTTAGCAGTTTGGAATCACTGTTTTTGTAGATTCTGCGAAGGAATATTTGAGAGAACATTTAGTCCTATGGTGAAAAAGAAAATATCTTCAGATAAATACTAGAAAGAAGCTTTCTAAGAAATGCTTTTTGATGTGTGCATTCGTCTCACAGAGCTAAACCTTTCTTTTGATTCATCAGTTTGGAAACACTGTTTTTGTCCATTCTGTTTATGCACATTTGGGGCTCATTGAGGCCAAAGGCAAAAAAGGTAATATCCGATATTATGAACTAGAAGGAAGCTATCTGAGAAACTGCTTTGTGATGTGTGCATTGTTCTCGCAAAGTTAAACCTTTCTATTCATTCAGCAGTTTGGAAACGCTGTTTTTGTAAAGTGTGCAAAGGGATAGTTGGGAGTGCATGGAGATACATGGTGAAAAAGGAAACATCTTCAGATAAAAACTAGAAAGAAACTTTCTGAGAAACTGCTTTGCAATGTGTGCATTCATCTCACGGAGTTAAACCTTTCTTTTCATTCAGCAGTATGTTAACATTGTTTTTGTCTATTCTGCAAATGGACACTTGGGAACTCATTGAGGACAATGGCAAAAAATCTAGTATCTCAAATAAAAAACTAGAAAGAAGCTATCTGAGATAGCTCTTTGTGATGTGTGCATTGATCTCACAGAATTAAATATTTCTTTTCATTCAGCAGTTTGGAAACACTGTTTTTGGAGAATCTGCGAAGGGATATTTGTGAGTGCCTTCAGGTCTACAGTGAAAAAGGAAATATCTTCAGATAAAAACCAGAAAGACACTTTCAGAGAAACTCCTTTGTGATATGTGCATTCATCTCACAGAGTTAAACCTTTCTTTGGATTTAGTAATTTGGAAAGAGATTTTTGTCCATTCTGTGAATGGACATTTGGGAGATCGTTGAGGCCAATGGTGAAAAAGGGGACATATCATGATACAGATTAGAAGGAAGCTATCTGAGAAACAGCTTTGTGATGTGTGCATTCACCTAGCAGAGTTAAACCTTTCTTTTAATCCAGCAGTTTGGAAACGTTTTAAAATAGAATCTGCAAAGGGATATTTTGTAACGCTTTGATGCGTAAGGTGAAAAAGGAAACAGCTTCAGTTGAAAACTAGAAAGAGGATTTCTGGGAAACTGCTTCATGTTGTGTGAATTCATCTCCCAATGTTAAACCCTTCTTTTGATTCAGCAGTTTGGAAACAGTCTTTTTGTTCATTCAATGAATGGACATTTGGGATCTCATTGAGGCCAATGGTGAAAAAGCGAATATCCCAGGATAAAAACTAGAAGGAAGCTATCTGAGAAACCCCTTTGTGACGTGTGCATTCATCTCGCAGAGTTAAAAATTTCTTTTCATTCAGCAATTTGGAAACACTGTTTTTGTGCATTGTGCAAATGGACATTTGCAAACTCATTGAGGCCAATGGAATAAAGTGAATATCCCAGGATAAAAACTAGAAGGAAGCTATCTGAGAAACCACTTTGTGATATGTCCATTCACCTCGCAGACTTAAACCTTGCTTTTCATTTGGCAGTTTGGGAACACTGTTTTCGTAGAATCTGAAAAGGGATATTTAGGAGTGCATTGAGGCCTATCATGAAAAAGGAGACATCTTAAAGTAAATACCAGAAAGGAGCTTTCTAAGAACCTACTTTGGTATGTGTGCATTGTTCTCACAGAGTTAAACTCTTCTTTTGATTCAGCAGTTTGGAAACAGACTTTTTTTCCATTTTGTGAATGGATATTTGTGAGCTCTTTGAGGACAATGGCGAAAAAGCATATATCACAGGATATAAACTAGAAGAAAGCTATCTGAGAAACTGCTGTTGGGAACAAGCCCCCCAAAATCCGGCCATAAACTGGCTCCAAAATTGGCCATAAACAAAATCTCTGCACCACAGTGACATGTTCATGTTGGCTGTCATGCCCACCCTGGAAGGTTTTGGGTGTATCAGAATGAGGGCAAGGAATACCTGGCCCACAGAGGGTGGAAAATCACTTAAAGGCATTCTTAAACCACAAACAATAGTATGAGCCATCAGTGCCTTAAGGACATTTTCCTGCTGCAGATGACTAGCTGGATCCACCCCTTTATTTTGGCCCATCCCTTCATTTCCCATAAGGGATACTTTTAGTTAATCAAATATCTATAGAAACAATGCTAATGACTGGCTTACTGTTAATAAATACGTGGGTAATTCTCTGTTCAGAGCTCTCAGCTCTGAAGGCAGTGAGACCCCTGATTTCCCACTTCACACTTCTATATTTCCTTGTGCATCTCTTTAATTCCTCTAGGGCCGCTGGGTTAGGGTCTCCCTGATTGAGCTGGTCTCATTAAGTGGCGTCCATCGTGTGAGCTCAAACCTAGGTCGAAGGGTCACCGGAGCAACTGTTGGAGATTGTGGATCTAGCTGGAGGACACCCGAGTACTATTAAAGCAATTCCCATGGTGAGTAAAAAGGGGAGCTCAGAAGCATCAGGGTAAAAATGCGACAAGTGTGGACTGTGGTTCGTTCCACCTGGGAATTTTTTCACACTGATGATAAGGAGGAATGAGAGTATAAAGAAGTAATAGAAGAGGTTAAAAACAAGGTTTATTTGCCAGCTAAAACTGAAGTGTCAAAGGAGAGAGAGGTTCATCCCTATCCTTCTGCACCCCCTCATTATTACTTTGAAGAAAAAAATCCTCTAGGTCTTTCTTTTCTGGAGGACTCTGGGCGAAAGTTAGTGGCCCCCGTGACTGTTCGAGCAGCACTTCAAGTGACTGCTCTTAGTTCTATTCAGGCAGGAATTCAGCAAACTAGATGAGAGGGTCATTTAGAAGCTTGGTAGTTCACTGTTAGAATACACCCCCCAGATCAACAGGGAAGTATTATAGCTACATTTGAGCCTTTTCCTTTTAAATTTGGGAAAGCATATTTAGTTGATTATATAAAGGCTTGTGATTGTATCAGAGGTAATCTGCATAAAGCTACTTGGTTGGCACAGGCAATGGCAGGACTGAGAGTGGGTAAGGGAAATACTCCATTTCCTGGAGCTTGTTTTAACTGTGGGAAGCATGGTCATACTAAAAAATAATCCAGAAAAAATCAGCAAGTCAGGCTGCCAGATAGGGGAAAGAAGAAAACGGCTGAGCCAAAAATATATCTGAAATGTAAAAAAGGAAAACATTTGGCCAATCAGTGTCAGTCTGAGTTTGGTAAAGAAGGGAACCTGATTTCAGGAAACAACATGAGGGGCCCTTCCTGGACACCATTGTAAACCAGGGCATTTCAAGCTCAAGCCATTCCCTCACCCCTGTACAATGTCTGTCCCCCACCACAGGCGTTAGTGCAGCAGTAGACTTAAGCTGCACAAAAGCTGTGAGCCTTCTGCCTGGGGAAACCCTGCAAAAGGTCCCAACAGGAGTCTGTGGACCCTTGCCAGTGGGGATGATAGGATTACTTTTAGGAAGGTCTAGTTTAAGTTTAAAAAGTGTACAAATACATACAGGAGTCATTGATTCAGATTATAAATGGGAAATTCAAATTTTTATGTTGTGATACCCTAACTTGTATTAACATGTTTGACTCTTAGCTGAAAAACCAGAGGGATTCCATTTGGCTCCTTCATTTGCAAGACATTAAGGGCTCCTTACCCTCTCCCTTCCTGAAAGACTTAACCTGTGCAAGCTGACTCTCAGCACATCAAAGAGTCCAATTAACTGATAAAGTACTGTGGCAAGTTAGGTCTGAAGTTCCCAGAAATTTGCTTGGGAGATGGTACCATGAAGCCCCCACGTTTGTGTCCGGCAGATGACACCCAGAGCCACCCCACCTATCACCTTGTGACAAATTTAAAGCCCCTGCACCTGGCACTGTTTGTTTTCCTGTAACCATTTGTCTTTTTAACTTTTCTGTCTGTTTTACTTCAGTAAGATTGCTACAGCTAGATTCCCCCTCCCCTCTCTAAACCAAAGTATAAGAGAAAATCAAGTCCCTTGTTCAGGGCTGAGAGAATTTTGAGCGTCAGCCATCTCTCAGTCACTGGCTAATAAAGGACTCCTGAATTCGTCTCAAATTGTGGTGTTTCTCTCTAAATCGCTTTGTTACAACATTTGGAGGCCCCAGCTAGATTATTCACCACTGAGTGAGAGCCAGACTCGCTCTAGGCTCCCCTGGATGGCTGGCCAGCTTATGGGGGGTGCCACCTGAAAAAGTTCCAGGTCCCTATAGGCGACCGTCTTCTGGAGGAGAGAGGATCGACTACCGGTGTGTGCCCACAAAAATTAACCTTCTGAGTCCTCAGCTTCTGGTCCCGGGAAGGTAAGTCAGATCTGACTTTGGTTTGGTGAGAGGGACACATCCCTCAGGAGGGTGTCTCTCTCTTTGACCCTGCCTGCATTCCAGGACACTGGAGGGCAGAGCCCTGGTTTTCTGTTAGATGCTTTTGGTTCTGGTTTGGTGAGAGGAAACTCTCCCTAAAGAGGGCGTCTCTCTCTTTGACTCTGTCCATGTTCCAGGACGCTGGAGGACAGAGTCCTCTTTTCTGACAGGCTGGCCTCTCCATTAAGATTAGTTTCTCCCTCTCTCTTTCTGTCTCTCTCTCTCTCTTTCTCTCCCTCCCCTTTTCTCTATCTCTTCTCCTCCTCTCGTTCAGGTCTCCTGGAGACCTCTGTTTAGAACAGAAATAAGAAAAATTGTTATAAACTCTGTGTGAATGTGTGCATGAATGGGAAGTTCAAGGGCTTGCCCTTGAATCTCCATTTTGTAGCTCCACCGTGAAAGCTACAGAGTTACAGTGGGTCCTCACTTGTGGTCCTGTGGCAACCTAATAAGGCTTAAGGCAGCATCGGGCATAGCTTGATCCCAGCTGGGGGTTTACACGGGCCTGCCAATGCTAAGAGGATCCCAAGTCCCCTCAGGGAAAGCAGCCAGGTGGGCATCTGACTGATCCCATCGTGGGACCCCCTCCCCTTGTCTGTCTATGAAAACTGCCATAATTGTTTATATTCTCCAGGGTCTACTGCCTGTTTTGTGTCTATTGCCTGTTTTTGTGTCTGTTGCCTGTTTTTGTGTCGATTGCCTGTTTTTAGATCTATTGCTTGTTTTTGTGTCTATTGCCTGTTTTTAGGTCTATTGCCTGTTTTTGTGTCTATTGCCTGTTTTTAGGTCTATTGCTTGTTTTTGTGTCTATTGCCTATTTTGGAGTCTATTGCCTGTCTTTTTATCTATTGCCTGATTTTGTGTCTGTTGTCCTGTTTTTATGTCTGCTGTCCTGTTTAGTGTCTATTGTCTTGTCTGGTGTCTGAGTTTCAGATGTCAAGTTATAGATATTGCCCAAGACGAGTGGGCAATGACTTCTTCAAAGTCTTCAGTGCAGATTTTCTATCACAGGAGGTCTCAGGCATGTCTCTTCAGGTTGCCTGGCCCAGGGGCCAGGCATACTTCCATCAGTTTACAAAAGAAACAGCCTCAGTCCCCCACAGCAGAGGTTCCCCGATGGACAGGTGGGGAGTAGGAGGTGACAGCACCAGACACCCTCCCCCAGGGACCCCCAAAGGCGCCTGGCTCCTGTGCCTTCAGGTGTCAAAGTCCCCAACTTCCCCGAGCACCAGTGAATCCACACCTGGTTTGGAATGCAGGGGCCTGGCCTGCTGTAGTGACCTAGGCCCTGGGCCAGGCTTCTGAAACAGGCTTTCAGCACCTGACAAGGCCTGGAGGCAGGGCGGGGGACTGTGGAGTCATCCTGACAACCCAGTGCTGCCTGGCATGGCTCCTCCCAGCCTGAAAAGATCTGAGTAACCCCTTTTTTCCTCGTCCCTTGCCCTGCACATCTCATTTTCCTGTGTTGCAGCAAGTACATAATCTCCAAGACTTGGCTCTGCTCTCCCTCCTCAAACCCTTAAAAGAAAAGGCCAAGTTGGAACTATTTGCCTTTAAGTCATGGAGACAACAAAGATATTTAGTCTATAAATCAAAGGGAAATAGGAAATCACATAAGTCCCTCTGGCCCCAGACCCACCTCCAGAATTGGAAATTCTTCTTCCCAGCCTCATAAAGATTGGAGCCCTCTCCAATGTATGTTACAAAATTTCTCTCTAGGCTTCTGAGAGGATTATGGAGTCCACCTAAAGAAAGGCAAACTCTGGACAATCAGTGAAGTGGAATGGCCACAGTTTAGAACCAGTTGGCCCCTAAGAAGAGTCACTTAACCCCACAGTTGTTCAGGCTGTGTGGTGGGGTGTTGCTGGAACTCCTGGTCACCCCAATCAGTTTCCCTACATTGATCAATGGCTGCGATTGGTCCAAAGCCCTCCCCCTTGGCTCCACTCATGTGTCTTTCATGATCCCACCTCCAAGGTCCTTCTGAGCCAGACCGCACTTTTACTCCAACCCTCAGCTCCCTCGGCTCCTCCTGTACTGCCTCCTTCTGAAGAAGAGGAGAGTGTTCCTCACCCATTTCTGCCACTCTGTAACCCTCCTGCTCCCCCAGAATCTTCTCTTGTCTCCTCAACTACATCCCCTGTGAGCTCTCTGCCCATAGCCTCCAGACTGTGGCCATGGCAGAAGGAGGTAGCCCCCTCCACCCACAGAGAGAGGCACAAATCCCTCTGGGTGATGAGCACACTGCTGTATTTTTAGTTTATGTCCCCTTCTCTACTTCTGACTTGTAACTGGAAGGCTTATAATCCCCCCTTTTCTGAAAAAACCCAGGTTTTGACCTCACTGATGGAGCCCGTGCTCTGGACTCACTGGCCCATCTGGGACGATTTTCAGCAGCTCCTTTTGACACTTTTCACCTCTGAAGAGAGGGAACGTATGCGAAGAGAGGCTAGAAAGCATTTCCTCACATCAGCCGATAGGCCAGAAGAGGAAGACAGAGACCTCCTTGAGGAAATTTTCCCCTCTACCCGGCCTAGTTAGGATCCTAACTCCTAGGGTGGGAGAAAACATTTAGATAATTTTCACTGGTATCTTCTTGTGGGTATCAAAGGAGCTGCTCGAAAACCCATGAATCTGTCTAAGACAACTGAAGTTGTCCAGAGGCCTGATGAGTCACCTGGAGCATTTTTAGAACACCTCCAGGAGGCCTATCAGATTTACACCCCTATTGACTCAGTGGCTCAGGCAGCCCCTCACGCTAAAAGAAAGCCACAAAAGCTGGAAGGAATTGCTGGGATAAATATCGGTCAACTTTTAGAAATAGCCCAAGAAGTTTTTGACAATCAAGAGTTTGAAAAGCAAAAACAAGCAGCTGAGGCAGCTGAAAAGGCTGCTGACAAAGCATCAGAGAGACAAGCAAAAATCTTAGTGGCAGCCATTCAAGAAGCCAGAAATGAAGGGCCCCCATCACAGAACACTGTCCAGAAGACCCCGGGTCTATGCCAGAAAGGCAAGAAAAGTGAACAAGATTCCCTACAAAGAAACCAATGCACCTATTGCAAGCAGATAGGACACTGGAAGAAAGAATGCCCATTAAAGCCAGAAGAAAAACCAGAAAATAAAAAAAGGCCTCATCCTCCCCACAGCAGAGGAATCTGATGATTGATAAGGCCAAGGCTCCCTCTCACTTAGCCCCTGGGAGCCCATGGTGACCACAACTGTGGAAGGCCATAGCTAGACCCTGTGGCCTCCAGGTAGCCAAGTTGTCTGCGGAGCCATAGCGGCAACAGCAAGCCTAATCCAGGAGGCTAATAAACTGACTCTAGGCCAGAATTTAACCCTTATGGTTCCTCATGCCGTAGAGACATTGCTACAAAGTGCCTCTGACAAATGAATTTCAAACACTCGCAACCTGCAGTATCTGTTAGATCAGCCTTAACTTTCCCATAGGGTGTTTAAATCCAGCTATCTTGCTCACTGATCCAGATCTTACACACCTGTCCATGACTGCAAAGAACTGTTGAAGACTACAAAAACTAGCTGACATGATCTCAAAGATGTGCCTTTAAAGGAGGCAGACAACACCGTGTTTACAGATGGTAGCAGCTTCCTTGAGCAGGGAGTTCAAAAGACTGGTGCGGCTGTCACTACAGAGACGGATATTCTATCAGCCCAAACTCTACCAGCTGGCACCTCAGCTCAGAGGGCTGAGTTGGTTGCCCTTACACAAGCCCTCCAATGAAGTAAAGACAAACTTATTAACATTTACACTGACAGCAGATATGCTTTTGCTACTGTGTATGTACACAGAGCCATCTACCAAGGGCAAAGACTACTCACCCCGGAAGAAAAGACTATTAAAAACAAAGAAAAATTTAGCCCTGCTTGAAGTTGTTTGGCTTCCTTGGCAGGTGGCTGTAATTCACTACAAAGGACATCAAAGAGAAGGCATGGCTGTAGCTAGTAACAGCCAAAGAGCAAACTCTACAGCTCAAAAGACAGCTCAGCTCCTGGTCGATCCAGCTGTCCATTGTGTCCTTTCCAAAACCCAATTTGCCAGCCTCAGAAAAAGATAAACAAGCTTCAAATCTTCAAGCAAGTGAAAATCAAGAAGGAAAAGTAAAATTGGCCCAGCTCCTAAGGAGCCCTTTCAAGATCCCCTGCCTTCAGAACTTAATGGATCAAGCAGCTCCCTGGTATACAGCTTGCACTCAGATAAACGACCAGCAAGGCCCTAAACCCAGCCGAGGCCACTGCCTCCAGGGAGGCTCACCAAGAAAAAGGTAGGAAATTGACTTTACAGAGATAAAACCACATTGGGCAAGGTATAACTATCTCCTAGTGCTAGTAGACAAATTTTGTGGATAGACTAAGGCATTTGCCAACAAAAATGAGACTGCCACCACAGTAGTTACATTTTTACTCAATGAACTCATCCATCGACATAAGCTGCCTGTTGCCATAAGGTCTGATAATAGACCAGCCTTCACCTTGTCCATACCTCAGTCAGTCATTAAACATTCAATGAAAGCTCCATTGTGCCTATCAACTTCAGAGCTCTAGACAGGTAGAATGCATGAACAACTGCATCCTAAAAGTACTTTTACGAAATTAATCTTAAAGACTGGTGAAGATTAGGTAAAGTTCCTTCCTCTAGCCCTTCTTAAAGTAAAATATATCCCTTACCGAGCTGAGTTCTCACTTTTTAAATTCATGTTTATGAGGGCTCTGCCCATCTTGCCTAAAATCTCACATGCTAATTTATTACAGTACCTATAGTCTCTCCAATAGGTACAAGATATCATCCAGCCACCTGTCCGGGGAGCTTATCCCAATCCAATTACTGACCAGACAGAGCCCTGCCACTCGTTCCAGCCAGGTGACCTGGTATTTGTTAAAAAGTTCCATAAAGAGGAACTCACTCCTGCTTGTAAAGGACCTCATACTGTCATCCTCACCACACTGATGACTCTGAAAGTGGACACCATTCCTGCTAAGATTCATAACACACCCAGTACCAAAGCATGTTTAACTGTAATCCTTGACTAACTATTCTAATTATTGGATTAGCAGGACTCCTTTTCTCCTCCTCTTAAGTTTAGTCTTCAAACCTTCTATTTTAAAATTAGTTTCTTAACTTTGTAAAGCAATGCACAGCTTCTGTCAAACTTATTATGTATCTTAAAACCCAATGTAACCCCCTTCTTACATTGATTTGATTCCCCAAAATCACAAGTGGGGTATGTGGTACCCTATCTTGTATTAACTTGATAGACTCTCTCTTAGCTGAAAAAGCCAGAGGGATTCCATTTGGCTCCTTCGCTTGCAAGACATTAAGGGCTCCTTACCCACTCCCTCCCTCAAGGACTTAACTTGTGCAAGCTGACTCTCAGCACATCTAAGGGTCCAATTAACTGATAAGGTACTGTGGCAAGTTACTTCCGCAGTTCCCAGGAATTTGCTCAGGAGATGGTACCATAACGGCCCTGCGTTTGTGTCTGGCAGATGACACCCAGAACCCCCACACCTATCACCTTGGTGATAAATTTAAAGCCCCTGCACCTGGAACAGTTTGTTTTCCTGTAACCATTTTTCTTTTTAACTTTTTTGTCCGTTTTACTTCTGTAAGATTGCTTCAGCTAGATTCCCCTTCCCCTCTCTAAACCAAAGCATAAGAGAAAATCAAGCCCCTTCCTTGGGGCCAAGAGAATTTTGAGTGTTAGCTGTCTCTTGGTTACTGGCTAATAAAAGACTCCTGAATTCATCTCAAAGTGTGGGGTTTCTCTCTAACTCGCTTGGTTACA
Organism: Homo sapiens; assembly: GCF_000001405.40. NCBI lineage: Eukaryota > Metazoa > Chordata > Mammalia > Primates > Hominidae > Homo > Homo sapiens. The sequence goes on along the minus strand of NC_000010.11, from coordinate 39,202,527 downwards.
ACAATATCAACTTCTGTTCCCTGCAAAGCAGAGTGAGGAGAGTGCTAGCACATCTCCTGATTGTGCCATGTGCGGGAATGGGAAAAAGTGAAACTAAATGAACAGGAGGATTTGGAAGCACAAATAAACAAGGAAAATCAACTTATTGGTAAATGAAATTAATGATAAACTTCCTACCTGTGAAATAACTATTCAGGGAACGAAATTTAAAGGTTTGGTAGATACAGGAGTGGACATTTCAATCATTTCTCTACAGCATTGGCCGTCCGTGTAGCCAATTCAATCCACTCAATTTAACATAGTTGGAGTTGGTAAAGTCCCTGAAGTATATCAAAGTAGTTATATTTTGCATTGTGAAGGGCCCAATGGACAACCCGTGACTATTCAACCAATTATAACTTCTATACCTATAAATTTATGGGAGAGAGATTTATTACAACAATGAGGGGCACAATTTCTAATTCCAGAACAATTATATAGCCCTCAAAGTCAACATATGATGCATGAAATAGGGTATGTCCCTGGTATGGGACTAGAAAAAAATTTGCAAGGTTTGAAAGAACCCCTTCAAGTGGAAAAACAAAGTTCCTGCCAAAGATTAGGAAATAATTTTTGATGGCAGCCATTGTTAATCCTCCAGAACCTATACTTTTAAAATGGTTAACAGTAACAGATAAGCCAATGTGGATAGAACAATGGCCACTAAGTAAAGAGAAACTTGAGGCTTTAGAGAAATTAGTTACTTAAGAATTAGAAAATGGGCACATAGCTCCAACATTTTTCCTTTGAATTCTCCAGTTTTCATAATTAAGAAAAAAGCAGGTAAATGGAGAATGTTAACTGACTTAAGAGCCATCAATTCAGTTATACAACCTGTGGGAACATTACAGCCAGGATTGCCTTCTCCTGCTATAATTCCAAAAAATTGGCCTTTAATAGTCATAGATTTAAAAGACTATTTCTTTACTATCACTTTAGCTGAGCAAGACTGTGAACGGTTTGCGTTTACAATTCCTGCAGTAAAAAAACCTGCAGCCTGCTAAGTGTTATCATTGGAAAGTGTTGCCACAAGACATGTTAAACAGTCCAACAGTTTGCCAGACGTGTGTAGGACAAGCAATTGAACATACTCATAAAAAAATTCACAGTGTTACATTATTCATTATATGGATGTTATAGTTTGTGCTGCCCCCACTTGAGAAGTATTACTCCAATGTTATGATCACTTGCAAAATTCGATTTCTTGCACTGGTTTAATTATAGCTCCTGGCAAATTTCAGACTACTACTTCTTACTCCTACTTGGGGACCTTAGTAAATGACACTACCATTGTGCCACAGAAAGTAACAATTGATAGGGATCAATTAAAAACATTAAATGACTTTCAAAAATTACTAGCTTACATTGATTGGATAAGACCTGCTCTAGGAATTCCTACCTATGCCATGAGTAATCTGTTTTCTATCCTTAGAGGAAATCCTAGTCTCACTAGCCCTTGGCAATTAACAAAGGAGGCCGAGATCGAGTGACAGCTGATTGAAAAGCAAGTCCATAAGTCTAAAATAAATAGAGTAGATCCAGAGAAGACTCTAGATTTGCTAATTTTTTCAACTCAGCCTTCAACTACTGGTGTTATTGTCCAAGAACAGGACTTAGTAGTATGGCTTTTTCTTCCACATACTAATTCATGGACTCTAACTCCTCATTTAGATCAAATTGCTACTATTATAGGGATTGGGAAAACTCAGTTTGTTAAATTACATGATTATGATCCTGGAAAAATTAATTGTTGTCCCTCTCACGAAGACACAAATACAGCAAGCTTTATAAGTAGTCTTATTTGGCAAATCCATTTAGCTTGGTTTGTGGTTATTTTCGATAATCATTTTTCTAAAATGAAGCTGTTTCAGTTTTTGAAATTAACTAATTGGAATCTCACTGCAATAACTAAATTTAAACCAATTGAAGATGCTGAGAATGTTTTTACAGATGGGTCTACTAATGGTAAATGTTCTTATTTTGGCACAAAAATTTAAGTTTTCCAGGTGCCCTATACTTCAACTCAAAAAGTTGAGCTTGTAGCTGTAATTGAGGTATTGACTGCTTTTGATATGCCTATTAATGTGATTTCTGATTCTTCAAACATGGTTCATTCCACACAGTTAATCGAAAATGCTCAGTTACAATTTCATACAGATAAACAACTGATGAGTTTATTTACCCAATTTCAAACAGCAGTTAAGAGTAGAATGCACCCTTTTTACATCACTCACATTAGGGCTCCTATACCCCTTCTAGGACCTTTGACTGAAGGAAATAAAATGGCTGATCACCTAGTTGCTTATGCAATATCTAATGCTAGACACTTTCACAATTTAACCGATGTTAATGCTTCTGGTCTCAAACACAAATACAGCATTACCTGGAAAGAAGTTAAAGCTATTATCCAGAGATGCCCAACTTGCCAAATGGTACATTCCTAATATTTTACAGGAGGAGTTAATCCTCAAGGATTGGAATCTAACTCTCTTTGGCAAATGGATGTCACACATGTTCCTTCATTTGGGATACTAGCTTGTGTATATGTATGTGTGGAAACCTTTTCTCACTTTATCTGGGCTATATGTCAAACAGGAGAGTCTTCTGCCTGTGTTAAGTGTCACCTTTTGCAGTGTTTTGCCATGATGGGCATTCCAGCTTCTATTAAAATAGATAATGCCCCAGGCTATACTAGACAAGCTCTAGCTAATTTTTTCTCTATGTGGAATATTAAACACGTTACTGGTATCCCATACAATTATCAAGGACAAGCCACAGTGGAAAGAATGAATCTTTCCCTAAAACAGCAGTTGCAAAAGCAGAAAGGGGGAGACAGAGTATATGGAACCCCACAGATGCGACTGAATCTGGCATTATTAACTTTAAAAGTTTTGAGCCTGCCCAAGGGCAGATGTTATCAGTAGCTGAATAGCATCTACAGAAACCATCTACAAAGAAGCAGAACAACTGATTTGGTGGAGAGATCCGATAACAAAAAATTGGGAAATAGGTTAAACAATAACTTGGGGTAGAGGTTATGCTTGCATTTCTCCAGACCAAAATCAACAGCCGATTTTGATACCATCAAGATACCTGAAACCTTATCATAAGCCATATGTCAAGGAAGATATACCAGGAGGATCCTGAGGACCCACCAGTTGCACCCATGCCAAGACTGACATTGAGGAGGACTATAACGGTCATGAGCAACACCCGTTGAACAGAGTCACCCACCTGGGGACAGATCAAGAAGTTCTCACAGGTGGCAGAAGAAAACCTGAGGAAAGCAGGACAACCAGTCACAATGAAAAATTTAATGGTAGCTATGATAGCAGTTATCACCACTGCCATGAGTATTCCTTAAATAAGGGCTGACACAGAGAACAATTATACTTATTGGTCATATTTATCTATCTTGACTGATAATAATGCCTGGATGTAATCACTCTATGATGCAGTTACACATGCTTTCTGATCTCAGTATTTACCATAATAAGTCTGCTCCTATAATAGAGGCATACTGCCCTCCAAAACCTATTTGTAAACAAAATAGAACCTGGCCAGAAATAATGAACGTACTTTTTTAGGAAGAGTGTATTGCAGAACAGTCAGAGGTGCTGCACAGTGATTCCTATGGAATCATTATTGATTGGTCTCCTAAGGGGATGTTTAGCTTGAACTGCCCCTCTCGGTGTGTGTGCCACGGCCAAACTATGTTCAACTGGTCTGAAAAAAAGGTCAGAAGGTAGAAATGATAAGAAGTATGGCAGGAATTCCTATTATCTGGAATCATGGAGGTATAGTGGCACCTCAATATCAAATGATATGGCCCATTGTAGGAGCCAAACATAAGGATTTGTGGAAACTATTAATAGGTATTAATAAGGTCAAAATTTAGGAAATAATAAAAAAGCATCTAGAAGGACACTCTACAAACTTGTTTTTGGATATTGCAAAATTAAAAGAAAAATAATTAAGGCATCCCAGTCACACCTGACCTTAATGCCAGGAACTGGAGTGCTTGAAGGAACTGCAGAAAAATGATCAGCTAGGAGCCCATTAAAATGGATAAAAAACATTTGGGAGCTCTGTGATTTCAATGATGATTGTGATTTTAATCTATGTTGTTTGTCTTTGTATAGTCTGCAGATGCAGATCCTGATTCATGTGAGAAGTAGCTCACCATGACAAAGCTGCCTTTGCTTTTATCGATTTGCAAATCAAAGAAGGGGGACATGCTGGGAACAAGACCCCAAAAAATCCGGCCATAAACTAGCAAAAAACTGGCCATAAACAAAATCTCCGCAACACTGTGACATGTTCATGTTGGCCATGACGCCCACGCTGGAAAGTTGTGGGTTTACCGGAATGAGGGCAAGGAACACCTGGCCAGCCCATGGCAGAAAACAGCTTAAAGACATTCTTGAACCACAAACAATAGCATGAGTGATCTGTGATTTAAGGGCAGGTTACTGCTGCAGATGGCTAACCAGATCCAACCCTATATTTCAGCCCATCCCTTCATTTCCCATAAGAAACACTTTTAGTTAATCGAATGACTATAGAAACAATGCTGATGACTGGCTAAGAGTTAATAAGTATGTGGGTAATTCAGTGTTCAGTGCTCTCAGCTCTGAAGGCTGTGAGACAACTGATTTCCCACTTCACACCTCTATATTTCTCTGTATGTGTCTTTAATTCCTCCAGTGCAACTGGGTTAGGGTCCACTCGAAGGATCTGGTCTCAGCAACTGATTTGTGATGTGTGCATTGATCATGCAGAGTTAAACATTTCTTTTCATTCAGCAGTTTGGAAACACTGTTTTTATAGAATCTACATAGGGATATTTCGGAGCGCATTGAGGCCTATGGTGAAAAAGGAAACATCTTCATATAAAAACTAGGAAGGAGATTTCTGAGAAACTGCTTTGTGATGTGTGCATTCAACTCACAGAGTTAAACCATTCTTTTTATTCAGCAGTTGGGAAACACTGCTTTTGCCCAGTCTGTGAATGGACATTTGGGAGATCATTGAGGCCAATGGTGAAAAAGTGAATATACTAGGATAAAAACTAGAAGGAAGCTATCTGAGAAACTGCTTTGTGATGTGTGCAGTCATCTCAGAGAGTTAAACCTTTCTTTTTATTCAGCAGTTTGGAAACACTCTTTTTGTAGAATCTGCAAAGGGATATTTGGGACCATATTAAAGCCTATGATGAAAAGGAAATATCTTCAGATAAAAAGGAGAAAGAAGCTTTCTGAGAAACTGCTTTGAGATGTGTGCATTCATCTCAGAGAATAAAACGTTCTCTTCATTCAGCAGTTTGCAAACACTGTTTTTGTAGAATCTTCAAATTGATTTTTGGGAGCTCCCTGAAGCCATTGGCGAGAAAGTGAGTATCCAAGGATAAAAAGCTAGAAGAAAGCTAGCTGAGAACTGGCTTTCTGATGAGTGCATTGATCTCGCAGAGTTAAACTTTCCTATTCATTCAGCAGTTTGGAAACACTGTTTTTGTAGAATCTGCCAAGGGATATTTGGGTGCCCATTGAGGTGAGTGGTGACAAAGCAAAAATTCCAGGATAGAAACTAGAGGGAAGCTATCTGAGAAACCGCTTTGTGATGTATGTATTGAACTCACAGAATTAAACCTTTGCTTTTATTCAGCATTTTGGAAACACTGTTTTTGTACAGTCTGTGAAGGGATATTTGGGAACGTGTTGAGACCTCTCGTGAAAAAGGAAATATCTTCAGATAATAAGGAGAAAGAAGCTTTCTCAGAAACTGCTTTGAGATGTGTGTATTCATCTCAGAGAATAACCCTTTTCTTTTAATTCCACAGTTTGTAAACACCTTTTTTGCCCATTCTGTGAATGGACATTTGGGAACTCATTGAGGCCAAAGGTGAAAAAGCCAATATCACAGGATAAAAACTAGAAAGAATCTTTCTGGGAAACTGCTTTGTCATGTGTGCATTCATCTCGCCGAGTTCCACCTTTCTTTTCATTCAGCAGTTTGGAAACACTGTTTTTGTAAGATCTGCAAAGGGGTATGTAGGAGCCCATTGAGGCCACTGGTGAAAACAGAAACATATTAAGATAAAAACTAGAAAGAAGCTTTCTAAGAAACTGCTTGAAGTTTTGTGCATGCATGTCCTAGAATTAAATCTTTCTTTTGATTCAGCAGTTTGGAAACGCTGTTTATGTCCATCCTGCAAATGGACATTTGTGAAATCTTTGAGTCCAACGGCAAAAAAGTGTATATCCCAGGATAAAAAGTAAAAGGAAGCTATCTGAGAAACCGCTTTTTGATGTGTGTATTCATCTCACAGAGTTAAACCTTTCTTTTCGTTCAGAAGTTTGGAAAAACTGGTTTTGTAGAATCTACGAAGTGATATTTTGGAGCACATTGAGGCTTAGAGTGAAAAAGGAAATATCTTCAGATAAAAACAAGGAAGAAGTTTTATGAGAAACTGCTTTATTATGTGTGGAGTCATCTCACAGATTTAAGCCCTTCTTTTTATTAAGCAGTTTGGAAACACTGTTTTTGTTCATTCTGTGAATGGACATTTGGTAGCTCTTTGAGACCAAAGGCAAAGAAGCTAACATTCCAAGATAAAAACTAGATGGAAGCTATCTGAGAAACCGCTTTGTGAAGAGTGCCTTCCTCTCACAGAGTTAAACTTTCTATTCATTCAGCAGTTTGGAAACACGATTTTTGTAGAATCTTTGAAGGGCTATTTGGGAGCACTTTGAGGCCTATGTTGAAAAAGGAAATATCTTCAGATAAAAATTAGAATGACTCTTTCTGAGAAACTGCTTTGTGATGTGTGCTTTAATCTCCAAAGTTAAACGTTTCTTTTGATTCAGCAGTTTGGAAACAACGTTTTTGTCCATTCTGTGAATGTACTTTTCAGACCTCATTGTGGCCAGTGGCAAAAAAGCTAATATCCCAGGATAAAAACTAGAGGGAACCTACCTGACAAACCGCTTTTAGATCTGTGAATTTATGTAGCAGAGTTAACCTTTCTTTTCTTTCAGCAGTTTGGAAACACTGTTTTGTAGAGTCTGCGGAGGGATATTTTGGAGCACATGGAGGCCTATGGTGAAAAAGGAAATATCTTCATATAAAAACTAGAAAAAAGCTTTCCAAAAAACTGCTTTGTAATGTGTGCATTCAACTTGCACATTTAAACGTTTTTTTATTTCAGCAGTTTGGTAACACTGTTTTTGTAGAATCTTCAAATTGATATTTTGGAGCTCCTTGAGGCCATTGGTGACAAAGGGAATATCCCAGGATTAAAACTAGAAGGAAGGTATCTGAGAAACGGCTTTCTGATATATGCATTGATCTCTCAGAGTTAAACCTTCCTATTCATTCAGCAGTTTGGAAACACTGTTATTGTAGAATCTGTGAAGGGATATTTGGGAAATCATTGAGGTCAGTGGTGAAGAAGTGAAAATTCCAAGATAAAAACTAGAAGGAAGCTATCTGAGAAATGGCTTTGTGGTGTGTGCATTGAACTTGCAGAATTAAACTTTTGCATTTATTCAGCAGTTTGGAAACACTGTTTTTGTACAATCTGCGAAGGGATATTTGGGAGCATATTGAGGCCTCTGGTGAAAAGGAAGTAGCTTCAGATAAAAAGGAGAAAGAAGCTTTCTGAGAACGTGCTTTGAGAAGTGTGCATCCATCTCAGAGAATAAAACCTTTCCTTTGATTCAGCAGTTTGTAAACACTGTTTTTCTCCATTCTGAGCATGGACATTTGGGAGCCCATGGAGGCCAATGGCAAAAACGCGTATATCACAGGATTTAAAACGAGAAAGAAGGTTTCTGGGAAACTGCTTTGTGATGTGTGCATTTATCTCACAAAGTTCCACCTTTCTTTTCATTCAGCAGTTTGGAAACACGGTTTTTGTAAAATCTGTGAAGGGATATTTGGGAGTGAATTGGGGCCACTTGTGAAGAAGGAAACATATTAAGATAAAAACTGGAAAGAAGCTTTCTAAGAAACTGGTTTAAGATGTGTGCATGCATGTCACAGAGTTAAACTTTTCTTTTGTTTCAGCAGTTTGGAACCACTCTTTTTGTCCATTCTGTGAATGGACATTTGTGAAATCTTTGAGGCCAATGGCAAAAAAGTGTATATCCCACCACAAAAACTACAAGGAAACTATCTGAGAAGACATTTTGTGATGTATGCATTTATCTTGAGGAGTTAAATTTTTCTTTTCATTCAGCACTTTGAAAATGCTCTTTTTGTAGAATACAAAAAGGGATATTTGGGAACACACTGAGTCCTATGGAGAAAAAGAAAACATCCTTAGATAAAAACTAGAAAGAAGATTTCTGAGAAACTGCATTGTGAAGCGTGCATTCATCTCACAGCATTAAAACTTTCTTTGGATTCAGCAGTTTGGAAATACTGTTTTTTCCATTCTGCAAATGGAAATTTGGGAGCTCATTGAGGCCAATTCAAAAAAGCAAATATCCCAGGATAAAAATTAAAAGGAAGCTTTCTGAGAATCCGCTTTGTGATGTGTGCATTGATCTCAGAGAGTTAAAATTTTCTCTTCATTCTGAGGTTTGGAAGCACTGTTTTTGTAGAATGTGCAAATGGATATTGCGAGCACATTGAGGTATCTGTTGATAAAAAGAAATATATTCAAGTAAAAACTAGAAAGAAGGTCTCTGAGAAACCTCTTTGTGATGTCAGCATTCATCTAACAGAATTAAACCATTCTTTTAATTCATAAGTTTGGAAACTGTTTTTGCGGAATCTGTGAAGGGATATTTTGGAGGACTTTGAGGTCTATGTTGAAAAAAAATCTTATGACAAAAAATGGAAAGAAGATTTTTAAGAAACTGCTTTCAGATATGTGCATTCATTTTGCAGAGCTAAAATTTTATTTTCATTCAGCAGTTTGTAAACACTTTTTTGGTCCATTCAGCAAATGGACAATTGGGAGGTCTTTGAGGACAATGGCAAAAAAGAGCATGCCCCATGATAAAAACCAGAAGGAAGCTACCTAAGAAACCACTATCTGATGAGTGTATTCACCTCGCAGAGTTTAATCCTTCTATTCATTCACCAGTATGGAAACAGTTTTTTGAGAATCTGCAAAGGGATATTGGGAGCACATTGAGGCCTATGGTGAAAAAGGAAATATATTCAGATAAAAACTAGAAATAATACTTCAGAGAAACTGCTTTGTTATGTGTTCATTCAGCTCACAGAGTTCAAACTTTCTTTGGATTCAGCAGTTTGGACAGGGTTTTTTGGTCCATTCAGCGAATGGAGGTTTGGGAGCTCATTGAGGCCAATGGTGAAAAAGCGAAAATCTCAGGATAAAAACTAGAAGGAAATGTTCTGAGAAAACTCTTTGTGATGTGTGTGTTCATGTCACAGAGGTAAACCTTTCTTCTCATTAAGCAGTTTGGAAACAATGTTTTTGTAGAATCTGAAAAAGGATATTTGGTACAGCTTTGAGTCCTGTGGTGAAAAAGTAAACATCTTCAGATAAAAACTAGAAAGAAGCATTCTGAGAAACGGCTTTGTGATGTGTGCATTCATCTCACAGAGTTAAACCTTTCTTTTGATTCAGCATTTGGGAAAAACTCTTTGTATAAATTCCACGGATGGATATTTGGGAGCCCATTGAGACCAATGGCAAAAACAGGAATATACCTGGATTAAAACTATAAAGAAGATCTCCGGGAAACTGCTTTGGGTGTGTGCATTCATCTGGCAAAGTTAAACCTTTTTTTTTTCATTCAGCAGTTTGGAAACACTGTTTTTGTAGAATTGTGAAGAGATATTTTGGAGTGCATTTATGCCTATGGTGAAAAGGGAACATCTTCAGATAAAAACTAGAAAAAAGATTTCTGAGAAACTGCATTGTGAAGTGTGCATTCATCTCACAAAGTTAAACTGTTCTTTGGATTTAGAAGTTTGGAAACACGGTTTTGTCCATACTGCCAATGGACATTTGGGAGCTCATGGATGCCAATGGCAAAAAAATACAATATCCCAAAATAAAAACTAGTAGGAAGCTATCAGAGAAACCATATGTGATGTGTGCAGTAATCTCGCAGACTTAAACATTTGTTTTCATTCAGCCATTCAGAAACACTATTTTTGTCCATTCTGCAAATGGATATTTGGGAGCTCATAGAGGCTAATGGCGAAAAAGCTAATATACCAGAATAAAAACTAGAAGGAAGCTCTCTTAGAAACCACTTTGTGATGTGTGCATTCATCTCACATAGTTAAAACTTTCTTTTCATTCAGCAGTTTAGAAAGACTGTTTTGCAGTATCTGTGAAGGGATATTTAGGAGTACATTGATGCCTATGGTGAAAAAGGAAATATCATCAGATAATAATTAGAAAGAAGCTTTAAGAGATACTGCTTTGTGATGTGTTCATTCATCTCACAGAGTTAAACATTTCTTTCCATTTAACAGTCTGAAAACACTGTTTTTGTCCACTCTGCAAATGGACAATTTGGAGGTATTTGAGGCCTAAGGCAAAAAAGTGAATATCCCAGGTAAATACTAGAAGAAAGGAATATGAGAATCCGTTTTGTCATGTGTGCATTCATTTCACAGAGGTAAACCTTTATTTTCATTCAACAGTTTGGAAGCCCTGTTTTTGTAGAATCTGCGAAGGAAAAATTGGGGGTGCATTGAGGCCTAGGGTGAAAAAGGAAACACCTTCAGATAAAAACCTGAAAGAAGATTTCCAAAAAATTGATTTGTGATGTGAGCATTCATTTCACACTTAAAAGTTTCTTTGGATTCAACAGCTTGGAAATCCTGCTTTTGTCCATTCTGCAAATGGACACTTGGGAACTCATTGAGGCCTATGGCGAAAAAGCAAATATCCTAGGATAAAAACTTGAAGGAAGCTACCAGAGAAACCACTTTGTGATGTGTGCATTCACATCACAGAGTTAAAACTTTCTTTTCATTCAGAAGTTTGGAAACACTGATTTTTTAGAATCTCTGAAAGGATATTTGGGAGTGAATTGAGACCTATGTTGAAAAAGGAAACATCTTCAGATAAATCAGAGAAAGAAGCTTTCTGAGAAACTATTTTGTGATGTGTGAATTCATCTCACAGAGTTAAACCTTTCTTTGGATTCAGCAGTTTGGAAACACTGATTTTGTCCATTCCGTGAATGGACATTTCAGAGCTCATTGACCCCAATTACAAAAAGCGAATATCCCAGGAAGAAAAAAAAAAACAAGAAGGAAGCTATATGAGAAACTGCTTTGTGATGTGTGCATTCACCTCGCAGAGATAAACTTTTCTTTCATTCAGCAGTTTGGAAACCCTGATTTTGTATAATCTGTGAAGGTATATTTGGGAGTGCCTAGGGTAGTATGGTAAAAAAGGAAACATCCTCAGATATAATCTAGAAAGAAGGTTTCTGAGGAACTGTTTGGTGATGAGTGCATTCATCTCACAGAGTTAAACATTGCTTTGTATTCAGATGTGTGGAAACACTTTTTTTTGTCAATTAATGGAAATTTGGCAGCTCATTGAGGCCAATTGCAAAAAAACGAATATCCCAGGATAAAAACTAGAAGCAAGCTATGTGAGAAGCTGATTTGTGATGCATGCATTCACCTCGCAGAGTTTAACATTTCTTTTCATTCAGCACTTTGGAAACAATTTTTTGTCCATTCTGCAACTGGACATTTTGGAGCTCCTTGAGGCCAATGGTGGAAAAGCGAGTATCCCGGAATAAAAACTCAAAGGAAGCTATCTGTGAAAGTGCTTTGCGATTTGTGCATTCAACTAGCAGAGTTTAACCTTTCTTTTCATTCAGCACCTTGAAAACCCTTTTTTTGCAGAATCTCTGAAGGAATATTTGGATGCACTATGAGGCCTTTGGTGAAAAAGGAAACATCTTCAGATAAAAACTAGAAAAAAATCTTTCAGAGAAACTGCTTTTTGATGTGCGCATTTATCCACAGATTTAAAACTTTCTTTTTTATTCAGCAGTTCAGAAACACTGTTTTTGTCCATTCTTCAAATGGACATTTGGGAGTACTTTGAAGCCAATGGCAAAAAAGCAAATATCCCAGGATAAAAACTAGAAGGAAGCTATCTGAGAATCCACTTTTTTATGTGTGCATTCACATTGCAGTGTTAAAGATTTATTTTCATTCAGCAGTTTGGGAACATTATTTTTGTGGTATCTGCGAAGGGATATTTAGGAGCGCATTGATACGTATGGTGAAATAGTAAACATCTTTAGATAAAAACTAGAAAGAAGCTTTATGAGAACCTGCTTTGTGATGTGTGCATTCATGTCACAGAGTTAAACCTTTCTTTGCATTCAGCAATTTGGAAATGCTGTTTTTGTCCATTCTGTGAATGGACATTTTGGAGGTCATGGAGACCAAAGGCAAAAAAGTGAATATCCAAGAATGAACACAAGAAGGAAGCTATCTGAGAAACTGCTTTGTGATGTGTGCATTCATCTCACGGAGTTAAAGCAGTCTTTTCATTCAGCAGTTTGAAAATACCATTTTTGTAGAATCACGAAGGGTTATTTGGGAGCACATTGAGGCCAATGGTGAAAAAGGAAACATCTTCAGGTAAAAACTAGAAAGAAGCTTTCTGAGAAACTGCTTTGTGATGTCTGTATTCTCCTAACAGTTAAACCTTTCTTTGGATTCAGCAGTTTGTAAAGATTGTTTTTGTTCATTAATGGACATTTGGGAGCTTCTTGAGGCTGATGGAAAAATGCAAATATCCCAGGATAACAATTAGAAGGAAGTTATCTGAGAAACTGCTTTTTGATATGGGCATTCATCTCACAGAGTTAAACCTCTCTTTTCACTCAGCAGTTTGTAAAAGGCTTTTTGAGGAATCTGGAAGGAATATTTGGGAACACTTTGAGGCCTATGGTGAAAAAGGAAACATCTTCAGCTAAAAACCAGAAAGAAGCTTTCTAAGAAACCCCTTTCTGATGTGTGCAGTCATCTCAGAGTGTTAAAGCTTTCTTTGGATTCAGCAGCTTGGAAACACTTTTTGTCCATTCCATGAATGGACACTTGGGAGCTCATTAAGGCAAAAGGCAAAAAAGTGAATATCCTAGGGTAAAAACTGGAACGAAGTTATTAGAGAAACTGCTTTTTTTATGGGTCCATCACGTCGCAGAGTTAAACCTTTCTTTTCAATCAGCAATTTGAAAAAACTGATTTTGTAGAATCTCTGAAGGGATATTTGTGAGTAAATTGATGTCTATGGTAAAAATGGAAAAATCTTCAGTAAAAACTAGAAAGAGGCTTTCTGAGAAACTGCTTTGTGATGTACACATTCATCTCACAGTTTTAAACCTTTCTTTGGATTCACCAGTTTGCAAACACTTTTTGTCCTTTCTGCAAATGGACATTTGTGAGTTCATTGAGGCCATGGGTGAATAAGCAAATATCCCAGGATAAAAACTAGAAGGATGCCACGTGAAAACCGCTTTGGAATGTGTTTATTCATCTCACAGAGTAAAACCTTTATTTTTATTCAGCAGTTTGGGAATGCTGTTTTTTGTAGAATCTGCAAAGGGATATTTGGGAGCCAATTGAAGCCTATGGTTAAGAAGAAAACATCTTCATATAAAAACAAGAAAGAAGCTTTCCAAGAAACTGCTTTCTGATGTGTGCATTCGTCTCTCAGAGTTCCACATTTCTTTTCATTCAGCAGTTTGGACACACTGTTTTTGTAGAATCTGTGAAGGGATATTTGGGAGCCTATTGAAGCGTATGGTTAAAAAGGAAACATCTTCAGATAAAAACAAGAAAGAAGCTTTCTGAAAAACTGCTTTGTGATGTATGCATTCATCTATCAGAGTTAAAGCATTGTTTGGACTCAGCAGTTAGGAAACACTGTTTTTGTCCATTCTGCAAATGGACATTTGGGAGCTCTTTGAGGCCACTGGTGAAAGAGTGAATATCCCAGGATAAAAATAGAAGGAAGATATCTGAGAAACCGCTTTGTGATGTGTGCATTCATCTCACATAGTTAAACCTTTCTTTTAATTAAGCAGCTTGGAAACACTGTTTTTGTAGTATCTGCTAAGGGATATTTAGCAGTGCATTGATGCCAGTGGTGAAAAAGGATATATCTTCCAGTTAAAAACTAGAAAGAAGCTTTCTAAGAACCTGCTTTGTGATGTGTGCTTTCATCTCAAAGAGGTAAAACTTTCTTTGCATTCAGCAGTTTTGGAAACACTGTTTTTGTCCATTCTGTGAATGGACATTTTGGCGTTCATTGAGGCCAATGGCAATAAACTGAATATCCCAGAATGAACACAAGAAGGAAGCTATCTGAGAAACTGCTTTGTGATGTGTGCATTTGTCTCATGGAGTTAAAGCTGTCTTTTCATTCAGCAGTTTGGAAACACCGTTTTTGTAGAATCTGCAACGGGATATTTTAGGGCTCACTGAGGCCTATGGTGAGAAAGGAAACATCTTTGGATGAAAACTACAAAATAACTTTCTGAGAAACTGTTTTGTGATGTTTGCATTCATCTCACAGTTAAACATATCTTTGCATTCAGCAGTTTGGAAACATTGTTGTTGTCTATTAATGGACATTTGGGAGCTCATTGAGGCCAAGGTGAAAATGCAAATATCCCAGGATAACAACTAGAAGGAAGTTATCTGAGAAACTGTTTTGTGGTATGTGCATTTATCTTGCAGGGTTAAACTTCCTTTTCATTCAACAGTTTGGAAACCCTGATTTTTTAGAATCTGCAAAGGGATACTTGGGAGTTCATTGAGGCCTATGGTGAAAAAGAAAACATCTTCAGATAAAAACTAGAAAGAATCTGTCTGAGAAATTGCATTGTGAGGTGTGCATTCATCTGACACTTAAATGTTTTTTTGGATTCGGCAGTTTGGAAACACTGTTTTTGTCCATTCTGCGAATGGAACCTTGGGAGCTCATTGAGGCCAATGGCAAAAAAGCAAATATCCCAGGATAAAAACTAGAAAGAAGCTCTCTGAGAAACGGCTTAGTGATGTTTGCATTCACCTCGTAAAGTTAAAATTTATTTTCATTCAGCAGTTGGGAAACACTGTTTTTGTAGAATCTGGAAAGTGATATTTGAGAGCACATTGAGGCCTATGGTGAAAAAGAAACAACTTCAGATAAAAACTGAAAGAAGTTTTCTGAGAAACTGCTTTGTGATGTGTGCATTTATCTCACAGTTAAATGTTTCTTTGGATTCAGCAGTTTGGAAACACTGTTTTTGTCTATTCTGCAAAAGGACCCTTAGGAGCTCACTGAGGCCAACAGTGAAAAAGCAAATATCCTAGAGAACAACCAGAAGAATGCTATCAGAGAAAGAGCTTTGTGATGTGTGCATTCGCATTACAGAGTTAAAATTTTGTTTTCATGCAGCATTTTGGAAACACTGACTTTGTAATATCTGCGAATGGATATTTGAGAGCACATTGACGTCTATGGTAAAAAAGGAAACAAATTCAGATAAAAACTAGAAAGAAACTTTCTGAGTAACTGCTTTGCTATGTTTGCATTCATCTCAAAGAGTTAAAGATTTCCTTCAATACAACAGTTCGGAAACACTGGTTTTGTCCATTCAACAAATGGACATTTGGGAGCTCATTGAGGCCAATGGTGAAAAAGTGCATATTCCAGGATAAAAACTAGAAGGATGCTCTCTGAGAAACTGCTTTGTGATGTGTGCATTCATCTCACAGAGTTTTAACTTTCTTTTGATTCAGCAGTTTGGAAACACTGCTTTTGTCTATTCTGCGCATGGACATTTTGGAACTCAATGAGGAAAATGGTGAAACAGCATATATCCCAGGATAAAAACTAGAAGGAAGCTATCTGAGAAACTGCTTTGTGATCTGTGCATTCATCTCGTAGACTTCAACCTTTATTTTCATTCAGCAGCTTGGAAACACTGTTTTTGTCCATTCTGCAAGTAGTCATTTTTAAGCTCATTGAGGCCAATCACAAAAAAGTGAATATCCCAGGATAAAAACTAGAAGGAAGCTATCTGAGAAACCCCTTGTGATGTGTGTTCAACTCACGTTTCTTTTCATTCAGCAGTTTGGAAACACTGTTTTTGAAGAATGTGTGAACAGATATTTGGGAGCGCATGGAGGCCTATGGTGAAAAAGAAACATCTTCCAATAAAAACTAAAAGAAGTTTTCTGTGAAACTGCTTTATGATGTGTGCATTCATCCCACAGAATGAAAACTTTATTTGGATTCAGCAGCTTGGAAACACTGTTGATGTCCAATATGCAAATGGACATTTGGGTGCTCATTGAGGCTAATGGCAAAAATGGGAATATCACGTCATAAATACTAGAAGGAAGCTATCTGAGAAATTGATTTTTGATGTGTGCATTCATCTCGCAAAGTGAAATCTTTTTTTTCACTCAGCAGTTTTGAAACAATGTTTTTGTATTATCTGTGAAGGGATATTTTGGAGTGCATTCAGGCCTATGGTGTAAAAGGAAACATCTTCAGATAAAAACTAGGAAGAAGATTTATGAGAAACTGCTTTGTGATATGTGCATTCATCACAGAGACTTATAACTAGCTTTTGATTCAGCAGTCCTGAATCACTGTTTTTGTCTATTCTGCGAATGGACATATGGGAGCTCAATGAGGAAAATTGTGAAAAAGCATATATCCAAGGATAAAAACTAGAAGGAAGCTATCTGAGAAACCGCTTTGGGATGTGTGCTTTCATCACAGAGAGTAAAACCTTTCTTTTATTTCAGCAGTTGGGAAACACTGTTTTGGAAGAATCTGTGAGGGGATTTTTGGGAGCATTTTGAGGCCCATGGTGAAAAAGGAAACATCTTCAGATAAAAAGTAGAAAGAAGCTTTATAATGAACTGCTTTGTGATGTGTGCATTCATCTCACAGAGTGAAATCTTTCTTTTCATTCAGCAGTTTGGAAACACGGTTTTGTCCTCTCTGCAAATGGATATTTGGGAGCTCCTTCAGGCTAATGGCGAAAAATGGACTATCCCAGGATAAAACTAGAAGGAAGCTATCTTAGAAACTGCTTTGTGATGCATGCATTCAACTTGCAGAGTTAACGCTTTATTTTCATAGAGTAGTTTGGAAACTGTGTTTTTGTAGAACCTGCAAAGGGACATTTCTGAGAGCTTTGAGGCCTATGGTGAAAAAAGAAACATCTTCAGATTGACACTAGAAGGAAGGTTTCTGGGGAAGTGCTTTTTGATGTGTGCATTCATCTCACAGAGTTAAAGTTTTCTTTGGATTCAGCAGTTTGGAAACACTTTTTTTGTCCATTCTGCGAGTGGACATTTGGGATCTCATTGAGGACAATGGTGAAAAAGTGAATATGCGAGGATAAAAACTAGGAGAAATAGCTCTGAGAAAATGCTTTGTGATGTGTGCATTCATCTCACAAAGTTAAACCATTCTTTTCATTCAGCAGTTTTTGAAACGTGTTTTTTGTAGAATCTGTGAAGGGCTATTTGGAAGTGCACTGAGGCTTGTGGTGAAAAAAGAAATATCTTCAAATGAAAATTAGAAATAAGCTTTCTAAGAAACTGGTTTGAGATGAGTGCTTTCATCTGACATTGGTAATCCTTTCTTTGGATTCAGAAGTTTGAAAGCACTGTTTTGCCTTTTCTATGAAGGACATTTTAGAGCTCTTAGAGGCCAATGGTGAAAAAACAGTGTCCCAGGATGAAAACTAGAAGGAAGCTGTCTGAGAAACCGCTTTGTGATGTGTGCTTTCATCTCGTGGAGTTAAAACCTTCTTTTCATTCAGCAGTTTGGAAAAACAGTTTTTGATGAATCTACAAAGGGATATTTCCTAGCAAATTGAGGCCTATGATGAAAAAGGAAACAACTTTACTTAAAAACAGGAAACAAACTTTCTGAGAAACTGCTTTGTGATGTGTCCATTCATGTCACAGAGTTCAACCTTTCTTTGGCTTCAACAGTTTGAAAACACTATTTCTGTCCATTCTGAGAATGGATATCTGGGAGCTCATTGAGGCCAATGGCAAAAATGAGAATATCCGAGGATAAAAACTAGAAGGAAGCTGTCTGAGAAACCGCTTTTATTTCATTGAGCACTGGTTTTAGTTGTCCTTGAAGAGGTCCTTCATGTCTTTGTAAGTTGGATTCCTAGGTATTTTATTCTCTTTGAAGCAATTGTGAATGGGAGTTCACTCATGATTTGGCTCTCTGTTTGTCTGTTATTGGTGTATCCAAATGCTTATGATTTTTGCACATTAATTTTGTATCCTGAGACTTAGCTGAAGTTGCTTATGAGCTTGAGGAGATTTTGGGCTGAGATGATGGGCTTTTCTAGATATACAATTATGTCATCTGCAAACGGGGACAATTGGACTTCCTCTTTTCCTAACTGAATACCATTTATTCCCTTCTCCTGCCTGATTGCCCTGGCCAGAAATTCCAACACTATGTGGAAGTGGTGAGAGAGGGCATCCCTGTCTTTTGCCAGTTTTCAAAGGGAATGCTTCCAGTTTTTGCCCATTCAGTGTGATATTGGCGGTGGACTTGTCATAAATAGCTCTTATTATTTTGAGATACGTCCCATCAACACCTAATTTATTGAGAGTTTTTAGCATGAAGTGCTGTTGAATTTTGTCAAAGGCCTTTTCTGCATCAATTGAGATAATCATTTGGTTTTTGTCATCGGTTCTGTTTATATGCTGGATTACCTTTATTGATTTGCATATGTTGAACCAGCCTTGCATCCCAGGGATGAAGCCCACTTGATCATGGTGGATAAACTTGTTGCTGTGCTGCTCAATTTGGTTTGCCAGTATTTTATTGAGGATTTTTGCATCAATATTCATCAAGGATATTGGTCTAAAATTCTCTTTTTTTTATTGTGTCTCTGCCAGACTTTGGTATCAGGGTGACGCTGACCTCATAAAATCAGTTAGGGAGGATTCCCTCTTTTTCTTTTTTTTTTTTTTTTTTTTTTTTTTTTTTTTTTTTGAGACGGAGTTTCGCTCTGTCGCCCAGGCTGGAGTGCAGTGGCGCGATCTCGACTCACTGCAAGCTCCGCCTCCCGGGTTCACGCCATTCTCCTGCCTCAGCCTCCCGTGTAGCTGGGACTACAGGCACGCGCCACCATGCCCGGCTAATTTTTGTATTTTTAGTAGAGACGGGGTTTCACCGTGTTAGCCAGGATGGTCTCGATCTCCTGACCTCGTGATCCGCCCGTCTCGGCCTCCCAAAGTGCTGGGATTACAGGCATGAGCCACCGCGCCCGGCCGGATTCCCTCTTTTTCTATTGATTGGAATACTTTCAGAAGGAATGGTACCGGCTCTCCTTGTACCTCTGGTAGAATTCGGCAGTGAATCCAGCTGCTCCTGGACTTTTTTTGTGGTAAGCTGTTAATTATTGTCTCAATTTCAGAGCATGTTATTAGTCTGTTAAGAGATTCAACTTCTTCCTGGTTTAGTCTTGGGTTGGTGTATGTGTCGAGGAATTTATCCATGTCTTCTAGATTTTCCAGTTTATCTGTTTAGAGATGTTTATAGTATTCTCTGATGGTAGTTTGTATTTCTGTGGGATCAGTGGTGATACCCCTTTATCATTTTTTATTGTGTCTATTTGATTCTTCTCTCTTTTTTTCTTTATAAGTCTTGCTAGCAGTCTATCAATATTGTTGATCTTCTCAAAAAACAAGCTCCTGGATTCATTGATTTTTTGAAGGGTTTTTTGTGTCTCTATTTCCTTCAGTTCTGCTCTGATCTTAGTTATTTCTTGCTTTCTGCTAGCTTTTGAATGTGTTTGCTCTTGCTTCTCTAGTTCTTTTTATTGCAATGTTAGGGTGTCAATTTTAGATATTTGCTACTTTCTCTTCTGGGCATTCAGTGCTATAAGTTTCCCTCTACACACTGCTTTGAATGTGTCCCAGAGGTTCTGGTATGTTGTGTCTTTGATCTCGTTGGCTTCAAAGAACATCTTTATTTCTGTCTTCATTTCATTATGTACCCAGTAGTCATTCAATGGAAGAACATTCCATGATCATGGATGAGAAGAATCAATGTCTTGAAAATGGACATACTGCCCAAGGTAATTTATAGATTCAATGCCTTCTCCATCAAGCTACCAATGACTTTCTTCACAGAATTGGAAAAAACTACTTTAAAGTTCATATGGAACCAAAAAAGATTCTGCATTGTTAAGTCAATCCTAAGCCAAAAGAAAAAATCTGGAGGCATCATGTTACCTGACTTCAAACTATACTACAAGGCTACAGTAACCAAAACAGCATGGTACTGGGACTAAAACAGAGATAGATATAGATCAATGGAACAGAAAAGAGCCCTCAGAAATAATATCACGTATCTACAACTATCTGATCTTTAACACATCTGACCAAAAGAAGAAATGGGGAAAAAATTCCCTATTTAATAAATGGTGCTGGCAAAACTGGCTAGCCATATGTAGGAAGCTGAAACTGGATCCCTTCCTTATACCTCACACAAAAATTAATGCAAGATGAATTAAAGACTTAAATGTTGGAGCTAAAGCCATAAAAACCCTAGAAGAAAAGCCAGGCAATGCCCTTCAGTACATAGGCATGGGCAAGGACTTCATGTCTAAAACACCAAAAGCAATGACAACAAAAGCTAAAATTGACAAATGGGATCTAATTAAACTAAAGAGCTTCTGCACAGCAAAAGAATCTACCATCAGCGTGAACAGGCAACCTACAGAATGGGAGAAAATTATTGCAATCTCCTCATCTGAAAAAGGACTATATCCAGAATGTAAAACGAACTATATAAATCATGCTACTATAAAGTAACAGGCACACATATGTTTACTGTGGCACTATTCACAAGAGCAAAGACTTGGAACTAACCCAAATGTCCAACAATGACAGACTGGATTAAGAAAATGTGGCACATATGCACCATGGAATACTATGCAGCCATAAAAATGATGAGTTCATTTCTTTGTAGGGACATGGGTGAAGCTGGAAACCTTCATTCTCAGCAAACTATCACAAGAACAAAAAACCAAACACTGCATGTTCTCACTCATAGGTAGGAATTGAACAATGGGAACACATGGACACAGTAAGGGGAACATCACACACCAGGGCCTGTTGCAGGGTTTGGTGAGAGGAGATAGCTTTAGAAGATATACCTAATGTTAAATGACGAGTTAATGGGTGCCGTACAACAGCATGGCACATGTATACATATGTAAAAAACCTGCATGTTGTGCACATGTACCCTAAAACTTAAAGTATAATAATTAAAAAAAGTGTTTCCAAATTGCTGAATCCAAAGCAAGGTTTAAATCTGCGAGGTGGATGCACACATCACAAAGCAGTTTCTCATAAAATTTCTTTCTAGTTTCTTTCTGAATAGGATTCCTTTTTCACCCTAGGCCTCAATTCTCTCTGAAACATCCCTTTTCAGATTCTACAAAAACAGTGTTTCCAAACTGCTCAGTGAAAGGAAAGGTTTAACTCTGTGAAATGAATGCCTACATTGCAAAGCTGTTTCTCAGATCGCTTCCTTCTAGCTTTATCCCTGGATATTCAAATTTTAGCCATTGGCCTTAAAGAGCTCCCAAATGTCCATTCACAAAATCGACAAAAAATTTTGCCAAACCACTGAATCCAAAGGAAGGTTTATTTGTGTGAGATGAATGCACACATCAAAAAGTAGTTTCTTAGCAAGTTTCTTTCTAGTTTTTATCTGAAGATGTTTCCTTTTTCACCATAGGTCTCAATGCTCTCTGAAATGTCCCTTCACAGATTCTACAAAAACAGAATTTCCAAAGAGCTGAATGAAAAGAAAGTTTTACCTCTGTGAGATGAATGCACACATCACATAGCTGTTTCTCAGATGGCTTCCTTCTAGTTTTGTCCTAGGATATTTGCTTTCTCACCATTGGCATAAATTAGCTCCCAAATGCCCATTCCCAGAATAGACAAAACCTTTGTTTCAAAATTGCTGAATCCAATGAATAGTTTATCTCTGTGAGATGAATGCACACATCACAAAGCAGTTTCTCTGAAAGTTTCTTTCTAGTTTTTATCTGAAGATGATTCCTTTTTTAACTTAAGCCTTTTTCAGTATAGGCCACAATAGTCTCCAAAATATCCCTTTGCAGTTTTTACAAAAAAACAGTGTTTCAAAACTGCTGAATGATAAGTAAGGTTTAGTTCTGTAAGATGAATGAACTCATCACAAATCCGTTTCTCAGAAGGCTTCTTTTTAGTTTTTATATGAAGACGTTTCCTTTTTCTCCATAGGTCTCAATGCACTCCCAGATACCCCTTCGCAGATCCTGCAAAAACACTGTCTCCAAATGGCTGAAGGAAAAGAATGGATTAATTCTGCTAGATGAATGCACAAATCGCAAAGACATTTCTCAGATAGCTAACTTTTAGTTTTTATCCTAGGGTAATTCACTTTTTCACCATTGGCTAAATGAGAAAAGTGTACTTTTGCAGAATGGAGTAAAAGAGTGTCTCCAAACTGCTGAATTCAAACAAAGTTTTAACCCTGTGAGATGAACACACACGTCACAAAGCAGTTTTTCAAAAGACTTATTTCTAAATTTTATCTGAAGATGTTTCCTATTTCAACGTAGGCCTCAATGATCTCCGAAATATCCCTTTCCAGATTCTATAAAAACAGTGTTTGCAAACTGCTGAATGAAAAGAAAGGTTTAACTCTGTGAGATGAATGCACACATCACACAACTGTTTCTCAGATAGCTTCCTTCCAGTTTTTCACCTGGTCTATTCAATTTTTCACCATTGGCCTCAATGAGGTCCCAAAAGTCCTTCCACAGAATGAAGAAAAACAGTGTTTCCAAACTACTAAATTCAAAGAAAGTTTTGAGTCTGTGAGATGAAATCACACATCACAAAGCAGTTTCTCAGAAAGTTTCTTGATAGTTTTTTTCTGAAGATGTTTAATTTTTTACCATAGACCTCAATGCTCTCCAAAGTATCCCTTTGCATATTGTACAAAAACAGTGCTTCCAAACTGCTGAATGAAAAGAAAGGTTTAACTCTACAAGATGTATGCACCCATCACATAACTGTTTCTCAGATAACTTCCTTCTAGTTTTTATCCTGGGATATTTGCTTTCTGGTCATTGGCCTCAATGAGCTCTGAAATGTCCACTGGCAGAATCGACAAACACAGTATTTCAAAACTGCTGAATCCAAAGAAAGGTTTACTTGTGTAAGCTGAAGGCAGACATCACAAAAATTTCTCAGAAAGCTTCTTTCTAGTTTTTATCTGAAGATGTTTTCTTTTTCACCATTGGCCTCAATGCTCTCTGAAATATCCCATTGCAGATTCTATAAAAACAGTGCTGCAAAACTGCTGAACCCACAGAACAGTTTAACTGTGAGATAAATGCACACATCACAAAGCAGTTTCTCAGAAAGATTCTTTCTACTTTTATTCTAAAGATGTTTCCTTTTTCACCATAGGTCTCAATGCACTCCCAAATATCCCTTCGCAGATTCTACAGAAACAGTAATTCCAAACTGTTGAATGAAAAGAAAGGCTTATCTCTGTGAGATGAACGCACAAAATCACAAAGCAGTTTATCAGATACCTTACTTCTAGTTTTTATCGTAGGGTAATTCACTTTTTTGCCATTGGCTTCAATGAGCTCCCAAATATCCATTTGCAGAATGGACAAAAACTGTTTCCAAACTGCTGAATCCAAAGAAAGCTTTAACTCTGTGAGGTGAATGCGCACATTACAAAGCAGTTTTCAGAAAATTTCTTTCTAGTTTTTATCTGAAGATGTTTCCTTCTTCACCTTAGGCCTGAATGCTCTCCCATACATCAATTTACTGATTCTACAAAAACAGTGTTTTCAAGCTGCTGAATGAAAAGAATGGTTTAACTCTGTGAGATGAATGCAAACATCATATAACAGTTTCTCAGAGATCTTCACTCTGCTTTTATCCTGGGATATTCTCTTTTTCACCACTGTTCCCAATGAGCTCCCACATGTCCATTCGTAGAATGGACAAAAACACTCTTTCCCAACTACTGAATATAAAGAAAGGTTTAACTCTGTGAGATGAATGCCAACACCACAAAGCAGTTTCTCACAGCTTCTTTCCAGTTTATATCTGAACGTGATTCCTATTTCACCATAGGGCTCAATGCTCTCCTAAATATCCCTTTGCATATTCTACAAAAACAGTGTTTCCAAAGTTCGGAATGAAAAGAAAGGTTTAACTCTGTGAGATGAATACACACATCAAAAACTGGCTTCTCAGATAGCCTCCTTCTGGTTTTTATCCTGGGATATTTGCTTTTTCATCATTGGCCCCATGAACTCCCAAGTGTCCATTCACAGAATGGACAAAAACACTCTTTCCAAACTACTTAATGCAAAGGATGTTTTTAAATCTCTGAGAAGAATGCACACATAACAAAGCAGGTTCTCAGAAAGTTTTTTTCTGGTTTTCATTTTAAGATGTTTCCTATTTCACTGAAGGCCTCAATGCTCTCCAAAATATCCTTTTGCAGATTCTACAAAAATAGAGTTTTTAAATTGCTGAATGAAGAGAAAGGTTTAACTCTTCAAGATGAATGCCCACATCACACAGCAGTTTCTCACATAGCTTCTTTCTAGTTATTCTGCTGTGATATTTGCTTTTTTGCCATTGACCTCAATGAGCTAAAAAATGTCCATTCTCAGAATCCAAAGAAAAATTTGCTCTGTGAGATAAATGCACACATCACAACGCAGTTTCTCAGAAAGCTTACTTCTAGTTTTTATCTTAGGATGTTTCCTTTTTACCATAGGTCTCAAGGGTCTCTGAAATATCCCTTTGCAAACTCTGCATAAAAACAGTTTCCAAATTGCTAAATCCAAAGAATGGTTTGTGTCTGTGAGATGAATGCACACATCACAAAGTAGTTTCTGAGAAAGCTGCTTTTTAGTTTTTATCTGATAATATTTCTTTTTTATACCATAGTTCACAATGTTCTCCAAAATATCCCTTTACAGATTACATAAAAACAGTGGTTCCAAACTGCTGAATGAAAAGAAATGTATAAATTGAGATGAATGCACACATCAAAAGCTGTTTCTCAGTTAGCTTCCTTCTAGTTTTTATCCTGGGATGTTCACTTTTTCACCATTGGCCTTAATGAGCTCGCAAATGTCCATTCTCAGTATGGACAAAAACCCCATTTCGAAACTCTGGAATCCAAAGAAAGGTTTGACTCTGTGAGATGAATGCATGCATCACAAAGCAGTTTCTCAGAAAGCTTCTTTCTAGTTTTTATCTGAAGATGTTTCCTTTTTTACCATAGGCCTCAATGCTCTCTGAAATATTGCTTTGCAGTATTTTAAAATTGCAATAATATTGTTAAAAAAAAGTGTTTACACACTGCTGAATGGAAAGGAATATTTAAGTCTGTGAGATGAATGCACACTTCAGAAAGCGGTTTCTCCAAAAGCTTCTTTCTAGTTTTTATCTGAAGAAGTTTCCTTTTCCACCATGGGCCTTAATGCTCTTTGAAATATCCCTTTTCAGATTCTACAAAGCAGTGTTTCCAAACTGCTGAATCCAAAGAAAGTTTTACCTCTGTGAGATGAATGCGCACATCACTAAGCATTTTCTCTGATAGCTGCTTTCTGGTTTTTGTCTGAAGATGTTTCCTTTTTCACCATAGGCCTCAGTGATTTTGGAAATATCCCTCTTCAGATTCTACAAAAACAGCATTTCCAAACTGCTGAATGCAAAGAAAGGTTAAACTCTGTGAGATGAATGCACACATCACAAAGCAGTTTCTCTGAAAGCTTCTTTCAAGTGTTTACCTGAAGATGTTTCCTTTTTCACCATGAGCCTCAATTCTCTCCAAAATATCCCTTTACAGATTCTACCAAAACTGTGTTTAAAAACTGCTCAATGAAAGGAAAGGTTTAACTCTGTGAGAGGAATGCATACATCACATAGCGGTTTCTCAGATAGCTTCCATCTGGTTTTTATCATGGGATATTTGATTTTCCACATTGGTCTCAAAAAGCTCCCACATGTCCATTCACGGAATGGAAAAAACAGTCTTTCCAAACTACTGAATGCAAAGAAAGTTTTAAGTCTGTGAGACAAATGCACACATCACAAATAAGTTTCTAAGAAAATTTCTTTCTAGTTTTTTTCTCAAGATGTAACCTTTTACACCGTAGGCCTCAATGCTCTCCAAATATCACTTTGCAGATTCTACAAAAACAGTGTTTCTAAATGTCTGAATGAAAAAAAGTTTAACTCTGTGGGATAAATGCACACATCGCATAGTAGTTTCTCAGATAGCTTCTGTCTAGTTTTTATCCTGGGATATTCAGTATTCCATTATTGGCCACAATGAGGTCCAAAATGTCCATTCGCAGAATGGACAAAACACTCTATCCAAATTCCTGAATCCAAAGTCATCTCTGTGGGATGAATGTGCACATCACAAAGCAGTTTCTCAGAAAGCTTCTTTCTTGTTTTCATCTGAAGGTGTTTCCTTTTTTACCTTAGGCTTCAATGATCTGCGAAATATCCCTATGCAGTTTCTAAAAAAACAGACTTGCCAAATTGCTGAATGAAAATAAAGGTTTAACTCTGTGAGATGAATGCACACATCACAAATTGGTTTCTCAGATAGCTTCCTTATAGTTTTTATCCTGGGATATTAACTTTTTCACCATTGGCCTAATGAGCTCCAAAATGTCCATTTGCAGAATGGACAAAAATGTGTTTCCAAACTATTGAACCTGAAGACAGGTTTAAATCTGTGTGATGAATTCACACATCACAAAGTACTTTCTCAGATACCTTCAGTCTAATTTTTATCCTGGGATATTCACTTTTTTGCCATTGGCCTCAATGAGCCCCAAAATGAGCATTCACAGAATGGAAAAAAACACTGTTTCTTAACTAGTGAATTCAAATAACTGTTTAATTCTGTAAGACGAATGCAAACTTCCACAGCAGCTTCTCCTAAATCCTCTTACTAATTTTTACTGAACACGTTTCCTTTTTTTCACCATATGCCTCCATGCTCTCTGAAGTTTCCCTTTGCATATTCTACAAAAGCAGTGTTCCCACACTGGTGAATGAAAAGGATGGTTTAACTCTGTGAGATGAATTCACACATCACATAGCAGTTTCTCAGGTATCTTCCTTCTAGATTTTAACCTGGGATATTCTCTTTTTTGCCATTGACCTCAATGAGCTTCCAAATGTCCATTGGCAGAATGGACAAAAACACTCTTTCTGAACTACTGAATCCAAAGAAAGTTTTTTAAGTCTGTGAGATGTATGCACACATCACAAAGCATTTTCTCAGAAATCTTCCTAGTTTTTTTTCTGAAGATACTTCCTTTTTCACCATAGGCATCAGTGCTCTCCAAAATATACCCTTTCAGATTCTACAAAAACAGAGTTTTGAAACTGCTGAATCCAAAGGAAGGTTGAATTCTGTAAGATGAATGCTCTCAACACAAAGCAGCTTCTCAGAAAACTTATTTCTATTTTTTATCTGAAGATGTTTCCTTTTTCACTATAGGCCTCAAGGCGCTTTGAAATGTCCCCTTACAGATTCTACAAAAACCGTGTTTCCAAACTGTTAAATTAAATCAATGGTTTAACTCAGTGAGATGAATGCCCACATCATGTAGTAGTTTATCAGATAGATTCCATCTGCTTTGTATCCTGGAATATTCACTTTTTCCCCGTTGGCTTCAATGTGCTCAAAATGTCCATTCACAGAATGGACAAAAACAGTGTTTCCAAACTGCTGAATCCAAAGAAAGGTTCAACTCTGTAAGATGAATGCACACATCACAAAGCAGTTTCTCAGAA
Source organism: Homo sapiens (assembly GCF_000001405.40). Classification (NCBI taxonomy): domain Eukaryota; kingdom Metazoa; phylum Chordata; class Mammalia; order Primates; family Hominidae; genus Homo; species Homo sapiens. Next base: position 39,174,603 of record NC_000010.11, on the reverse strand, counting down.
TGCTTCTTTCTAGTATTTACCTGAAGATGTTTCCATTTTCACCATAGGCCTCATTGATCTCTGAAATATCCCTTTGCAGATTCTACAAAAGCAGTGTTTCCAAAATGAGGAATGAAAAGAAAGGTTTAACTGTGCAAGATGAATGAACACATTACATAGCACTTTCACAGATAGCTTCCATCTAGTGGTTATCACGGGATGCTCACTTTTTTGCCTTTGGCCTCAATGAGCTTTCAAATGTCCATTCATAGAATGGACAAAAACACTTTTTCCAAACTACTGAATCCAAAGAAATGTTTAACTCTGTGAGATGAACGCAAACATCCAAAACAGTTTCTCAGAAATCTTCTTTCTGATTTTTACTGAACATTTTTCCTTTTTCAGCATAGGCCTAAATGCTCTCTGAAATATCCCTTTGCAGATTCTACAAAAACTGTGTTTCCAAACTGCTGAATGAAAAGAATGGCTTCACTGTCTGAGGTGAATGCACACATCCATAGCAGTTTCTCATATAGTTTCCGTCTAGATTTTACCTGGGATTTTCACTTTTTCCCCATTGGCCTCAATGAGGACTCCAATATCCATTTGCAGAATGAACAAAAACACTCTTTCCAAACTACTGAATCCAAAGAAAATTCTAACTCTGTGAGATGAATGCTCACATCACAAAGCAGTTTCTCAGAAAGCTTCTTTCTAGTTTTTATCTGAAGATGTTTCCTTTTTCACCATATGTCTCAATGCACTAGGAAATATCCCTTTGCAGATTCTACAAAAACGTGTTTCAAAACTGTAGAAAGTAAAGAAAGTTTTAACTCTGTGAGATGAATGTACACATCACGTAATAGTTTCTTAGATAATGTCTGCCTAGATTTTATCCTGGGATATTCGCTTTTTCACCATTGTACTCAATAAGCTCCAAAATGTCCATTTGTAGAATGGAAAAAAAACACTCGTTGCAAACTGTTGAGTCCAAAGAAAGGTTTAACTCTGTGAGATGAATGCACACATCACCAAGAAGTTTCTCAGATAGTTTCCTTCTAGTTTTTATCCTAGGATATTCTATTTTTTTGCCATTGGCCTCAAAGAGCCACAAAAGGTCCATTTGTAGAATGGACAAAAATAGTGTTTCCAAACTGAGGAATCCAAATAAATGTTTAAGTCTGGGAGATGAATGCATATATCCCAAAGCAAGTTCTCAGAAAGCTTCTTTCTACTTTTTAAATGAAGGTGTTTCTGTTTCCACTGTAGGCCTGACTGCTCTCTAAAATACCCCTTTGAAGATTCTTCAGAATACTCTTTCCAAACTTCTGAATCCAAAGAAAGTTTTAACTCTGTGAGATGAATGCACACATAACAAAGCAGTTTCTCTGAAAACTTCTTTGTAGTTTTTAACTGAATATGTTTCCTTTTTCACCATAGGCCTCAATGCTGTGTGAAATATCCCTTTGCAGATTTCTTGACATTGGAATCAATGAGCTCCCAAACGTCCATTTGCAGAATGGACAAAACCGTATTTCCAAATGGCTGATTCCAAAGAAATGTTTAACTCAGTAAATGAATGTACACATCACAAAGCAGTTTCTCTGAAACCTTCTGTTTAATTTTTATCGGAAGAAAATTCCTTTTTCACCATTTGCCTTAGGGCACTCAAATTTACCCCTTAGCAGATCCTACAAAAACAGTATTTCCAAACTGCTCAAAGAAAAAAAAAAAGTTTAACACTGTGGGATGAATGCAAATATCACAAAACAGTTTCTCAAAATGCTTCTTTCTTGTTTTTATCTGAAAATGTTTCCTTTTTCACCATAGGCCTCAACACGATCCCAAAGAGCCCTTCACAGATTCCACTAAATCAGAGTTTTGAAACTGTTGAATGAAAACAAAGGTTTAACTCTGTGAGATGAATGAACACATCACAAAGCAATTTCTCAGATAATTTCTTTCTAGTTTTTATCTTGGGATATTTCCTTTTTCGCCATTGGCCTCAATGAGCTCCCAAATATCCATTCACAGAATGGACAAAAACAGTGTTGCCAAACTACTGAATCCAAAGAAATGTTTAAGTCTGGATATGAACGCACACATCACAAAGCACTTTCCACATAAGCTTCTTTCTAGTATTTTTCTGAAGATGTTTGCTTTTTCATCATAGGCTTCAATGATCTCCAAAATATCCCTTTGCAGATTCTACAAAAACAATGTTTCCAAACTACTGAATCTAAAGAAAGTTTTACCACTGTGAGATGAATGCACATATCACAAAGCCATTTTTCAGAAAGCTTCTTTCTAGTTTTAATCTGAATATGCATCCTTTTTCACTATAAGCCTCAATGCTCCCTGAAATACCCTTCCGAGATCCTACAAAAACAGTGTTTCAAAACTGCTGAATGAAAAGAAAGGTTTAACCCTGTGAGATGAATGCACACATCTCAAATCCATTTCTGAGATAGTTTCCATCAACTTTTTGTCCTAGGTTATTTGCTTTTTCACAATTGGCCTCAAGGAGCTCCCAAATGTCCATTTGAAGAATGGACAAAAACAGTTTTTCCAAACTGCTGAATCCAAAGAATAGTTTAACCCTATGAGATGTATGAACAAATCAAAAAGCAATTTTTCAGAAAGCTTCTTTCTAGTATTTAGCTGAATATGTTTCCTTTTTCACCATAGGCCTCAAGGATCTCTGAAAAATCCCCCTGCAGATTCTACAAAAACAGGGTTTCCAAACTGCTGAATAACAGGAAGGTTTAATTCTGAGAGATGAATGCACACTTCACATAGCAATTTCTCAGATAGCTTCTGTCTAGTTTTTATCCTGGGATATTCGCTTTTTCACCATTTCCCAAAATGAACTCCCAAATGTCCATTTGCAGAATGGACAAAAACACTCTTTCCCAACTACTGAATCCAAAGAAAGGTACAAGTCAGTGACATGTATGCACAAATCACAAAGCAGTGTCTCAGAATATTTCTTTTTGGTTTTTATCTGAATATGTTTCCTTTTTCATCATAGGCCTCAATGGTCTCCAAAATATCCTCTGCAGATTCTACAAAAACAGTGTTTCCAAACTGCCGAATGAAAAGGGAGGTTTATCTCTATGAGATGAATGCACACATCATGTAACTGTTTCTCAGATTGCTTCCATCTAATTTTTATCCTTGGATATTTCCTTTTTCGCCATTGGCCTCTATGAATTCCCTAATGTCCATTTGCAGAATAGACAAAAACAGTGTTTCCAAACTGCTGAATCCAAAGAAAGGTTTAACTCTGTGGGATGAATGCTAACATCACAAAGCAGTTTCTCAGAAAGATTTTTCTAGTTTTTGTCTGAAGATGTATCCTTTTTCACCAAAGGTCTCAATGCTCTCCAAAATATCACTTTTTAGATTCCACAAAAGCAGTGTTTCCAAACTGCTGAATGAAAAGAAAGTTTTAACTCTGCAATATGAATGCACACATCACGTAGCAGTTTCTCAGATAGCTTACTTCTCGTTTACCTCCTGAGATATTCAACTTTTTCGCCACTGACCTCAATGAGCTCCCACATGTTCATTCGCAGAATGGATAAAAACAGTGTTTTAAAACTACAGAATCCAAAGAAGGTTTTAATTTTGTGAGATGAATGCAAACATCACAAAGCCATTTCTCAGAAAGCTTCTTTCTAGTTTTCTTCTGAAGATGTTTCCTTTTTCACCATAGGCCTCAAGGTTCTCTGAAATATCATTTTGCAGATTCTCCAAAAATAATGCCTCCAAACTGCTGAATCCAAAGAAAGTTTTACCTGTCTGAGATGAAAGCACACATCATAAAGCCATTTCTCAGAAAGCTTCTTTCTAATTTTCATCTGAAGATGTTTCCTTATTCACCATAGGCCTCAATGCTCTCTCAAATAGCCCTTTGCAGATTCTACAAAAACAGTGCCTCCAAACTGCTGAATGAAAAGAAAGGTTTAACTCTGCTAGATGAATGCCCTCATCGCATACCAACTTCTCAGATAGCTTCTGTCTAATTTTTATCCCGGGATACTAGCTTTTTCCCCTTTGGCCTCAATGAGCATCTTAATATCCATTTGCACAATGGACAAAAACAGTGTTTCCAAACTGCTGAAGGAAAACACAGTTTTAACACGTTGAGATGAATGCACACATCCCAAAGCAGTATCTCAGATAGCTTCCTTCAAATTTTTATCCTGGGATATCTGCTTTTCCACCATTGGCCTCAATGAGCTCCCAAGTATCCTTTTGCAGAATGGGCAAAAAAAGTGTTTCCAAACTGCTGAATCCAAACAAAGTTTTTTCGCAGTGAGATGAATGAATGCAGAAATCATGAAGCAGTTTCTCAGAAAGCTTCTTTCTAGTTTTTATCTGAAGATGTTTGAATTTTTCACCATATTCCCCAATGCTCTCTGAAATATCCCTTTGCACATTCTATGAACACAGTGTTTCCAAACTTCTGAATGAAAGATAAGTTTAACTCTGATAGGAAAATGCACACATCATATAGCAGTTTCTCAGATGCTTCCTTCTCGTTTTTAAACTGGGATATTCACTTTATCGCCATTGGCCTCAATGAGCTCCCAAATATACATTCACAGAATGGGCAAAAACAGTTTCCAAACTTCTGAATCCAAAGAATGGTTTAACTCTGTGAGATGAATCCACACATCACAAAGCAGTTTCTCAGAAAGCTTCCTTCTAGTTTTTATCTGAAGATGTTTCCTAGTTCACCATAGCCCTCAATGTTATCCAAAATATCCCTTTGTGGATTCTACAAAAACAGTGTTTACAAACTGCTGAATGAAAAGAAAGTTTTAACTCTGTGAGATGAATGCACACATAAAAATGTGGCTTCTGAGATAGCTTCCTTCCTGTTTTTATCCTTTGATATTTGCTTTTTCACCATTGGCCTCAATGAGCTCCAAAATGTCCATTCCCAGAATGAACAAAAACAGTGTTTTCAAATGGCTAAATCCAAAGAAAGGTTTAACTATGTGAGATGAATGCACACATCACAAAGCAGTTTCTCAGAAAGCTTCTTTCTAATTTTTATTTGAAGATATTTTCCTTTTTGAAAATAGGCCTCAGTTCTCCCCAAAATATCCCTATACAGATTCTACAAAAACAATGTTTCAAACTTGATGAAAGAAAAAAGGGGTTGAACTCTGCAAGATGAATACACACATCACATCGCAGTTTCTCAGAAAGCTTCTGTTTAGTTTTTATCCTGGGATATTTGCTTTTTTGCCATTGGCCTCAAGGAGCTACAAAATGTCCATTCACAGAATGGACAAAAAAAGTGTTTCCAAATTGCTGGATGGAAAGAAAACTATAACTCTGTGAGATGAATGCACACATCACAATGCGGTTTCTCAGATAGCTTCCTTCTGGTTTTTATCCTGGGATATTCACTTTTTCAACTTTGGCCTCAAGGTGCTCTGAAATGATGACTCCGTGAATGGAAAAAAACAACGTTTCCAAACTACGGAACCCAAAGAAAGGATAAAGCCTTTGAGATTAATGCACACACCACAAAACAGTTTCTCAGAAAGCTCCTTTCTAGTGTTTCTCTAAAGATGTTTCCTTTTATGACATAGGCCTCAATACTCTCTGATATATCACTTTGCACATTCTGCAAAAACAGTGTCTCCAAATAGTTGAATCCAAAGAAAGTATTAACTCTGTGAGATGAATGGAGACACCACAAAGCAGTTTGTAAGAAAGCTTCTTTCCAGTTTTTATATGAAGATGTTTCCTATTTCACCATAGGCCTCAATGTTTTCCAAAATATTCTTTGCTGATACTACAAAAATAGTGTTTCCAAACTGCTGAATGAAAAGAAAGGTTTAACTCTGTGAGATGAATGCACCCAACTATTGCAGTTTCTCAGCTAGCTTCCACCTAGTTTTTATCCTGGGATATTCAGTTTTTCGCCATTGGCCTCAATGAGCTCCCAAATGCCCACTTAAATAATCAACGAAAGCACTCTTTGCAAACTACTGAATCTAAGGAAAGGTTTAACTCTGTGATGTGAATGCACACAACATAAAATAGTTTCTCTGAAAGCTCCCTTCCTGTTTTCACCTGAAGGTGGTTCCAATTTCACCACAGGGCTCAATGCTCTCTGTAAAGTCCCTTGCAGATTCAACAAAAAGAGTGTTTCCAAACTGCTGTGTGAAAAGCTTGCTTTAACTCTGTGAGATGAATGCATACATCATGTAGCAATTTCTCAGATAGCTTCCTTCTAGTATTTATCCTGGCATATCAGCTTTTTCAACATTGGCCGCATTGAGATCCCAAATTTCCATTTACAGAATGGACAGAAAAAGTATTTCCAACTACTGAATCCAAAGAAAAGTTTAAGTCTGTGATATGAATGCGCACATCACAAAGCAGTTTCTCAGAAAGCTTCTCTCTAGTTTTCGTCTGAAGCTGTTTCCTATTGCAACATATGTCTCAATGATGTCCAAAATATCCCTTTGCCGATTCTACAAAAACAGTGTTTCCAAACTTCTGAATGAAAAGAAAGTTTTAACTCTGTGAGATGAAAGCACACATCACAAAGCGGTTTCTCAGATAGCTTCCTTCTAGTTTTTATCCTGGGACATTCGCTTTTTTGCCATTGGCCTCAATAAGCTCCCAAATATACATTCACAGAATGGATAAAAACAGTTTTTCCAAACTGAATCTAAAGAAAGTTTTTTTTTTGTTCTTTTTAATATTATTATACTTTAAGTTTTAGGGTACATGTGCACAATGTGCAGGTTAGTTACATACGTATACATGTGCCATGCTGGTGCGCTGCACCCACTAACTCGTCATCGAGCATTAGGTTTATCTCCCAATGCTATCCCTCCCCCCTCCCCCCACCCCACAACAGTCCCCAGAGTGTGATGTTCCCCTTCCTGTGTCCATGTGTTCTCATTGTTGAATTCACACCTATGAGTGAGAATATGCAGTGTTTGGTTTTTTGTTCTTGTGATAGTTTACTGAGAATGGTGATTTCCAGTTTCATCCATGTGCCTACAAGGGACATGAACTCATCATTTTTTATGGCTGCATAGTATTCCATGGTGTATATTGCCACATATTCTTAATCCAGTCTATCATTGTTGGACATTTGGGTGGGTTCCAAGTCTTTGCTATTGTGAATAGTGCCACAGTAAACATACATGTGCATGTGCCTTTATAGCAGAATGATTTATAAACCTTTGGGTATATACCCGGTAATGGGATGGCTGGGTCAAATGGTAATTCTAGTTCTAGATCCCTGAGGAATGGCCACACTGACTTCCATAATGGTTGGACTAGTTTACTGTCCCACCAACAGTGTAAAAGTATTCCTTTTTCTCCACATCCTCTCCAGCACCTGTTGTTTCCTGACTTTTTAATGATCGCCATTCTAACTGGTGTGAGATGGTATCTCATTGTGGTTTTGATTTGCATTTCTCTGATGGCCAGTGATGGTGAGCATTTTCTCACGTCTTTTTTGGCTGCATAAATGTCTTCTTTTGAGAAGTGTCTGTTCATGTCCTTCACCCACTTTCTGATGGGGTTGTTTGGTTTTATCTTGTAAATTTGTTTGAGATCATTGTAGATTCTGGATATTAGCCCTTTGGCAGATGAGTAGGTTGTGAAAATTTTCTCCCACTTTGTGGGTTGCCTGTTCATTCTGATGGTAGTTTCTTTTGCTGTGCAGAAGCTCTTTAGTTTAATTAGATCCCATTTGTCAATTTTGGCTTTTGTTGCCATTGCTTTTGGTGTTTTAAACATGAAGTCTTGCTCATGCCTGTGTCCTGAATGGTAATGCCTAGGTTTTCTTCTAGGGTTTTTATGGCTTTCAGTCTAATGTTTAAGTCTTTAATCCATCTTGAATTATTTTTTGTATAAGGTGTAAGGCAGGGATCCAGTTTCAGCTTTCTACATATGGCTAGCCAGTTTTCCCAGCACCATTTATTAAATAAGGGATCCTTTCCCCATTGCTTGTTTTTCTCAGGTTTGTCAAACATCAGATAGTTGTAGATATGCGGCGTTATTTCTGAGGGTTGTGTTCTGTTCCATTGATCTGTATCTCTGTTTTGGTACCAGTACCATGCTGTTTTGGTTGCTGTAGCCTTGTAGTATAGTTTGAAGTCAGGTAGTGTGATGCCTCCAGCTTTGTTCTTTTGGCTCAGGATTGACTTGACGATGTGGGCTCTTTTTTGGTTCCATGTGAACTTTAAAGTAGTTTTTTTTCCAATTCTGTGAAGAAAGGCATTGGTAGCTTGATGGGGATGGCACTGAATCTGTAAATTACCTTGGGCAGTATGGCCATTTTCACGATATTGATTCTTCCTACCCATGAGCTTGGAATGTTCTTCCATTTGTTTGTATCCTCTTTTATTTCCTTGAGCAGTGGTTTGTAGTTCTCCTTGAAGAGGTCCTTCACATCCCTTGTAAGTTGGATTCCTAGGTATTTTTTTCTCTTTGAAGCAATTGTGAATGGGAGTTCACTCATGATTTGGCTCTCTGTTTGTCTGTTGTTGGTGTATGAGAATGCTTGTGATTTTTGTACATTGATTTTGTATCCTGAGACTTTGCTGGAGTTGCTTATCAGCTTAAGGAGATTTTGCGCTGAGACAACGGGGTTTTCTAGATATACAATCATGTCATTTGCAAGCAGGGACAATTTGACTTCCTCTTTTCCTAATTGAATAGCCTTCCTTTCCTTCTCCTGCCTAATTGCCCTGGCCAGAACTTCCAACATTATGTTGAATAGGAGTGGTGAAAGAAGGCATCCCTGTCTTGTGCAGTTTTCAAAGGGAATGCTTCCAATTTTTGCCCATTCAGTATGATATTGGCTGTGGGCTTGTCATAGATAGCTTTTATTATTTTCAGATATGTCCCATCAATACCTAATTTATTGAGAGTTTTTAGCATGAAGCGTTGTTGAATTTTGTCAGAGGCCTTTTCTGCATCTATTGAGATAATCATGTGGTTTTTGTCTTTGGTTCTGTTTATATGCTGGATTACATTTACTGATTTGTGTATATTGAACCAGCCTTGCATCCCAGGGATGAAGCCCACTTGACCATGGTGGATAAGCTTTATGATGTGCTGCTTGATTCAGTTTGCCAGTATTTTATTGAGGATTTTTGCATCAATGTTCATCAAGGATATTGGTCTAAAATTCTCTTTTTTTGTTGTGTCTCTGCCAGCCTTTGGTGTCAGGATGATGCTGGCCTCATAAACTGAGTTAGGGAGGATTCCCTCTTTTTCTATTGATTGGAATAATTTCAGAAGGAATGGTACCAGTTCCTCCTTGTACCTCCGGTAGAATTCTGCTGTGAATCCATCTGGTCCTGGACTCTTTTTCGGTGGTAAGCTATTGATTATTGCCACAATTTCAGCTCCTGCTATTGGTCTATTCAGAGACTCAACTTCTTCCTGGTTTAGTCTTGGGAAAGTGTATGTGTCGAGTAATTTATCCATTTCTTCTAGATTTTCTAGTTTATTTGCATAGAGGTGTTTGTAGTATTCTCTGATGGTAGTTTGTATTTCTGTGGGATTGGTGGTGATATCCCCTTTATCATTTTTATTGCACCTATTGCTTCTTCTCTCTTTTTTTCTTTATTAGTCTTGCTAGCAGTCTGTCAATTTTGTTGATCCTTTAAAAAAACCAGCTCCTGGATTCGTTTTTTAAGGGTTTTTTTGTATCTCTATTTCCTTCAGTTCTGCTCTGATTTTAGTTATTTCTTGCCTTCTGCTAGCTTTTGAAAGAGACTTTAACACACCACTGTCAACATTAGACAGATTGACAAGACAGAAAGTCAACAAGTATACCCAGGAATTGAACTCAGCTCTGCAACAAGCGGACCTAATAGACATCTACAGAACTCTCCACCCCAAATCAAGAGATTATACATTTTTTTCAGCACCACACCACACCTATTCCAAAATTGATCACATACTTGGAAGTAAAGATCTCCTCAGCAAATGTAAAATAACAGAAATTATAACAAACTATCTCTCAGAACACAGTGCAATCAAACTAGAACTCAGGATTAAGAATCTCACTCAAAACCTCTCAACTACATGGAAAATGAACAACCTGCTCCTGAATGACTACTGGGTACATAACTAAATGAAGGCAGAAATAAAGATGTTCTTTGAAACCAATGAGAACAAAGACACAACATACAGAATCTCTGGAACGCATTTAAAGCAGTGTGCAGAGGGAAATTTATAGCACTAAATGCCCACAAGAGAAAGCAGGAAAGATCCAAAATTGACACCCTAACATCACAGTTAAAAGAACTAGAAAAGCAAGAAGAAAGTTTTAATTCTTTGAGATGAATGTACCCATCACAAAGTGATTTCTCAGATGTGTTCTTTCTAGTTTTTATCCTCTGATATTCACTTTATCACCATTGACTTCTTAGAGCTCATAAATGTACATTGAAGAATGGACAAAAGCAGTGTTTCCAAACGGCTGAATCCAAAGAAAGTTTTAACTCTGTGAGATGAATGAAAACATCACAAAGCAGTTTCTCAGATAGCTTCCTTCCTGTTTTTTTCCTGGTATATTTTCTTTTTTGCCATTGGACTCAATGAGCTCCCAACTTTCCATTTGCACAATGGACAAATACAGTGTTTGCAAACTGCTGAACTGAAAGAAAGTTTAACTCTTTCAGATGAATGCACACATCACAAAGCAGTTTCTTAGAAAGTTTCTTTCTAGATTTTATCTGAAGATGATTCTTTTTCACTGTAGGCCTCAATGCTCTCTGAAATATCTGTTTGCACATTGGCAAAAACAGTGTTTCCAAACTGCTTAGTGTAAAGTAAGGTTTAACTCTGTGAGAGGGAAGCACGCATCACATAGCAGTTTCTCAGATAGCTTTCATCCAGTTTTTATCCTTGGATATTCACTTCTTCACATTGACCTGAATGAGCTCCCAAAAGTCCATTTGCAGAATGGACAAAAACACTCTTTTGAAACTACTGAAAACAAAGAAATATTTAACTCTGTGAGATGAGTGCACACATAACAAAGAAGTTTCAAAGAAATCTTCTTTCTAGTTTTTATCTGAATGTGTTTCTTTTCTCACCATAGGTCTCACTGTCCTCCAAAATACATCTTTGCAGATTCTACAGAAACAGTGTTTCCAAACTGCTGAATTAAAAGAATGGTTTAACACTGTGAGATGAATGCACACATCACAAAACATTTTCCCAGATAACCTCCTTCTAGGTTTTATCTGGGGATATACGTTTTTTCATCACTGGCCACCATGAGCTCCCAAATGTTCATTCGCACAATGGACAAAAGCAGTGTTTCCAAACTGTTGAATCTAAAGAAAGTTTAACTCTGTGAGATGAAAACACACCTCAAAAAGCAGTTTCTAAGAAACCTTCTTTCTAATTTTCATCTGAATATGTTTCCTCTTCCACCATAGGCCTCAATGCTCTCGGAAATATCCCTTTGCAGTTTCTACAAAAACAGTGTTTCCAAACTTCTGAATGAAAGGTTTAACTCTGCTAGATGAATGCCTACATCACAAAGAAGTTTCTAAGATAGCTTCTGTCTAGTTTTGGTCCTGGCATATTCACATTTTCTCCTTGGCCTCTATGAACTTCCAAATTTCCATTCACTGAATGGACAAAAATAATCTTTAGAAACTGCAAAATCCAAGGAAAAGTTTAACTCTGTGAGAGGAATGCACACGTCACGAAGCAGTTATTCAGAAAGCTTCTTTCTAGTTTTTATCTGAAGTTGTTCCCTTTTACACCATAGGCCTCAATGCTCTTGGAAATTTCCCTTTCTAGATTATACAAGAAAGTGTTTCAAAACTGCTGAATGAAAACTATGTTTTAACTCTGCAAGATGAATTCAACCATCACATAGCAGAACTCAGATAGTTTCCATCGGTTTTTTATCCTCGGATATTCACTTTTTTCCCATTGGCCTAAATGAACTCCCAAATGTAGCGGACGAAAATAGTGTTTCCAAACAGCTGAATCCAAAGAAAGGTTTAACTCTATGAGAGGAATGCAAACATCACAAAGCAGCTTCTCAGATATCTTCTTTCTAGCTTTTATCTGAAGATATTTCTTTTTTCACACTAGGCCTCAATGCTCTCCAAAATATCCCTTTGCAGATTCTATAAAAACAGTGTTTACAAACCGCTGGATGAAAGGAAAAATTTAACTCTGTGAAATGAATGCACACATCACAAAGAGGTTTCTCAAAGAGCCTCCATCTAGTTTTTATCCTGGGATATTCCCTTTTTTTGCCAGTGGCCTCAATGAGCTCCCAAATGTCCATTCACAGAATGGACAAAAATGGTGCTTCTAAACTACTGAATCCAAAGAAAGTTTTAAGTCTGTGAGGTGAATGCATACATCAGAAAGCATTTTCTCAGAAACTTTCTTCCTAGTTTTTATCTGATAATGTTTCCTTTTACACCTTAGGCCTCAATGCTCTCTGAAATATCCCTTTGCAGATTCTACAAAAACAGTGTTTTCAAACTGCTCAATGAACAGAAAGAATTAACTCTGCGAGATGAATACACACGTCACATAGCAGTCCCACAGCAAACTACCATCTAGTTTGAATCCTGGGATATTCCCTTTTTCACCATTGGCCTAAATGAGGTCCCAAATGTCCATTTGGAGAATGGAGAAAAATAGTGTTTCCCAACTGCTGAATCCAAAGAAATGTTTAACTCTGTGAGATAAATGCACACATCACAAAGCAGTTTCTTAGAAAGCTTCTTTCTAGTTTGTATCTGAAGGTGTATGCTTTTTCACCATAGGCCTCAATGCTCTCTGAAATATCCCTTTGCAGATTCTACAAAACAAGTGTTTCCAAACTTCTGAATTCAAAGAAAGGTTTAACTCTGAGATGAATCCACACATAACAAAGAAGTTTCTCAGAAAAATTCTTTCTAGTTTTTATCTGGAGATATTTCCTATTTCACCATACTCTCCAAAGTATCCCTTTGCAGATTCTACAAAAAAGAGTGTTTCCAAACTGCTAAACCCAAAGAAATGGTTAACATTGTGAGATGAATGCACACATCACAAAGCAGTTTCTCAGAAATTTTCTTTCTACTTTTTATAGGAAGATGTTTCCTTTTTCAATGTTGGACTAAATGCTCTTTAAAATATCCCCTTGCAGATTCTAAAGGTCAGTGTTTACAAATTGCTGAATGAAACAAAAGTTTAACTCTGTGAGATGAATTCACACATCAGACAGAAGTTTCTCAGAGAGCTTCCTTTAAGTTTTTACCCTGGGATATTCACTTTTTTGCCATTGGCGTCAATGAACTCCCAAATATCCATTCAGGGAAGGGACAAAAACAGTCTTTCCAAACTACTGAATCCAAAGAAAGGTAACTCTCTCAGATGAATGCACACCTCACAGAGCAGTTTCTCAGAAAGCTTCTTTCTAGTTTTTATCTGAAAATGTTTCCTCTTTTACCATATTCTTCAATACTCTCCAAAATATCCCTTTGCAGACTCTACAGAAACAGTTTTCAAAAATGCTGAATGAAAAGAAAGTATTATCTCTTTGAGATGAATGCACACATCACAAAGCTGTTTCTCAGATAGCTACCTTCTTGTTTTTTCCTGGGATATTCGCTTTTTCAACTTTACCAACTATGACCTCCCAAACGTCCATTTGCAGAATGGACAAAAATACTTTTTCCAAACTCTGAATGAAAACGATGGTTTAACTCTGTGAGTTGAATCCACACATCACAAAGCAGTTTCCCAGAAAGCTTCTTTCTAATTTTATCTGAAGATGTTTCCTTTTGCACCATAGACCTCAATGATCTCCAAAATATCTCTTTGCAGATTTGACAAAAAAGTGTTTCCAAACTGCAGAATGAAAAGTAAGTTTCAATTCTGCAAGACGAATGTGGACATCACATAGCAGTTTCTCAGATAGCTTCCATCTACTTTTTATCCTGGGATATTCACTCTTTTGCCATTGGCTTCATAGAGCACCAAAATGTCCATTCGCAGAGTGGACAAAAACTGTATTTCCAAACTACTGAATCCAAAGACATATTTAATTCTGTGAGATAAATGCACACATAACCAACCAGATTCTCAGAAATCTTCTTTCTAGTTTTTATCTGAAGACGTTTCCTGTTTCATCACAGGCCACATTGCTATATGAAATATCACTTTGCAGATTCTACAAAAAGAGTGTTTCCAAACTGACGAATGAAAAGAATTGTTTAACTCTGTGAGATGAATGCACACATCGGAAAACAGTATCTCAGAAAGTTTCTTTCTAGTTTTTAACTGAAGATATTTCCTTTTTCACCATAGGCCTCAATGCTCTCCGAAATATCCCTTTGCAAATTCTTCAAAAACACTGCTTCCAAACAGCTGAATGAAAGGAATGGTTTAACTCTTTGAAATGAATGCTCACATGACACAGCTGTTTCTCAGATAGATTTCTTCTGGTTTTTATTCAGGGGTATTCGCTTTTTCACCATTGGCTCCAAAGAGCTCCAAAATGTCCATTCACAGAATGGGCAAAAACTCTGTTTCCAAACTACTGAATCCAAAAAAAGTGGTAAGTCTGTGAAATGAATGAACACATCACAAAGCAGTTTCTCAGAAACCTTCTTTCTAGTTTTTAACTGAAGATGTTTCCTTTTTCAACACTGGCCTGAACGCTCTCTGAAATATCACTTTGCAGATTCCATGAAAACGCTGCTTCAAACAGCTGAATGAAAAGAATGATTTAACTCCGTTAAGTGAATGCTCACACCACAAAGAGGTTTCTCAGATAGATTCCTTATAGTTTTTATTCAGGGATATTTGCTTTTTAGCCTTTGGGACCAAAGAGCTCTGAAATGTCCATTCTCAGAACGGACAAAAACTGTGTATCCAAACTCCTGAATCCAAAGAAAGCTTTAAGTCTGTGAGATGAATGCAGACATCACAAAGCAGTTTCTCAGAGAACTTCTTTCTCGTTTTTATCTGAAGATGTTTCCTATTTCACCATATGCCTCAATATTCTCTGAAATAACCCTTTGCAGATTCTACAAAAAATGGTGATTCCTAACTGCTGCATGAAAAGAAAGTTTTAATTCTGTGAAATGCATGCTGACATCACAAAGCAGTTTCTCAGGGAGCTACATTGTAGTTTTAATCCTGGCATATCTCCTTTTTTGCCATTGGCCTCAATGAGCTCCCATATGTCCATTCACAGAATGAACAAAAACAGATTTTCCCCACTGCTGAATCCAAAGAAAGTTTTAACTCTGTTACATGAATGGACACATCACAAGGCAGATTCTCAGAAAGCTTCTTTCTAGGTTTTAACTGAAGATGTTTCCTTTTTCACCATAAGCCTCAATGCTCTCCAAAATATCCCTTTGCAGATTCTACAAAAATACTACTACAAACAGCTGAATAAAATGCATGCTTTAACTCTGTGAGATGTATGCTCTCAGGACAAAGCGGTTTCTCAGATAGACTTCTAGTTTTTATTCAGGGATTTTCACTTTTTCACCATTGGACCCAAAGAGCTCCAAAGTGTCCATTCACAGAATAGACAAAAACTGTATTTCCAAACTACTGAATCCAAAGAATGCTTTAACTCTGTGAGATGAATGCACACGGCACAAAGCAGTTTCTTAGAAAGCTTCTTTCTACTTTTTCTCTGAATATGATTCCTTTTTTATCATAGACCTCAATGCTCTCTGAAATATCCCTTTGCAGATTATACAAAAAACGTGTTTCCAAATTGCTGAATGAAAATAATTTAACTCTGTGAGATGAATGAACATATCACAAAGCTGTTTCTCAGATATCTTCCTTGTAGTTTTTAATCCTTCGATATTCCCATTTTCACATTTGGTCTCAAGGCGCCCCCAAATGTCCATTCGCTGAGTTCACAAACACCATGTTTCAAAGCTGCTGAATGCAAAGAAATGTTTAACTCTGTGAGATGAATGCACAAATTACAAATCAGTTTCTCAGAAAGCTTCATTCTAGTTTTTATGTAAAGATGTTTCCTACTTCACCATAAACCTCAATGCTCTCCTAAGTATCCCTTTGCAGATTCCATGACAGCAGTGTTTCCAAAGTGCTGAATGAAAAGGAAGGCTTAACCCTGTAAGATGAATGCACACATCACAAAGCAGTTTCTAAGATAGCTGCCTTCTAGTTTTTATCCTGGGTTATTTCCATTTTCACCATTGGCCTCAAAGAACCCCCAAATGTCCTCTTTCTGAGTGGACAAAAACAGTGTTGCAAAACTGCTGAATCCAAAGAAAGGTTTAACTCTGTGAGATGAATGCACACATCACAACGCAGTTTCTCAGAAAGTTTCTTTCTCGTTTTTATCTGAAGATGTTTTGTTTTTCACCATAGTCCTCAATGCTCTCTGAAATATCAATTTGCAGATTCTACAAAAACATTTTCCCAACTGCTGTTTGAAAAGAAAGCTTTAACTCTAACAGTGAATACATACAACACAAAGCAGTTTCTCTGATAGCTTCCATCTAGTGTTTACCCTGGGGTATTCTATTTTTCACCATTGACATCAATCAACTTCCAAATGTCCACTCACAGAATGGAGAAAAACAGTGTTTTCAAATTGTTGAATCCAAAGAAACGTTTAGCTCTGTGAGATGAATGCACACACCACAAAGCAGTTTCTCAGAAAGCTTCTTTCTAGTTTTTATCTGAAGATGTCTCCTATTTCACGACAGGACTCTATACTCTCTGAAATAACCCTTTGCAGATTCTACAAAAACTGTGTTTCAAAACTGCTGAATTAAAAGAATGGTTTAACTCTGTGAGATGAATTTTCACTTTACAAGCAGTTTCTCAGATAGCCTCCT
The DNA here is from genome assembly GCF_000001405.40 of Homo sapiens. Taxonomy (NCBI): domain Eukaryota; kingdom Metazoa; phylum Chordata; class Mammalia; order Primates; family Hominidae; genus Homo; species Homo sapiens. The sequence goes on along the minus strand of NC_000010.11, from coordinate 39,157,753 downwards.
TCTAGTTTTCATCCTGGGATATTTGCTTTTTTGCCATTGGCCTCAATAACCTCCCAAATGTCCTTTCATAGAATGGACAAAAACAGGGTTTCCAAACTGTTAAATTCAAAGAAAGATTTGAACTCTGTGAGATGAATGCACACATCAAAAAGTAGTTCCTGAGAAACCTTCCTTCTTGTTTTTATCTGAAGATTTTTCCTTTTTCAACATAGACCTCAATGCTCTCCGAAATATCACTTTGCAGATCGTATAAAAAAAGTGGTTCCAAACTGCTGAATGAAATTAACTCTGTGAGATGAATGCACACATCACAAAGAGGTTTCTCAGAAAGCTTCTGTCTAGTTTTTATGGGAAGATATTTCCTTTTTCCACCACAGGCCTCAAAGCTCTCACAAATATCCCTTTGCAGATTCTAGAAAAACAGAGTTTCCAAACTGCTCAATGAAAAGAAACGTTTACCACTGTGAGATGAATGCACACATCACAAAGCAGTTTCGCAGAAAGCTTCTTTCTAGTTTTTACCTGAAGATGTTTCCTTTTTCACTATAGGCCTCAAAGCACTCTGAAATATCTATTTTTAGATTATTCTAAAACCGTGTTTCTGAACTGCTGAATGAAAAGAAAGGTTTAACTCTGTGAGATGTATGCACACATCACAAAGCGATTCCTCAGATAGCTTCCTTCTACTTTTTATCCTTGGATATTCACTTTTTGCCTTTGGCCCTAATGAGTTTCCCAATGTCCACTTGTGGAATGGACAAAAGCAGTGTTTCCAAATTACTGAATTCAAAGAAACTTTTAACTCTATGAGATGAATGCACACATCACAAAGTAGTTTCTAAGAAAGCTTCTTTCTAGTTTTTATGTGAAGATGTTTTCATTTTCACCATAAGCCAAAAACTGTCTGAAATATCCCCTTGAAGAATCCACAGAATCACTGGTTCCAAACTGCTGTGTGAAAAGAAAGCTTTACCTCTTTGAAATGAATGCCCACATCCCAAGGGGTTTCTCAGATAGCTTCCTTATAGATTTTATCTTGGGATATTCAATGTTCTGCCATTGGCCTCAATGAGCTCCCAAATGTCAATTCGCAGAAAGGACAAAAACAGTGATTCCAAACTGCTGAATCCAAAGGATGGTTTAAGTCTGTGAGATAAATGCACACATCACAAAGCAGTTTCTCAGAAAGGTTCTTTCTAGTTTTTATCTGAAGTTGTCTCCTTTTTCACCATAGGCTCAATACTCTCTGAAATATCCCCTTGCAGTTTCTAAAAAAACTCTTTCTACACTGCTGAATGAAAAGAAAAGTTTAACTCTGTGAGATGAATGCACACATCACAAGGCAGTTTCTCAGATACCTTCCTTCTTGTTTTTAGCCTGGGATATTCACTTTTCTGCTTTCTGCCTCAGTGAGATCTGAAATGTCCATTCAGAGAATGGCCAAAAGCAGTGTTTCCAAACTAATGAATCCAAAGAAAGTTTGAAGTCTGTGAGATGAATGCCCACATAACATAGCAGTTTCTCAGGCACCTTCTTTCTAGTTTTTATCCTGGGATATTTACATTTTCATCATTGGCCTATATGAGCTCCCAAATGCCCATGAGGAAAATGGACAAACACACTCTTTCCAAACTGCTGAATCCAAATAAAGATTTATCTCTGTGAAATGAATGAACACATAACAAAGCAATTTTTCAGAAAGCTTCTTTGTAGTTTTTATCTGAAGATGTTTCCTATTTCACCATAGGTCTCAATGCTCTCCAAAATATCCCCTCGCAGATTATACAAAAACTGTGTTTCCAAACTGCTGAATGAAAAGAAAGATTTAACTCTTTGAGACTAATGCACACATCAAAAAACGGTTTCTCAGTTAAATTTCTTAAGATTTTTTCTCGGGATATTTGCTTATTCACCATTGGCCTCTATTAAGTCCCAAATGTCCATTTGCAGAAGGGAGAAAAAAGTGTTTCCAAACTACTGAATGAAAAGAAAGGTTTAACTGTGTAAGATTAATGCATACATGACAAAGCAGTTTCTCAAATAGCTTCCTTCTAGATTTTATCCTGGGATATTTGCTCTTTCACTATTGGCCTTTAATGAACTCCCAAATGTCCCTTTGCAGAATTGAGAAAAACCGTGTTTCCTAATTGCTGAATGCAATGAAAGGATTAAATCCATAAGATTAATGTGCACATCAAAAAGCAGTTTCTCCAAAAGCTTCTTTCTAGTTTTTAACTGAAGATGTATCCTTTTTAACCACAGGCCACAATACTCTCCAAAATATGACTTTGCGGATTCTAAAAAAAAGTGTTTCCAAACTACTGAAAGAAAAGAAAAGTTTAATCTGTGAGATGAATGCACACATGGTGTAGCAGTTTCTCAGATAGCTTCCATCCTTTTTATCCTGGGATATTCGATTTTCTGCCATTGGCCTCAATGGGCTCCAAAATGTCCTTTAGCAGAATGGACAAACACTCTTTCCAAACTACTTAATCCAATAAAAGGGTTTCCAAACTGTTGAATGAAAAGAAAGATTTAACACTGCGAGATGACTGCACACATCAAATAGCAGTTTCTCAGATAGATTCCTGCTACTTTTTATCCTGGGATATTTGCTTTTTCACCATTGGCCTGAATGAGCTCTGAAACGTCCATTCACAGAATGGACAAAAAAAGTGTTTCAAAACTGCTAAATTCAAAGAAAGATTTAACACTGTCAGATTAATGCACACATCACTAAGTAGTTTCTCAGAAAGCTTCTTTCTAGTTTTTATCTGAAGATGTTTCCTATTTCACCGAAGGCCTCAATGCTGTCCAAAATAAACCTTTGCAAATTCTACGTAACAGTGGTTACAAACAGCTGAATAAAAAGAAATGTTTAACTCTGTGAGATGAATGCACACATCACAAAGTGGTTTTTCACATGGCTTCCTTCTAGATTTCTTCCTGGGATAGTCACTTTTTTGCCATTGGGTTCAATGAAGTCTTAAATGTCCATTTGCAGAATGGAGAAAAACATTGTTCCCAAACTGCAGAATTCAAAGAAAAGTTTAACCCTGTGAAATGAATACACACATCACAAGGCAGTTTCTCAGAAAGTTTTTCTTCTAGTTTTTACCTGAAGATTTTACCTTTTTCACAATAGGCCTCAATGCTCTCCAAAATATCCCTTTGAAGATTCTAGAAAAACAGAGTCTCCAAACTGCCTAAAGAAAGAAAGGTTAAACTCTGTGAGATGAATGCACACATGACAAAGCCGCATCTCAGGTAGCTTCCTTCTAGTGTTTATGCTGGGACATTTGCTTTTTCCTCATTGGCCTAAATGAGCTCCAAAATATCCATTTGCAGAATGGACAAAAACACTGTTTCCAAACTCCTGAATACAAAGAATGATTTAACTCTCTGAGATGAAAGCACACATCAGAAAGGGGTTTCCCAGAGAGCTTCTTTCTAGTTTTTAATCTGAAAATATTTTCTGTTTCAACAGAAATCTCAAAGCTCTCCAAAATATCCCTCAGCAGATTCTACAAATCAGTGTTTCCAGACTGCTGAATGAAAAGCAAGGTTTAACTCTGTGAGATGAAAGCACACATCACAAAGCAGTTTCTCTGATAGATTCTATCCTGTAGATAATCTTGCAGATTTTATCCTGGGATATTCACTTTTTCTATATTGGCCTCGATTAAGTCCCAAATGTCCATTCACAGAATGAAGAAAAATATTGTTTCCAAACTCTGTATTCAAAGAAAGTTTTAACTCTGTGAGTTGAATGCACACATCACAAAGCAGTTTCTCAGAAAGCTTCATTCTATTTTTTATCTGAAGATGTTTCCTTTTTCACCTTAGGCCTCAATGATCTCTGAAATATCCCTTTGCAGATTCTACAAAAACAGTGTTTAGATAGTCTTGTAGATTTTATACTGGGATATTCACTTTTTCTGTATTGGCCTCAATGAAATCCCAAATATCCATTCTCAGAATGAAGAAAAACAGTGTTTCCAAACTTTGTATTCAAAGAAAGTTTTAAGTCTGTGGGTTGAATGCACACATCACAAAGCAGTTTCTCAGAAAGCTTTTTTCTGTTTTTTATCTGAAGATGTTTCCTTTTTCACCTTAGGCCTCAATGGTCTTTGAAATATTCCTTTGCAGATTCTACAAAAACAGTGTTTAAAAACGGCTGAATGAGAAGAAAGGTTTAAATCTCCAAGATGAATGCACACATCACACAGCAGTTTCTCAAATAGATTTCGTCTGTTTTTTTCCTGGGATATTCTCTTTTTCACCATTGGCCTCAATGAGCTCCCAAATGTCCACTCAGAGAATGGACTTAACACTCTTTCCAAACTACTGAATCCCAAGAAAGTTTTACCTCTGTTAGATGAATGCACACATCAGAAAGCAGTTTCTCATATAGCTTCCTTCTAGTTTTTATCCTGGGGTAATTTCTTCTTTGCCAAATGCACACTCACAGAATGGACAAAAACACTCTTTCCAACCTACTGAATCCAAAGAAAGTTTTAACTCTGTGAGGTGAATTAACACATCACAAAGCAGTTTCTCTGAAAGCTTCCTTCTAGTTTTTAGCCAAAAATGTTTCCTTTTTAACCATAGGCCTCCATGCTCTGCAAAATATCCCTTTGCAGATTCTAAAAAAACAGTGTTTCCAAATTGCTGAATGAAAAGGAATGTTTAAATCTGTGAGATGAATGCATACATCACAAAGCAGGTTTCTCAGATCCCTTCCTTCTAGTTTTTACTCTTGGGTATTTGCTTTTTTTTGCCAGAGTCCTCAGTGTGCTCCCATATGTCCATTCACATCTTGGACTAAAACAGTGTTTCCAAACTACTGAATCCAAAGAAAGGTTTAAGTCTGTGAGATGAATGCACACATCACAAAGTAGTCTCTCAGAAAATTCTTTCTAGTTTTATCTGAAGATGTTTCCTTTTTCACCTTAGGCCTCAATGCTCTCGAAATATGTGTTTGCAGATTCTACAAAACCAGTGTTTCCAAACAGCTGAATGTAAAGATAAGTATAACTCTGTGAGTTGAATGCACACATCTCAAAGCAGTTTCTCAGAAATCTTCTCCTTGTCTTTATCTGAAGATGTTTCCTTTTTCACCATAGGCCTCAATTCTCTCTGAAATATCCCTTTGCAGATACCACAAAAATGGTGTTGCCAAACTTCTCAGTTAAAAGAAAGGTTTAACTCTGCAAGATTAATGCACCCTTTACATAGCAGTTTCTCAAATAGCTTTCCAGAATATTCACTTTTTCTTGCAATTGGCCTCAAAGAGCTCCCCAATGTCTTTTGCAGAATGGACTAAAACAGTGTTTCCAAACTGCTGAACCTAAAGAAAAGTTTAACACTGTGAGATGAAAGCACATATCACAAAGCAGTTTCTCTGATAACTTCCTTCTCGATTTTACACTGGGATATTCACTTTTTTGCCAGTGTCCTCAAGTGTTCTCAATGAGCTCACAAATGTCCATTCACAGAATGAACAAAAACAGTTTCCAAACTACTGAATCCAAAGAAAGTTTTAAGTCTGTGATATGAATACACTCATGACTATGCACTTTCCCAGAAAGCTTCTTCCTAGTTTTTATCTGAAGATGTTTCCTTTTTCACCATAGGCCACGAAGCTCTCTAAGATATCTTTTTGCAAATTCTACAAAAAGAGTGTCTCCAAACCGCTGAATGAGAAGAAAGGTTTAGTTCTGCAAGATGAATGCACACAAGTTCCTTCCTAGTTTTTATCTGAAGATGTTTCCTTCTTCACAGTACTCCTCAGTGGTCTCTGAAATATCCCTTTGCAGATTCTAAAAAAAACAGTGTTTCCAAACTGCAGCATCCAAAGAAAGATTTATCTCTGAGAGATGAATGCCCAAATCACAAAGAAGTTTCTCAGAAAGCTTCTTTCTTGTTTTTATTTGTAGACGTTTCTTATTTAACCATAGGCCTCATTGCTCTCTTAAATATCCCACTGCAGACTCTAAAAAACAGTGTTTCTAAACCACACAATGAAAAGAAAAATTTAACTCTGTGAGATGAATAGACACATCACATAGCACTTTCTAAGTTAGATTCCTTCTAGTTTTTATCCTGGGATATTCGGTTTTTCACCATTGGCTTCAAGCAAATCCCAAATGTCCATTTGTAGAATGGAGAAAAACAGTGTTTCCACACTGCTGAATCCATAGAAGTGTTTAACTCTGTGAGATGAATGCACACATCACACAGCAGTTTCTCAGAAGGCTTCTTTCTAGCTTTTATCTGAAGTTGTTTCCTTTTTCACCAGAGGCCTCAGTGCTCTTATAACCATCCTTTTGAAGATTCTACAACCAGTGTTTCCAAACTGCTGAATGGAAAGAAAGGTTTAATTCTGTGAGATGAATGCACACATCACAAAACGGTTTCTCAGAGAGCTTCCCTCTAGTTTCCATCCTCAGATGTTCACTTTTTTACCACTGGCCTCAATGAGCTCCAAAATGTCCATTCACAGAATGGGCAAAAACGGTGTTTTTAAGCTAGTGAATCCAAAGAAAACTTTAAGTCTTTGTGATGAATGGACATATCACAAGGCAGTTTCTCAGAAAGTTCTTTCCAGTTTTTATCTGAAGATGCTTCCTTTTTCACCATAGATCTCCACGCTCTCTGAAATATCCCTTTGCAGATTTCACAAAAACAGTGCTTCCAAACTGCTGAATGAAAAGAAAGTTTTAACTCTGTGAGTTGAATGGACACATCACAAAGCGGTTTCTCAGATAGCTTCTTTCTAGTTTTTATCACAGGATATTAGCTTTTTCATCACTGGACTCAAAGAACTCCCAAATGTCCATTTGCAGAATGGACAAAAAATAGTGTTTCCAAAGTGCTGAATCCAAATAAAGGTTTAACTCTGTGCAATGAATGCACCCATCAAAAAGAAGGTTCTCAGTAAGCTTCTTTCTAATTTTTATCAGAAGATGTTTGCTATTTCAACATAGACCTCAATGATCTCCAAAATATCCCTTTGCAGATTCTGTAAAAACAGTGTTTCCAAACTGCTGAATGAAGAGTCATTTTATTCTGCAAGATGAATGTACATATCACTTAGGAGTTTCTCAGATAGCTTCCTTCTAGTTTTTATTCTGGGATATTCAGTTTTTTCACCTTTGGCCTCCAAGTACTCCCAAATGTCTATTCACAGAATGGACATAAACAGTGTTTCCAAACTGCTAAATCTAAAGAAAGGATTAACTCTGTGGATGAATACACACATCACAGAGAAGTTTCTCAGAAACCTCTTAATGGTTTTTATCTGAAGATGTTTCCTTTTTCACAATAGGCATCAATGCTCTCCAAAATATCCCTTTGCAGATTCTACAAAAACAGTGTTTCCAAACTGCTGAATGAATAGAAGGTTTTAACTCTGTGACACGAATGTACACATCAAATAACAGTTTCTCAGATAGCTCGCTTCTAGTTTTCATCCTGGGATATTCTATTTTTTGCCATTGTCCCTAATGAGCTCCAAAATGTCCATGGATGTAATGGACAAAAACAGTGTTTCTAAACTGCTGAATAAAAACAAAGGTTTAACTCTCTGAGATAAATGTACATATCACAAAGCAGTCTCTCAGAAAGTTTCTTTATAGTTTTTATCAGAAGATGATTTTATTTCACCTTAGTCCTCAATGCTCTCCAAAATATCCCTTTGAAGATTCTACGAAAACACTCTTTCCAAACTACTGAATCCAAAGAAAGGTTTTACTCTGTGAGATGAATGCACACATCACAAAGCAGTTTCTCAGAAAATTTCTTTGTAGTTTTTATGTGTAGATGTTTTCTTTTTCACCATAGGCCTCAAGGCTCACCGAAATATCTTTTTTCAGATTCTACATATCCGTGTTTCCAAACTACTGAAAGAAAAGAGAGGTTTAACTCTGTGAGATGAATGCACACATCTCAAAGCAGTTTCTCACAATGTTTCTTTATAGTTTGTACCTGAAGATGTTACCTTTTTCACCACAGGCCTCAATCTTCTCTGAAATATCCCTTTGCGAATTCTAAAAAAAGAGTGTTTAAAAACTGCTGAAAGAAAAGAAAGTTTTAACTCTGTGAGATGAATGCACACATCACATAGCAGTTTCCTGGAAAGCTTCTTTCTAGTTTTCATCCTGGAACATTTGCTTTTTCGCCAATGACCTCAATGACCTCCCAAATATCCATTCACAGAATGGAAAAAAAAAAAAAACTCTTTCCAAACTACTGAATCCAAAGAAAGGTTTAACTATGTGAGATGAATGCACACATCACATAGCAGTTTCTCAGAAAGCTCCTTGCTAGTTTTTATCTGAAGGTGTTTCCTTTCTCACCATAGGCCACAATGCTCTCTGAATATCCTTTGCAGATCCTATAAAAACAGTTTCCAAACTGCTGAATCCAAACAAACGTTTAATTCTATGAGATGAATGCACACATTACAAAGCAGTTTCTCAGAATGTTTATTTCTTGTTTTTATCTGAAGATGATTTCTTTTTCACCTTAGGCCTTAATTCTCTCTGAAATATCCATTTGCACATTCTACAAAAACAATGGTTCCAAACTGCTGAATGCAAAGAAAGGTTTAACTCTGTGAGATGAATGCACACATCATTTAGAAGTTTCTCAGATAGCATCCATCCGTTTTTATCCAGGGATATTCACTTTTTCACCATTGGTCTCAATGTGCTCCCAAATGTCCATTCACAGAATGGACATAACACTCTTTCTAAACTACTGAATCCCAAGAAAGTTTTAGCTCTTTTAGATGAAGGCACACACCACAAAGCAGTTTCTCAGAATGCTGCTTTCTAGTTTTTTTCTGAAGATGTTTCCTTTTTCACCATAGACTTCAATTCTCTCTGAAATATAACTTTGTTGATTCTTAAAATAACATGTTTCCAAACTGCTGAAAGAACAGAAAGGTTCAGCTCAGTGTGAGGAATGCCCACATCACAAGGTGGTTTCTCAGAATGCTTCTTTCAAGTTTTTCTGAAGATGTTTCCTTTTACACATATGCCTCAATGCTCTCCGAAATATCCCTTTGTAAATTCTTAAAAAAATCCGTGTTACTAAACGGCTGAATGAGAAGAAAGGATTAATTCTGTTAGATGAATACACACATCACAAAGCAGTTTCTCAGATAGCTTCCTTCTAGTTTTTACCTTGGAATATTCGCTCTTTAACCATTGGCCACAATGAGCTCCCAAATGTCAATTTTCAGAATGGACAAAAACAATGTTTCCATACTACTGAATTGAAAGAAAGTTTTACCTCTGTGACATGAATGCACACATAACACAGCAGTTTATCAGAAAGCTTCTTTCTGGTTTTTATCTGAGGATGTTTCCTTTTTCACCATAGGCCTCAATGCTCTCTGAAATATCCCTTTGTAGATTCTACAAAAACAGTGTTTCCAAACAGCTGAATGTAAACAAAGGTTTGACTCTGTGAGATGAATGCACACATCACAAAGCAGTTTCTCAGAAAGCGTCCTTCTAGTTTTTATCTGAGGGTGTTTCCATTTTCACCATAAGCCTCAATGCTCTCTGAAATATCCCTTTGCAGATTCTACAAAAACAGTGTTTCCAAACTGCTGAATGAAAAGAAAAGTTTAACTCTGTGAGATGAATAGAGAGATCACATAGCCGTTTCTCTGTTAGCTTCTATCTTGTTTTTATCCTGGGATATTCCCTCTTTTGCCATTGGCCCCAAAGAGCTCCGAAATGTCCATTTGCAGAATAGAAAAAAAATTGTTTCCAAACCACTGAATCTGAAGAAAGTTTTAAGTCAGTGAGATGAATGCACACATCACAAAGCAATTTCTCAGAAAGCTTCTTTCTAGTTTTTATCTGCTGATGTTTCCTTTTTCACCATAGATCTCAAATCTCTCTGAAATATCTCTTCACAGATTCTAAAAAAACAGTGATTCCAAACTGCTGAAAGAAAAGAAAGGTATAACTCAGTGAGATGAATGCACGCACATGCATCATAAAGCAGTTTCTCAGTTTCTCAGATAGAGTCCTTCTTGTTTTTATCCTGGGATATTCACTCTTTTGCCATTGGGCCCAATGAGCTCCCACAAGTCCATTCACAGAATGGAACAAAGCAGTGTATCCAAACTACTGAATCCAAAGAACAGTTAAAATCTGTGAGATGAATGCACACATCACAAAGGAGGTTCTCAGAAAGCTTCTTTCCTGTTTTTATCTGAAGCTGTTTCCATTTTCACCATAGGCCTCAATGCTCTCTGAAATATACCTTTCCAGATTCTACAAAAACACTGTTTCCAAACTGCTGTGTGAAAAGAAAGCTTTAACTCAGTCAGATGAATGCACACATCACACAGCAGTTTCTCAGATAGCATCCTTCTAGTGTTTATAAAGTGATATTCACTTTTTCACATTTTGCCTCAATTACCTCCCAAATATCCATTTGTAGAATGCACAAAAACAGTGTTTCCAAACTGCTGAATCCAAAGAAAATTTTAACTCTACGTGATGAATGCAAACATCACATAGCAGTTTCTCAGATATCTTCCACCTAGTTCTTTCCTGGGATATTTGCTTTTTCACCATTGGCCTCAATCAGCTCCAAAATGTCAATTCACAGAATGAACAAAAACACTCATTGCAAACTACTGAATCCAAAGAAAGCTTTAAGTCTGTCAGATGAACAAACACATCACAAAGCAGTTTCTCAGAAATCTTATTTCTATTTTTTATCTATAGATATTTCCTTTTTCACCATAGACCTCAATGCTCTCCAAAATATCTCTTTGCAGATTATCCAAAAAAATCATTTCCAAACTGCTGAATGAAAAGAAAGACTTACCTCTGGGAGTAAATGTGCACATCACAAATTAGTTTCTCAGATAGCTTCCTTCTAGTTTGTATCCTGGGATATTCACTTCTTCTCCATTGGTCTCAACAAGCTCCGAAATGTCCTTTCACAGAATGGACAAAAACAGTGTTTCCAAACTGCTGAATCCAAACAAAGGTATAACTCTGTGAGATGAATGCATGCATCACAAAGTAGTTTCTCAGAAACCTTCTTTCCTGTTTTTATCTGCAGATGTTTCATTTTTCACCATAGGCCTAAATGCTTTCTGAAGTATCCCTTTGCAGAGTCTGAAAACAGAGTATTTCCAAACTGCTGAATGAAAAGAAAGGTTTAACTCTGTGAGATGAATGAACACATCAATAAGCAGTTTCTCAGATAGCTTCCATCTAGTTTTTATCCTGGGATAATTGCTTTTTCACCATTGGCCTCAAAGAACTCCCAAATGTCCATTTGCAGATTGGACAGAAACAGTTTCCAACTGGCTGAATCCAAAGAAATGTTTAACTTTTTTAGATTAATGTACACATCACAAAGCAGTTTCTCAGAAAACTTCTTTCTAGTTTTTATATGAAGATGTTTCCTTTTTCACCATAGTCCTCAATGCACACTATAATATCACTTTGAAGATTCTACAAAAACAGTGTTTACAAACAGCTCCATGAAAAGAAAGGTTTATCTCTGAGGGATGAATGCAAATATCACAAAGCTGTTTCTGAGATAGCTTTCTTGTAGTTTTTATCCTTGGACACTTGCTTTTTTGCCATTGGCCTCAATGAGCTACAAAATGTGCAATTGTAGAATGGACAAAAACAGTGTTTCCCAACTGCTGAATCCAAAGAAAAGTTTAACTCTGTAAGATGATTGCACACATCATAAAGCAGTTTCTTAGAAAGCTTCTTTCTAATTTTTATGTGACGATGTTTCCTTTTTCACCTTAGGCCTCAATGCTCTCCACAATATCCCTTTGCAGATTCTAAACAAACAGGGTTTCCAAACTGATGAGTGAAAAGGAAACTTTAGCTCTGTGAGATGAATGCACATGTTGCAAAGTGATTTCTCAGATAGCTTCCTTCTGGTTTTCATCCTCAGACATTTTCTGTTCTGCAATTGGCCTAAATGATCTCCCAAATGTCCGTTTGCAGAATAGACAATAACAGTGTTTCCAAACTGCTGAATCCAAAATTAACTCTGTGAGATGAATGCATATTTCACAAAGCACTTTCTCAGAAAGCTTCTTTCTAGTTATTATCTGAAGATGTTTCCTTTTACACCACAAGACTCAATGCTCTCCCAAATATGCCTTAGCAGATTCAACAAAAACAGTCCTCCCTAACTGCTGAAAGAAAAGAAAGGTTTAACTCTGAGAAATGAATGCACACATAGCTGTGTGGTTTCCTACTTAGCTTCCTTCTAGTTTTTACCCTAGGGTAATTTGCTTTTTCTCCATTGCCCTCATTGAGCTACCAAATGACAATTCACACAATGGACAAAAAGAGTGTTTCCATATAGCCGAATTAAAAGAAAGATTTAACTCTGTGAGATGAATGCACACATCACAAAGTAGTTTCTCAGAAAGCTTCTTTCTAGTTTTTATCTGAGGGTGTTTCCATTGTCAATATAGGCCACAAAGTGCTCCAATATCTCCCTTCAGAGAGTCTACAAAAGCAATATTTACAAACAGCTGCATGAAAAGAAACGTTTTTCTATGAGGGATGAATGCACACATCACAAAGCAGTTTCTGAGACTGCTCCCTTGTAGCTTTTATCCTGGGACATTTGCATTTTCAACATTGGCCTCAACGAGCTCCCAAATGTCCATTCGCAGAATGGATAAAAACAGTGTTTCCAAACTTCTGAATCCAGAGAAAGGTTTAATACTCTGAGATGAAGGCACACATCACAAAGCAGTTTCTCAGAAAGAATCTTTCTATTTTTTATCTGAAGATGTTTCTTTTTTCATGATAGGCCTCAATGCTCTCCAAAATATCCCTTTGCAGATTATTCAAAAATAGTGTTTACAAACTGCTGAATGAAAAGAAAGGTTTAACTCTGCGAGGTGAATGCGCACATACTAAAGGCTTTTCTCAGATAGCTTCCTTCTAGGTTTTATCCTGGGATATTTGCTTGTTCGCCTTTGGCCCCGATGAGCTCCCTAATGTCCATTCACAGAACGGAAAAAAACAATATTTCTAAAGTGCAGAATTCAAGGAAAACATTGTGAGATGAATGCAGGCATCACATAGCAGTTTCTCAGAAAGCTTCTTTGTAGTTTTTACCTGAAGATGCTTCCTTTTCCACCATAGGCCTCAATGCTCTCTGAAATATCCCTTTAAATATTCTACAAAAAGCGTTTTCAAACTTCTGAATGAAAAACTTTCATCTCTGAAAGATGAATGCACACCTTACAATGCAGTTCCTCACATAACCTCTTTCTCATTTTTATTGTTGGGTAATTCACTTTTCTGCCATTGACCCCAATGAGCTACAAAATGTCCATTCACAAAAGGGACAAAAACAGTGTTCCAAACAGCTGAAATCAAAGAAAGGTTTGAATCTTTGAGTTGAATGCACACATCACAGAATCACAGAGCAGTTTCTCACAAAGCCTCCGTCTAGTTTTTATCTGAAGATGTTTCCTTTTTCACCATAGGCCTCAATGCACATAGAAATATCCTTTTGCAGATTCTACAAAAACTGAGTTCCCAAATGCAGATTCTACAAAAACCGAGCTCCCAAACTGCTGAATGAACAGAAAAGTTTAACTCTGTGAGATGAATGCACACCTCACAAAGTGGTTTCTCTTATAGCGTCATTCTAGTTTTTAGACTGGGATATTTGCTTTTTTGCCATTGGCCTCAGTGAGCTCCAAAATGTCCATTCACAGAATGGACAAAAACAGTGCTTCCAAACTGTGGAATCCAAAGAAAAGTTGAACTCTGTGAGATAAATGCACATATGAAAAAGCAGTTTCTCAGAAAGCTTCCTTCTAATTTTTATCTGAAGATGTTTCCTTTTTCACCTTAGGTCTCAATGCTCTCCAGAATATCCCGTTGCAGAACCTACAAAAACACTGTTTCCAAACAGCTGAATGAAAAGAAAGAAAGCTCTGATTCCATGAGACGAATGCACACATCACAAAGCAGTTTCTCAGATAGCTTCCTTCTAGTTTTTATCCTGAGATACTCACTTTTTCGCCATTAGCCTCAATGAGCTGGGAAATGTCCATTCGCAGAATGGACAAAAGCAGTGTTTCCAAACTGCTGAATCCAAAGAAAGGCTTAAGTCTGTGAGACGAATGCACACATCACAAAGCAGTTTCTCAGAAAGATTCTAGTTTTTAGCTGAAGGTGTTTCCTTTTTCACCATAGGCCTCAATTCATTCCGAAATATCCCTTTGCATATTCTATAAAAACAGTGTTTCCAAACTGCTGAATCCAAAGAAAGTTTTAACTCTGTGAGATGAAGGCACAGAGCCCAAAGTCGTTTCTCAGAAAGCTTCTTTCTAGTTTTTATCTGAAGATGATTCCTTTTTCAATATAGGCCTCAATGCTCTCTGAATTATCCCTTTGCAGATCCTACAAAAACAATGTTTCCAAACTGCTGAATGAAAAGAAAGGTTTAACTCTGTGTGATGAATGCACACCTCACAAAGAGTTTTCTCAGATAGCTTCCTTCTAATTTTTATCCTGGTAAATTCCCTTTTTTGCCATTGGCCTCAATGAGCTCCCAAATGTCTCTTCGCAGAATGGTCAAAAACAGTGTTTCCAAACTGCTGTATCTAAAGAAAGTTTTAACTCTGTGAGATGAATGCACACATCACAAAGCAGTTTCTCAGAAAGCCTCTTTCTAGTTTTTATCTGACGATGTTTCATACTTCACCATAGGCCTCAATGCTCTCTGAAATATCTCTTTGCAGATTCTGCAAAAGGAGTGTTTCAATACTGGAGAATGAAAAGAAAGGTTTAACTCTGTGAGATGAATGCGCATATCACAAAGCAGTTTCTCATATAGCTTCCTTCTAGTTTTTATCCTGGGATATTCACTATTTCTCCATTGCCTTTAATGCACAAAGCTAATGGACAATTGGGAACTCATTGAGGCCAAAGGCAAAAAAGTGAATATCCAAGAATAAAACCTAGAAGGAAGCTATCTGAGAAACTGCTTTGTGCTGTGTGCATTCATCTCACAGAGTTAAACATTTCTGTTCATTCAGCAGTTGGGAAAAACTGATTCTGTACATTCTGCAAATGGATATTTCGGAGCTCACTGTGACGAATAGTTAAAAAGTGAATATCCCAAGATAAACACTAGAAAGAAGCTTTCTGAGAAACTGCCTTGTTCTGTGTGCATTCCTCTCACAGGTTTAAACCTTTAAGTTGATTCAGCAGTTTGGAAACACTGTTTTTGTCCATTCTTTGAATGGACATTTAGGAGTTCATCGAGGCCAATGGTGAAAATATGAATATCCCAATATAAAAACTAGAAGAAAGCTATCTCAGAAACTGCTTTGTGCTGTTTGCATTCTTCTCACAGAGTTAAAACTTTCTTTTGCTTCAGCAGTTTGGAAACACTGTTTTTGCGTAATCTGTGAAAGGACATTTGGGAGTGCATTTGGGCCTATGGTAAAAAAGAAAATACCTTCAAATGTAAACTATAAAGGGGCTTTCTGAGAAACTAGTTTGTTTTGTGTGCATTCACCTCACAGAAGTAAAACTTTCTTTTGATTCAGCAGTTTAGAAACAATATTTTTGTACAATCTCTGAATTGCCATTTTGTACCTCATTGAGGCCAAAGGTGAAAAAGTGAATATCCCAAGATAAAAACTAGAAGGAAGCTATCTGAAAAACCACTTTGTGATATATGCCTTCTTCTCACAGAATAAACCTTTCTTTTGATTCAGAAGTTTCAAAACTCTGTTTTTGTAGAATTTGCAAAAGGACATTTGGGAGTGTATTGAGGGCTACGGTGAAAAAGAAAATGTATTCAGATAAAAACTGGAAAGAAGCTTTCTGAGAAACTGCTCTGTGATGTGTGCATTCACCTCACAGAGTTAAACCTTTCTTTCAACTCAGTATTTTGGAAACACTGTTCTTTGACATTCTACAAATGGACATTTGATAGCTCATTGAGGGCAACAATGACAAAGCAAATATCTGAAGAGAAAAACTAGAAGGAAGCTATCTGAGAGGCTGCTTTGTGATGTATGCATTCATCTCACAGATTTAAAAGTCTCTGTTGATTCAGCAGTTTGGAAACACTGCCTTTGCACATTCTGCAAATGGACATTCATAGCTCATTGAGGCTAATGATGAAAAAGCCAATATCCCAAGATCAAAACAGGGAGATATCTGAGAAACAGCTTCATG
Organism: Homo sapiens; assembly: GCF_000001405.40. Taxonomy (NCBI): domain Eukaryota; kingdom Metazoa; phylum Chordata; class Mammalia; order Primates; family Hominidae; genus Homo; species Homo sapiens. Next base: position 39,141,518 of record NC_000010.11, on the reverse strand, counting down.
GTGTGTGCATTCTTCTCACAGATTTAATCCTTTCTTATGATTCAGCAGTTTGGAAACACTGCTTATGTACGTTCTGTGAATGGATATTTCAGAGCTCATTGTGGCCAGTGGTGAAAAAGCGAATATCTCCCCCACCAAAAAAAAAAAAATAAAATACTAGAAGGAAGCTATCTGAGAACCCATTTCTTTTTGTGTGCATTTATCTCTCAGAGTTAATCCTTTCTTTTTTTCAGCAGTGTTTAAACAGGGTTTTTGTAGAATCCGTGAAAGGACGTTTGGGAGCACATTGAAGCCTCTGGTGAAAAAGAAAATATCATCAGATAAAAACAAGAAAGAAGCTTTCTGAGAAACTGCTTTGTGATGTGTGCATTCTTAAATGGGCTCCCAAATGTCCTTTTACAGACTTTCCAAATAGTTTCTAACGTTTTGGATCAAAAGAAAGGTTTATCTCTGTGAGATGAATCTACACATCACAAAGCAGTTTCACAGATAGCTTTTCTCTAGTTTTTTTTCTGGAGACATTCGGTTTTTCTCCATAGACCTCAAAGGGCTCCCAAATGTCACTTTACAGACTCTACAAAAAGAGTGTTTCAAACATTCTGAATGAAAAGAAAGGATTAGCTCTGTGAGATGAATCCACACATCAGAAAGCAGTTTCACAGATTGCCACATTCTAGTTTTTCTCTGGAAATATTCGAGTTTTCCCCGTACGCCTCAATTAGATCCCAAATGTTCTTTTGTAGATTCTCCAAAAAGAATGTTTCCAATCTGCTGAAACAAAAGAATGTTTTAATTTTGTGAGATGAACTGACACATCACAAAGCACTTTCACAGATAGCGTCTTTCTAGATTTTATCTGCGGATAATCTTTTTGCCCCAGAGGTCTCATTGGGCTCTGAAATATCACTTCTCAGATTTTCCGAAACGAGTGTTTCCAGCCTGCTGAATCAAAAGAAAGGTTTAACTCTGTGAGATGAATCCACATATCACAAAGCTGTTTCACAAATAGCTTCTTTCTCGTTTTTTCCTGGGCATATTCAGTTTTTCTCATTAGGCCTATATAGACTCCCAAATGTCCATTTGCAGATTCTGCAAAAACAGTGTTTGCAAACCGCTGAATCAAAACAAAGCTTTAACTCTGTGAAGTGAATCCATACACCCAAAAAAATAGTTTCACAGATACCTTACTTATAGTTTTTATCTCTGGATATTCAGTATTACCCCATAAACCCCAATATGCTCCCAACTGTCCCTACACAGATTCTCCTAAAAGATTTTTTTCAACCTGCTGAATCAGAAGAAAGTTTGAACACTCCACACACCACAAAGCAGTTTCACAGACAGCTTCTTTCCAGTTTTTATCTGGGGATAGTTAGTTCTTCCCCATAGGACTCAAAGGGTTCCAAAATGTCCATTCTCAGATTCTTCAAAAAGAGTGTTTCCAACCTTCTGTATCAAAAGACATGTTTAACTCTGTGAGATGCACCCAAACAATGAAAAGCAGTTGCACAGATAGCTTCTTTCTAGTTTTTATTTTGGATTATTTATTTTTACCCATAGGCCACAATGGGCTCCCAAGTGTCCCTTCTCAGATTCTCTAAAAAGAGTGTTTCCGTCCTGCTGAGTCAAAAGAAAGGTTTAATTCTGTGAGATGAGTCCACACATCACAAAGCAGTTTCTCAGAGAGCTTCTTTCTAGTTTTTATCTGTAGATATTCAGTTTTCATTTGCATACCTAAATGGGCTCCCAAATGTCCATTCACAAATTCTACAAAAAGAGTATTTCTAACCTGCTGAATCAAAAGAAAGTTTTAATTCCATGAGATGAATCTGCATGGCACAAAGCAGCTTTACAGATTGACACTTTCTAATTTTTATGTAGGGATATTCTGTTTCTCTCCAATTGGCTCCCAAATGTCCCTCCAAAAACAGTGTTTCCAACCTCCTGAATCAAAAGAGAGGTTTGTCTCTCTCAGATGAATCCACACATCACAAAGAAGTTTCATAGATTTCTTCTTTCTAGTTTTTATGAGGAAACTCGGGTTTTCCCCATAGGTCACATTCGGCTCCCAGATGTCATTTTACAGATGCTGCAATTAGAGTGTTTCCAACCAGCTGAATCAAATGAAAGGTTTAACTCTGTTAGATGAATCCACACATCACAAAGCAGTTTACCAGATAGCTTCTTTTCAGTTTTTATCTGTGGATTTTCTCTTTCCTTCATAGGACTTAAGGGACCTAAAAGTGTCCCTTTGCAGATTCTACAAAAAGAGTGTTTCAACTCTTCTGGATAACAATAAAGAGTTAACTCTCTGAGATGAATCCACACATCACAATGTAGTTTCACAGATAGCTTATTTTTAGTTTTTATCTGTGGATATTTGTTTTTTTCCCCATAGGCCTCAATAGGCTCCAAAATGTCCCTTCACAGGTTCTACAGAAAGAGTGTTTAAAATCCAATGAATCAAAAAACGTTTTAACTCTGTGAGATGAATCCACAAATCACAAAGCAGTTTTACAAATAGCTTCTTTCTCGTTCTTATCTGGGGTTATTCTGTTTTTCTGAATAGGCCTGAAAGAGCTCCCAAATGTCTCTTTGCATATTCTCCAATAAGAGTGTTTCCAACATGCTGCATCAGGAGAAAGGTTCAACATGGTGAAATGAATCCACCCATCACAAAGCAGTTTCACAGGTTCCTTGTTTCCAGTTTTTATCTGGGGATATTCCTTTTTTTCCCCATAGGCTTTAATGGGCTCCAAAATGTCCCTTTGCAGATTCTCCAGAAAGAGTTTTTCCAACTTGCTGAATCAAAAGAAATGCTTAACTCTGTGAGATGCCCTCATGTATCACAAAGCAGTTTCACAGATACTTTCTTTCTAGTTTTTATCTGGGGATATTGTCATTTTCCCAATAGGCATCAATGAGCTCACAAATGTCCCTTTGCATATTCCATGAAAAGAGTGTTTCCAACCTGCTAGATCAAAATAAAAGTTTAACTTTGTTGGATGAATCCACACAACTGAAAGCAGTTTCACAGATAATTTCTTTCTGGTTTTCATCTGAGGATATTTGGTTTTTCCCCATAGGCCTCATTGGGCTCCAAATTGTCCCTTCACCGATACCACAAAAAGAATGTTTCCAACTTGCTGAATCAAAACAAATGTTTAACTCTTTGAGATGAATTTCAAATCACAAAGCAGTTTCACAGATACCTTCTCTCTATTTTTTATATGGGGATATTCAATTTTTCCCCATAGGCTTCAATGGGCTCAAAAAATGTCCCTTTGCAGAGTCTCCAAAAACAGTGCTTCCAGTATGCTGAGTCAAACGAAAGTGTTACGTCTGTGAGATGAACCCACACATCACAAAGCAGTTTCACATATAGCTTCTTTCTAGTTTTTATACAAGGATACTCAATTTTTCCCCATAGGCCTCAAGGGGCTCAAAAATGTCTCTTTGCAGAGTCTCCAAAAGGAGTGTTTCCAACATGCTGAATCAAAATAAGATTTACCTCTGTGAGATGAATCCACACATCACAAAGCTGTTTCACAGATAACTTCTTTCTAGTTTTTCTCTGTAGATATTTAGTTTTTCCCCATAGGCCTCAATTGACTCCCAAATGTCCCTTCCCAGATTCTCCACAAAGAGTTTTTCTAACTTGCTGAATCAAAAGAGAGGCTTAACTCTGTGGGATGCACCCACATACCACAAAGCAGTTTCACAGATAGCTTCTTTCTAAGTTTAATCTGGTGATATTGGCATTTCCCCGATAGGTAACAATGGGCTCTGAAATGTCCCTTCCCAGTTCCTCCAAAAAGAGTTTTTCCAACTTGCTGAATCAAAAGAAAGGCTTAACTCTTTTGGACGAATCCACACAACGCAAAGCAGTTTCCCAGATAGCTTCTTTCTAGTTTTTAATCTGTGGATATTCAATTTTTCCCCATAGGCTTCAATGGGCTCACAAATGTTCTTTTGCAGAGTTTCCAAAAGGAGTGCTTCCAATCTGCTGAGTCAAACGAAAGTTTTACCCCTGTGAGATGAATCCACACATCACAAAGCAGTTTCACAGATAGCTTCTTTCTAGTTTTTATACAAGGATATTCAATTTTTCCCCATAGGCCTCAATGGCTCAGAAATGTCCCTTTGCAAAGCCTCCAAAAGGAGTGTTTCCAATAAGCTAAATCAAATGAAAAATTTACCTCTGTGAGATGAATCCACATATCACAAAGCATTTCACGGATAACTTCTTTCTAGTTTTCTCTGTGGATATTCTGTTTATCCCCATAGGCCTCAATGGACTCCCAAATGTCCCTTCCCAGAATCTCCACAAAGAGTGTTTCCAACCAGCTGAATCAAAAGAAATGTTTAACTCTGTGATAAGTGTCCAAACTTCACAAAGCTGATTCACAGATAGCTTCTTTCTAGCTTTTATCTGGTGATAATCTGTTTTTCCCTGTAGGCCTCAAGGGCTCCAAAAGGTCACTTCACAGATTCAACAAAAGTGTTTCCAACCTGCTGGATCAAATAAAATGTTTAACTCTGTGAGATGAATCCACACATCAAAAAGCAATTTCACAGATAGCTTGTTTCTAGTTTTTATCTCGAGATATTCAGTTTCTCCCCATAGGCCTCTATAAACTCCCAAATGACCCTTGGGAGATTCTACAAAAGAGTGTTTCCCACATGCTGAATCAAAAGAAAGACTGAACTCCGTTAGATGAATCTGCACATCACAAAGCAATTTCAAAGATAGCATCTTTTTAGTTTTTATCTTCTTTATTCTCTTTTTCCCCATACATGCAAATGCTCTAAAAATTGTCCCTTCCCAGATATTCCAAAAAGGGTGTTGTCCACCTACTTAATCAACAGGCAGGATTAACTTTGTGAGATGAATTCACACATCACAAAGCAGTTTCACAGATATCTTCTTTCCAGTTTCTATATTAGGATATTGGATTTTTCCCCATATACCTCAATGGGCTCCCAAATGTCCCTTCACAGATTCTACAAAAAGATTGTTTCCAACCTGCTAGATTAAAAGAAAAATTTAAAAGATGAATCCACCCACCACAAATTTCTTTCACAGATAGCTTATTTCTGGATTTCATCTGGGCAGAATCAGTTTTGCCCCATAGGCATCAATGGGCTCCCAAATGTCCCTTTACTGATTTCCTAAAAGAATGTTTCCAAGCTGCTCAGTTAAAAGGAAGATTTGACCCTGTGAGATGAATCCATACATGACAAAGGTGTTTCACAGATAACTTCTTTCTAGTGTTTATTTGAGGATATTCAGTCTTTCCCAAAAGGCCTTGATGGGTTCCCAAATTTTCCTTCACAGATTCTACAAAAAAACGTATTTTCAATCTGCTGAATCAAAAAACATGTTTAACTCTGTGAGATGAATGCACACATCATGAAACAGTTTCTCAGATAGATTTTTTCTAGTTTTTTTTTCTGGGGATATTTGATTTTTCCCCTTAGGCCTCAATGGGCTTCCAAATGTTCGTCTGCAGATTCTCCAGTTAGAGCATTTCCAACCTGCTCAATCAAAAGAATGTTTTAATTCTGTGTGATGAATCCACATGTCACAAAGCCATTTCACACATAGCTTCTTTCTTGTTTTTATCTTGGGATATTTGGCTTTTCCCCATAGGCCTCAATGTTATCCCAAATATCACTTCATAAATTCTGTAAAAACAGTGCTTCCAATCTGCTGAAACAAAAGAAAGGTTTAACTCTGAGATGGATTTACAAATCACAAAGCAGTTTCACAGATAGCTTCTTTCTAGTTTTTATGAGGAGATATTCAGTTTTTCTCCATAGGCCTCAATGGGCTCCCAAAAGCACCTTCTCAGTTTATCCAAAAACAGTGTTTCCAACCTGCTGGGTCAAAAGAAAGGTTCATCTCTGTGAGATGAATGCACACAACACAAAGCAGTTTAACAGATAGTTTTTTTCTAGTTTTTATCTGGCAATATTTGGTTTTTAGGTAAGCCTCATTAGGCTCCCAAATGTCTCTTTGCAGATTCTACAAAAACAGTGTATCCAACCTGCTTGATCAAAAAAAAATTTAACTCTTTGAGATGAATCCACACATCACAAGGCAGTTTCACAGATAGTTTTTTCTAGTTTTTGTATGGGGATATTCGTTTTTTCCCTTAGGCATCAATGAGCTCCCAAATGTCCCTATGCAGATACTCCAGAAAGAATGTTTCCAATCCGCTGAATCAAAAAAAAAGTTTACCTATGTTAGAGGAATCTACAAGTCACAAGGCAGTTTCACAAATAGCTTCTTCCTAGTTTTTATTTGGGGATATTCTGTTTTTCCCCATAGGCCTTGATGGCCTATGAAATGTCCCTTCACAGGTTCTACAAAAAGAGAATTTCCAACCTCTGTGAGATGAATCCACACATCACAAAGCAGTTTCACAAATAGCTTATTTCTAGTTTTTATCTGGCCATACTCAGTTTTTCCCCATAGGCCTCAATGAGCTCTCAAATCTCCCTTCACATATTCTACAGTAAGAGTGCTTCCAAACTGCTGAATCAAAAAAAGTTCTAACTCTGTGAAATGAATGCACACATCAAAAAGCAGTTTCACAGAAAGCTTCTTTCTAGTTTTTACCTTTGAATATTCGGTTTCTCTGAATAAGCCTCCACAGGCTCACAAATGTCCCTTTTTAGAGTCTCCAAAAAGGGTGTTTCCAACCTGCTGAATCTAAAGAATGGTTTAATTCTATGAGATGAATCCACACTTCAAGAGGTAGTTTCACAGATAGCTTCTTTCTAGTTTATACCTAGGGATATTCAGTTTTCTTTCTTAGGCCTCAGTGGGCTCTAAAATGTCCCTTCACAGAGTCTCCAAAAAGTGTGTTTCCAATCTGTTGAATTAACAGGAAGGTTTAACTCAGTGAGATGAATCCACACATCACAAAGCAGTTTCACAGAAACCTGCTTTCTAGTTTTTTTCTGGGGATATTCTGTTTTTTTCCCATAAACCTCAATGGGCTCCCGAATGTCCCTTCACAGTATCTCCAAAAAGAGCACTTCAAACCTACTAAATCAAATGAAAGGTTTAATACTGTCAGGTGAGTCCAACAACACAAAGCAGTTTTACAGATATCTCCTTTATAGTTTTTATCTTGGGATACTCTGTTTTTCTCCATAAACTCAATGGGATCCCAAATGTTCCTTCGCAGATTCTACAAAAAGAGTGTTTCCATCCTGCTGAATGAAAAGAAAGTTTTAAGTCTGTGAGATGAATCGACACATCACAAAGGAGTTTCACAGATAGCTTCTTCCTAATTTTTATCTGGGGATATTCCATTTTTCCCCATAGGCCTCAATGTGCTCCCAAATATCTGTTTGCAGTTTCTACCAAAAGAGTGTTTCCAAACTACTGTATCTAAAGAAAAGTTTAACTTCGTGAGATGAATCTACAAGTCACAAAGCAGTTTCACAGATAACTTCTTTGTAGTTTTTATTTCGGGATGTTCAGTTTTTCTCCATAGGCCTCAATGGGTTCTCAAATGTCCCTTCGCAGATTCTCCAAAAAGAGTGCTTCCAACCTGCTGATTCAAAGGAAAAGTTTAACTCTGAGAGCTGAATCCAAACACCACAAAGCAGTTTTAGAGGTAGCTTCTTTCTTCCCATTATCTGTGGATTTTTTTTTCTCTCGTAGGTCTCAATGGGCTCCCAAATGTCCCTTCACAGAGTCTACAAAAAGATTGTTTACAACCTGTTGAACAAGAAGAAAAGTTTCACACTGTGAGATGAATCCACATATCACAAATCAGTTCCACAGATAGCTTCATTCTAGTTTCTATCTGGGAATATTTGGTCTTTCCCCATATGCCTCAGTGGGCTCCCAAATGTTTTTTTTGCAGAATCTCCAGAAAGAGTGTTCACAACCCGCTGAATCAGAAGAAAGTTTTAACTCTGTGAGCTGAATCCACACATCACAAAGCTGCTTCAGAGATTACTTCTTTCCAGTTTTAATCTAGGGATATTCAGTTATTCCCCATAGGCCTCAAAGGTTTCACAAGTGTCCCTTTGCAGATTCTCCAAAAACAGTGTTTCCAATGCTGACTAAAAGAAAGATTTAATTCTGTGAGATAAATCCCCATATCACAAAGCAGTTTCACAGATAGCTTCTTTGTGATTTTTACCTAGTGATATTCGGTATTTCCCCATAGGCCTATTTGAGCACCCAAATTTCCCTTTGCAGCTTCTACAAACAGAGTTTTTTCCAACCTGTTGAATCAAGACAAGGGTTTAACTCTCTAATATGTATCCAGCATTCACAAAACACCTTCACAGGTAACTTTCTTAGGCGTCAATTGGCTCTAAAATTTCCCTTTGCAGAGTCTCCAAAAAGTGTGTTTCCAATCTGCTGAATCAACAGGAAGGTTTAACTCTGTGAGATGAATCAAAACATCACAAAGCAGTTTCATGGAAAGATGTTTCTGGTTTTTATATGGGAATATTCCATTTTCCCCATACTCCTTAAGGGACTCCAAAGTGTCCTTTTTCTTATTCTACAAAAAGAGTGTTTCCATCTCGCTGAATCAAAAGAAATTTTAAACTCTGTAAATGAGTTCACACATCACAAAGCACTTTCACAGATAGATTCTTTCTAGTTTTTATATAGGGATATTTGGCTTTTCTCTGTGGACCTCAATGGGCTGCCATGTGTCCCTTTGCAGATTCTCCAATCAGATTGTTTCCAACCTGCTGAATGAAGAGAAAGGTTTACCTATGTGAGATGAATCAACATATCATAAAGCAGATGCACAAATAGTTTCTTTCTCATTTTTATCTGGAGATATTAAGTTTTTCCCCATTGCCCTCAATGGGCTTTCACATTTTTTCACAGGTTCTCCAAAAAGAGTGTTTCCAACCTGTTGACACAAAAGAAATGTTTACCTCTGTGAGTTGAATTTACACATCACCAAGCAGATTCACATATAGCTTTTTTCTACTTTTTTATGGGGTATTCAATTTTTCCCTATTGGACTCAATGTGTTCCCAAATGTCCCTTTGCAGATTCTACAAAAAGAGTGTTGCCAACATGGTGAATCAAAAGAAAGTTTTAACTCTGTGAGATGAATCCACACATTGCAAAGCAGTTTCACAGACGGCTTCTTTCTGGTTTTTATCTGGGGTTATTCAGTTTTTCCCAATAGGCCTGAAAGGGCACTCAAATGTCCACATCTCACAAAGGAGTTTCACAGATAGTTTCTTTTTTAATTATATCTGAAGATATTAAATTTTTCCCCATAAAACCTCAAACAGCTCCCAACTGTCCCTTTGCAGATTCTCAAAAAAGGGTGTTTCAAAACCGCTGAATCAAAAGAAAGTTTCTTTCTGTGAGATGAATCCACACATCACAAAGTTTCACAGATAGCTTATTTCCAGTTTTAATCTGGTGATATTCAGTTTTTCCCCACAGGCCTCAATGAGCTCTCAAATTTGTTTTTCAGAGATTCTCCAAAAAGATTATTTTCAATCTGCTGAATCAAAAGAAAGGTTTAACTCTGTGTATTTCACCCATACATCACAAAGCAGTTTCATAGATAGGTTCTTTCTAGTTTTTATCTGGTAATATTCAGTTTTTCCTTTAGGACCCAAGGGGATCCCAAATATCTGTTGGCAGATTTTGGAAAGAGTTTTTAACCTGCTGAATTAAAAGAAAGGTTTAATTCTATGAAATGAATCCACGCACCACAAAACAGTTTAACTAAAAGCTTCTTTGTAGTTTTTATCTGGGAATATTCGGTTTTTCCACATATGCCCCAATGGGCTCCTTTTTCTTTTTTTTTTTGAGATGGAGTCTCGCTCTGTCACCCAGGCTGGAGTGCAGTGGTGCGATCTCAGCTCACTGCAAGTTCTGCCTCCCAGGTTCACACCATTCTCCTGCCTCAGCCTCCCAAGCAGCTGGGACTATAGGGGCCCATCAACATGCCCAGCTAATTTTTTTTGTATTTTTAGTAGAGACAGGTTTTCACCACATTAGCCAGGATGGTCTTGATCTCCTGATCTCATGATCCCCCTGACTCAGCCTCCCAAATTGCTGGGATTACAGGCATGAGCCACCACACCTGGCCCCCAATTGGCTCCTTTATTTCTCTTCAGAGATTCTCAGAAAAGAGTGTTTCCAACCTGCTTAATAAAAAGATCAGTTTAACTCTGTCAGATGAATCAACACATCATGAAGCAGTTTCACAGATAGCTTCTTTCTAGTTTTTTCTAGGGATAATTTTTTTCAACATAGACCTCAATGGGCTCTGAAATATCCATTACCAGATCCTAGAAAAAGAGTGTTTCAAATCTGTTCAATGAATAGAAAGATGTAACTATGTGAGAAGAATCCACATATCATAAAGCAGATTCACAGATAGCTTCTTTCTAGTTTTTATCTGGAGATATTAGGTTTTTCTTGATAGGCCTCAATGGGATCCCAAATGTCCCTTCATGGATTCTACAAAAAGATTATTTCCAACCTGTTGAATCAAAAGAAAGGTTTAACACTGTAAGATGAATCTACGCATCACAAAGCAGTTTTACAGATAGATTATTTGTGGTTTTTATTTGGGGATATTCGGTTTTTCCCCATAAGCCTCAATCAGCTCAAAAATGTCCCTTCACAAATTCTCCAAAAGAAGCTTTTTCAACCTGCTGAATCAAACAAAAGTTTTAATTCTGTGAGATGAACCACACATCACAAAGCAGTTTCACAGATAAGTTCTTTCTTCTTTTAATATGTGGATATTTGTTTTTTCCCCATAGGCCTCAAAGGGTTCCCAAATGTCCATTCGCAGATACTCCAAAAAAAACTGTTTCCAACCTGCTGAATAAAAGAAAACTTTAATTATTTAAGTTGAATCCACAAATAAAAAAGCAGTTTCACAGGTACTTCTTTCTACGTTTTTTTCTGGGGATATGCTCTATTTCCCCATAAGCCTCAATAAGCTCCAAGATATCCATTCACAGATTCTCAAAAAAGAGTGTTGCCAACATGCTGAATCAAAAGAAAGGTTTAACTTTATGAGACGAATCCACACGTCACAAAGCATTTTCACAGACAGCTTCTTTGTAGTTTATACCTGAGGATATTCCGTTCTTCCCCTTAGGCCTCAATGGGCTCTCAAATGTCCCTTTGCAGATCCTCCAAGAAGAGCGTTTACTACCTGCTGAATCAAAAGAAAGGTTTAACTCTGTCAGATGAATTTACATGTCACAAAGCAGTTTCACAGATAGCTTCTTTCTGGTTTTTATCTGGGGATATTCATTGTTTCCCAATAGGCCCAAATGGACATCCAAATGTCCTTTCACAGATTCTCCAAAAAGAGTATTTCCAACCTGTTGAATCAAAAGAAAACTTTACCTGTGTGAGAAGAATCCACACATCACAAAGCAGTTGCACAGATAGCTTCTTTATTGATTTTATCTGTGGATTTTTTTTCCCCATAGGCTTCAATGAGTTCCCAACTGTCCCTTTGCAGGTTCTACAAAAAGAGCGTTTCCAACCTGTTGAATCAAAAGAAAGGTTTCTTTCTGTGAGATGAATCCACACATAACAAAGCAGTTTCACAGATAGCTCTTTCTAGTTTTCATCTGAGAATATTCAGTGTTTCCCCCAGGCCTCAGTGGGCTCCCAAATGTTTTTTTGCCGATTCTCCAAAAAGAGTGTTTTCAACCTGCTGAATCAAAAGAAAGGCTTAACTCTGTGAATTTAATCCACAAATCACAAAGCATTTTCACAGACAGGTTCTTTCTAGTTTTTATCTGGGAATATTCAGTTTTTCTTTGAAGGCCTCAAGGTAGTCCCAAATACCTGTTAGCTGATTTTGGAAAAAGAGTGTTTTTAACCTGCTGAATCAAAAGAAAGTTTTAACTCGATGAGATGAATCTATAAATCACCAAGCAGTTTCACAGAAAGCTTCTTTTTAGTTTTCATCTGGGAATATTCAGTTTTTCACAAAAGCCTCATTGAGTTCTTATATGTTCCTTTGCAGATTCTCAAAAAGTGTTTTCAACCTCTTAATCAAAAGATAGGTTTAACTCCATGAGATGAGCCCACACATCACAAAGCAATTTCACAAGTAGATTCTTTCTAATTTTTTTCTGAGGATATTTGATTTTTCAACATAGGCTTCAATGGGCTCCCAAATATCCCTTTGCAAATTCTAGAAAAAGAGTGTTTCAAGTCTGTTGAATCAATAGGAAGATTAAACTCTTTGAGAATAATTCACATATCCCAAAGCAGTTTCACACATAGTTTTTTCTAGTTTTTATCTGGGGATATTCAGGTTTTTGATGGGATCCCTAATATCCCTTCACAGATTTTACAAAAAGAGTATTTCCAACCTGGTGAATTAAAAGAAAGTTTTAACCCTGTGAGATGAATCTCCACATCACAAAACAATTTTACAGGTAGGTTATTCATTGTTGTTATTTAGGGATATTCAGTTTTTCTCCATAGGGCTCAATCAGCTCCCAAATGTCCCTTCACGAAGTCTACAAAAACATTGGTTCTTACGTGCTGAATCCAAAGAAAGCTTTACCACTGTGAGATGAATCCACACATCTCAAAGCATTTTCACAGATAGATTCTTTCTTGTTTTAATCTGGGGATATTCACTTTTATCTCATAGGCCAAAAAGGGTTACAAAATGTCTAATTGCAGATACTCCAGAAAGAATGTTTCCAACCTGCTGAAGAAAAGAAAGGTTTAACTATGTAAGTTGAATGCAGACATCAAAAAGCAGTTTAACAGATAGCTTTTTTCTACCTTTTATCTGGGGATATTCAGTTTTTCTTTGTAAGCTTCAATAAGCTCCCAAATGTTTCTTTGCAGGTCCTCCAAAAAGAGAGTTTCCAACCCACTGAATCAAAAGAAAGTTTTAACCCTGAGAGATGAATCTACACTTTACAAAGCAGTTTCACAGATAGCTTCTTTCTAGCTTTTATCTGAGGATATTTTGTTTTTCCCCATGGACGTCAATGGGCTTCAAAATGTGCCTTTGCAGTTTCTCCAAAAAGAGTGTTTCCAATCTGCCAAATCAAAAGAAAGATTTAACAATACAAGATGGATTCGCACATCACAAAGGGTTTTCACAGACAGCTTTTTTGTAGTTTATATTAGGGGATATGTGGTTTTTCCCCATAGGCCTCAATGGGCTCTCAAATGTCCCTTTACAGATCCTCCAAGAATAGTGTTTACTACCAGCAGAATCAAAATAAAGTTTTAACTCTGAGATAAATCCACACATCACAAAGCAGTTTCACAGTTAACTTCTTTCTAGTTTTAATCTTGCAATATTCGATTTTTTCCCATACCCCTCAAAGGGTTCCCAAATATCCATTCACAGATTTTCCAAAAAGAGTGTTTCCATCCTGCTGAATAAAAGAATGTTTAACTCTATGTGCTGAATCCACACATCAAAAAGCAGTTTCACAGATAGCTTCTTTCTACTTTGTATCTGGGGATATTCTGTTTTTACCTACAGGCCTCAATAAGCTCCCAAATGTCCCTGCACATATTCTACAAAAAGGTTGTCTCCAAACTGCTGAATCAAAAGAAAAGTTTATCGCTGCCAAATAAATCCACACGTCAAAAGCAGTTTCACAGATGGCTTCTTTCTAGTTTTTTTCTGGGGATATTTCGTGTATCCCTTTGGGCCTCAATGTGCTCCCAAATGTCCCTTCTCAGATTTTCCAAAAAGAGTGTTTACAACTTCTGAATCAAAAGAAAGATTTAAATCTGTGAGATGAGTCTGCACATCAGAATGCAGTTTCACAGATAGCTTCTTCCTGGTTTTTATCTGGAAATATTTTATTTTTACCTTTAAGCCTCAATGGGCTCCCAAATGTCCTTTTGCAGATTCTTCAAAAAGGCTGTTTCAAACGAGCTGAATCAAAAGAAAGGTTTAACACTGTGACTGTGAGATGAGTCAAACAGCACAACTACATTTTACACATAGCTTCTTTCTAGTTTTTATCTGGGTATATTCAGTTTTCCCCCATAGGGCTCAATGGACTCCCAAATATTCCTTTATAGATTCTACAAAAAGAGTGGTCCCAAACTGCTGCATCAAAAGAAAGTTTTACCCCTGTAAGGTGAATCCACACATCACAAAGCAGTTTCTCAAATAGCTTCTTTCTAGTTTTTATCCAGGGATAATCAATTTTTCCCCTTAGGCCTCACAGTCACCAAAATGTACCTTCGAAGATTCTCCAAAAAGAGTGTTGTAAATTTACTGAATAAAAAGGAAACCTTAACTCTGTGAGATGAATCCACATATCACAAAGCAGTCTCACAGATAGTTTCCCTCTAGTTTTTATCTGGGGATATTCAGTTTTTCACCATAAGCCAAATAAGCTCCAAAATGCCCCTTTTCACATTTTCCAATAGGAGTGTTTCCAATCTGCTGAATCAAAAGAAAGGTTTAACTTTGCAAAATGAATCCACACATCAGAAAGCATTTTCACAGATGGCTTCCTTGTGCTTTATATTTGGGGATATTCAGTTTTTCCTAATAGGCCTCAATGGGCTGTCAAATATCCCTTGGCAGATTCTCCAAAAAGAGTGTTTACCAAATTTTAAATCAAAAGAAAGTTTTAACTTTGTGAGATGAATCCACACATCACAAAGCAGTTTCACAGACACATTATTTCTAGTTTTTATTGGGGTATATTAGGTTTTTCCCATAGGCCACATTGGGCTCACAAATATCCATTCACAGATTTTCCAAAAAGAATGTTTCCTATCTGCTGTATCAAAAAAAGATTTAACTCTGTGAGATAAATCCACACATCACAAAGCAGTTTCACAGAAAGCTTCTTTCCCATTTTTATCTGAAGATATTTGTTTTTTCCCCATAGACCTCAATGGGCTCCCAAATGTCCCTTCACTGATTACACGAAAATAGTGTTTCTAACCTGCTGAATTGATAGAAAGGTTTACCCTTATGAGACAAATCCACACATCACAAAGAAGTTTTACTGATTGCTTTTTTTCTACTTTTTATCTGGGGATATTTCTTTTTATTCCTAAACCTATATGGGCTCCCATATGCCCTTTCACAAAATCTACAAAAAGAGTGTTTCCATCATTTTCAATCAAAGGAGAGGTTTAACTCTCTGAGATGAATCCACATATCACAAAGTAGTTTCACAGATAGCTTCTTTCAAATTTTCATCTGGGGTTTTCAGTTTTTTTCCATAGCCATCAACGGGCTCCCAATTTCCCTAGTGCCAATTCTCCAAAAATAGTGTTTCCAACCTGGTGAATCAAAAGAAAGGTATAGCTCACTGAGATGAATAGACGCATCATAAAGCAGTTTCACAGATAGTTTCTTTCTAATTTTTAATTTGGAAATATTCGATTTTTTCCTGTAGGCCTCAGGGACTTCGCAAACGTCCATTCACCGATTCTGCAAAAAGAGTGTTTTCACCATGATGAATCAAAAGAAAGATTTAACTCTGTGAGATGAATCCACACATCACAAAAGAGTTTCACAGATAGCTTCTTAGTACTTTTTATCTGGGAATATTCAGTTTTTTCACGTATGCTTCATGTATGCTCCCCAGTGTCCCTTCACAAATTCTGCAAAAAGACTGTTTCAACTAGCCAAATTAAAAGAAAGGATTAACTCCATGAGATGAACACACCAATCACAAAGTAGTTTCAAAGAAAGCTTCTTTCTAGTTTTTATCTGGGAATATTCTATTTTTTCCCATGTGCCTTAATGGGCTCCTAAATGTCTCTTTGCACAGTCTCCAAAAACCATGTTTCAAACCTGCTGAATCAAAAGATAGGTTTAACACTATGAGATGAATCCCCTCATCACAAAGCAGTTTCACATGGAGCTTCTTTCTAGTTTTATATGGCAATAATCACTTTTTCCCAATAGGCCTCAATGCCCTCCCAAATTTCCCTTTGCAGATTCTAGAAAAAGAGTGTTTCTAACCTGTGGAATGAAAAGATTTAACTCTGTGAGAAGAATCTACACATCACAAAGCAGTTCACAGATAACTTATTTCTAGTTTTTATCTAGGGATATTTGTACTGTTTACCCATTGGCCACAAAGGGTTCCTAAATGACCTTTTGTAGATTCTCCAAAAAGTGTGTTTCCAACCTGCTGAAACAAAAGAGACTTTTAACTCTGTGAGATGAGTCCACACATCACAGAACAGTTTCACAGATCGGTTCTTTCCATTTTTTTAAACTGGGGGTATTCAGTTTTCCCCCATAGACCTTTTTGAGCACCAAATTGTCCCTTTGCAGATCCTCCAAAAAGAGTGTTTCCAAGCTGCTGAATCAAAAGAAAGGTTTAACTCTGTGAGAGGAATCCACACATCACAAAGAATTTTCACAGATAGCTTCTTTCTAGGTTTTATCTGGAGATATTTTGTTTCTCTCCATAGGCCACAGTGGGCTCCCAAATATCCCTTCTCAGATTCTCCACAAAGACAGTTTTCAAACTGCTGAAACAAAAGACTACTTTTACTCTGTAAGTTGAATCAAAGCTTCAAAAATCAGTTCACAGATATCTTCTTTCCAGTTTTTATATGGGGATATTCAGTTTTTCCCCATAGGCCTCAATGGGCTTCCAAATATCCCTTCACAGATTTTACAAAAAGAGTGTTTCCAACTTGCTTATTCAAAAGAGAGGTTAATTCTGAAAAATGAATCCACACATCACAAAACAGTTCCACAAGTAGCTTCTTTCCAGTTTTTTTCTTAAGATATTTGGTTTTTCCCCTTTGGCCTCAATGGACTCCCAAATATCCCTATGCAGATTTTCTGAAAGAAGTATTTCCAACCTGCGGAATCTAAATAAATGTTTCACTCTATGAGATGCATTTACACATCAAAACACACTTTCACAGATAGCATCTTTTTAGTTTTTATCTGGGAATATTTGCATTTCAATAATAGGCATCAATGGGCTTCCAAATGCTCATTTGCATATTCTCCAGCATAGTGTTTTGTTTTGTTTTGTTTTGTTTTGGGGGGTTTTGGTTTTGGTTTTGGTTTTTTGTAGAGATGGGGATTCACTCTGCTAGCCAGGATGGTGTCAATCTCCTGATATCGTGATCTGCCTGCCTTGGCCTCCCAAAGTGCTGGGATTACAGGCATGAGCCACTACACCCAGCCTCCAACATAGTGTTTTTAACCTGTAGAATAAAAAGAAAGGTTTAATTCAGTGACATGTATCCCACATCAAAAAGAAGGATCATGGCTAGTTTCTTTTAGTTTTTATCTAAGATATTCTGTTTTTCCCCTTGGACATCAATGGGATCTAAAATGTACCTTCCCATATTCTTAAAAAAAAGTGCTTCCAATCTGCTGAATGAAAAGAAAGCTTTAAATCTGTGAGATGAATACACATATCACAAAGCAGTTTCATAAATAGCTTCTTTCAAGTTTTAATCTGGGGATATTCAGATTTTCCCCATAGGCCTCAAGGAACTCCAAAATGTCCCTTTTGCAGGTTGTCCAATTACAGTGTTTCCAAACTGCTGAAGCAAAAGAAAGCTTTAACTCTGTGAGATGAATTGACACATTACATAGCAATTTAACAGATAGTTTCTTTCTAGTTTCCATCTGTGGATATTTAGTTTTTCCACATAGGTTTCTTTGAGTGCCAAAATGTCCCCTTGAAGATTGTCCAAAAAGAGTGTGTCCAACCTCTGGAATCAAAAGAAAGATTTGACTCTCTGAGATGATTTACACATCAGAAAGCAGTTTCACAGAGATCTTTTTTCTACTTTTCAACTGGGATATTCATTTTTTTCCTAAACCTCTACAGGCTCCCAAATGTCCCTTTGCAGTTTCTATAAAAACAGTATTTTTATGCTGCTGAATTAAAAGAAGGTTTTAACTCTGTGAGATGAGTGGACACACCACAAAGCAGTTTCTAGTTTTATCTCAGGATATTCTGTTTTTCTCCATAGGCCTCAATGGGCTCCTAAATATTTTATCACGTATTCTACAAAAAGAGTGCTTCCAATCTGCTGAATCAAAAGAAGCATTTAACACTGTGAAGTGAAACCACACATCACAAAGAAGTTTCACAGATAGCCCTTTTCTACTTTTTATCTGGGAATATTTGTTTTTTCCCCATTGGCCTCAATAGGATCTAAAATGTTTCTTTGCAGATTCTACAAAAAGAGTGTTTCACACCTGCTGAATCAAAACAAAAGTTGAACACTCTGAGATGAATCCACACATCACAAAGAAGTTTCACTGAGAGCTTCTTTCTACTTTTTATCAAGGGATATTCATTTTTCCCCATAGGCCTGAATGGCTTTTCAAATGTCCCTTAGCAGATTCTAGAAAAAGAGTGTTTCCAACCTGCTGGAGCAAAAGAAAAGTTTATCTATGTGAGACAAATACACACAAAACAAAACAGTTTCACGGATAGCCTCTTTCTACTTTTTATCTGGGGATATTCTGTGTTTACTTATAGTCCTCAATGAGCTCCAAAATGTCCTCTTGCAGATTCTCTGAAAACAGTATTTCCAATCTGCTGAATCAAAATAAAGGTAAAACTCTGTGAGGTGAAAGCACACATCACAAAGCAGTTTCACAGATAGCTCCTTTCTAGTTTTTTTTTTCTGTGGATATTCGGTTTTATCATATAGGGACAAATGGGTCCCAAAATGTCCCTTCGAAAATACTCCAAAAAAAGTGCTTTTAAGCTACTTAATCAAAAGAAAGCATTACTTCTGTGAGATGAATCCACACATCGCAAAGCAGCTTCACAGATACTTTCTTTCTAGTTTTTATCTGGGGATATTCATTTTTAATTATTGATCTCTATGGGCCCCAAAATGTTCCTTCACAGATTCTACAAAATAAGTGTTTCCAACCTGCTGGAAAAAAAAGGTTTAATTCTGTGAGGTGAATCCACAGATCACAGAGCAATTTTACAGGTAGCTTCTTTGTAGTTTATATCTGGAGATACACAGTTTTCCCCATATGCCTCAAAGGGCTTCCAAATGTCCCTTTGAAGATTCTCCAAAGTGAGTGTTTCCAACCTGCTGAATCAAAATAAATATTTATCTTTGTGAGAAGAATCCACACATCACAATGCAGTTTCACAGATAGTGTTTTTCTAATTTTTATCTTGGGATTTTTTTTTTCATAGACCTAAATGGGCTCCAAAATGTCCTTTTGTACATTCTCTAAAAAGACTGTCCCCAACCTGCTTACTGAAAAGAAGTCTTAACTTTGTGAGAAGAATCCACACCTCACAAAGCTGTTTCACAGACAGCTTGTTTCTAGTTTTTACCTGGGGATATATTATTTTTCCCCTTACGCCTCAATGGGATCTAAAATATCCCTTCACTTATCCTCTAAATAAAGTGTTTCCAACCTGCTGAAACAAATGAAAGATTTAACTATGTGAGATGAATCCACACATTACAAAGCAGTTTCACAGATAGCTTCTATCAAGTTTTTATCTGGGGATATCCTGTTTTTCCCCACAGGCTTCAATAGGCTCCCAAATGTCCCATTGCAGATTTTCTAAAAAGAGCTTTTCCAAGCTGCTGAATGAAAAGAAAGTTTTATCTCTGTGAAATGAATGCACACATCACAAAACAGTTTCACACATAGCTTCATTTTAGCTTTTATCTTCTGATGTTCAATTTTCCCCTTAGTTTTCAGTGGGCTCTTAATTGTTCTTTTGCAAATTCTACAAAAAGAGTGTTTCCAACCCAATGAATAAAAAGTAAAATTTACCTCTGTGAGAAAAATTCACTCATCACAAAGCCATTTCACAGATAGGTTCCTTCTAGTTTTTATCTGGAGACATTTGATTATTTGTTATAGGCCTCAATGGGCTCCCAAATAACTCTTCACAGATTCGCCAAAAAAGAATATTTCCAACCTGAGGAATCAAAAGACAAGTTTACAAAAGTGAGATGAATCCAGACTTCACAAAGAAGTTTCACAGACAGCTTCTTTCTGGTTTTTATCTGCAGACACTCAGGTTTTCTCCATTGTCTTCAATGGGCTCTAAAATGTCCCTTCACAGATTCTTCAAAAAGACTGTTTAGAGCCTGCTGAATTAAAAGAATGGTTTAATTTTGTGAGATGAATCAACACAACACAAACCAGTTTCACAGAAAGGTTCTTTCAGTTTTTATCTGGGAATATTTGCTTTTTCTCCATAGGTATCAATGGGCTCTCAATTGTCCCTTCACAAGTTCTTCAAAAAGACAGTTTACAGCCTGCTGAATTAAAAGAAAAGTTTCATTTTGTGAGATGAATCAACAGGTCACAAAGCAGTTTCACAGACAGATTCTTTCAGTTTTTATCTGTGAATATTCAGTTTTTCTTCTTAGGCCTCAATGGGCTGTCAAATGTGCCTTCACAGATTCTACAAAAACAGCGTTTCCAACCTCCTGAATCAAAAGAAAGGTTTAACTCTTTTGTAAAATCCACACATCACAAAGCAGCTTTATAGATACTTCATTCTAATTTTTATCTTTGGATATTCAGGTTTTCTTCTTAGGCCTCAATGGGCTCCCAAATTTCACTTCGCAGATTCTAAGGAAATAGTATTTCTGTGATGACTCAAAAGAAATGTTTTCACTATGAGAAGAATCCACATTCACAAAACAGTTTTATAGATGCTTATTTCTACTTTTTATTTGGGATATTCGATTTTTCTCCATAGGACTAATTGGGCTCCAAAATGTCCCTTCACATATTCTCCAAAAAAATTTTTTCCAACCTGCTGAATCAAAATAAAAGATGAAAATTAAAAGATGAATCCACATATCACAAAGCTGTTTCACAGATAACTCGTTTGTAGTTTTTAACTGGGGATATTCATTTCTTTACCATAGGCCTCAATGGGCTCACAAATATCCCCTTGCAGATTCTCCAAAAAGAGTGTTTCCAACCTGCTCAATCAAAATAAAACTAAACTCTGTGAGACGAATGCACACATCACAAAGCAGTTTCACTGACAGCTTCTTTGAATTTTTTTTTTTCTGGGGAAATTCAATTTTTCCTTTTAGGCCTCAAAGGGCTCCCAAGTGTCCCTTCACAGATCCTCCAAAAATAGTGTTTCCAACCTACTGAATAAAATTGAAGGGTTTAACTCTGTAAAACCAATCCACACATCACAAAGCAGCTTCACAGAAAGCTTCTTTCTGGTTTTTATCTGGGGATATTTTGTTTTGCCCAATAAGCCTCACTGGGATCCCAAATGTCCCTTCAGAGATTCTCCAAGAAAAGTGCTTACATCCTGCTGAAACAAAGGAAGGTTTAATTCTGTAAGATGAGTCCATACATCACGTATTTGTTTCAGACATAGCTTGTTTTTTTTTTTCTGTTTTTTTTTTCCCCGAAGGTAACAATGGGCTCAAAATGTCCCTTTGAAGATTCTCCAAAAAGACTTTTCAGCCTGCTGTATCAAAAGAAAGGTTTAACTAACCGAGATGAATTAACACAGAACAGTGAGGTTCACATATTTCATTATTTTGGTTTTTTTCTTGGGATACTCTATTTTTCCCCATAGGTTGAAATGGACTCCAAAATGTCCCTTTGCAGATTCTCCAAAAACAGTGTTTCCAAGCTGCTGAAACAAAAGAAAGGTTTAATTTTGTGGGATGAATCCACACATCACAAAGCAGTTTCACAGAGAGCTTCTTTCTGGTTTGTATTTGGGTATATTCAGTTTTTCCCCATAGGCCTCAATGGGCTCCCTAACCTCCTTCCAAAGATTCTTCAAAAAGAGTGTTTCCAACCTAATGAACAAAAAGAAAGTTTTAACTCTATAAGATGAATCCATATATCACATAGCATTTTCACAGAAGGAAACTTCTAGTTTTTATCTGAAGATACTTGGTTTTTTTCCCATAGGTCACAATGGGCTCCCAAACATTCCTGTGCAGATTTTCCAAGAAGAGGGTTTCCAACCTTCAGCCTTTAATAGGCTCCCAATTGTCCCTTTGCAGTTTCTCCAATAAAATGTTTACAATCTGCTGATTCAAAGGAAAGGTTTAAATCCATGAGATTAATCCACACATCACAAAGCAGTTTCACAGGTAGGTTTACCTTTTTTACTTAAAACATCACAAAGCAATTTCACACAGAGCTTCTTTCTAGTTTTTGTCTGGGGATATTCAGTTTCTTCAAGTAGGCCACAATGGGTTCCTGAATGACCCTTCACAGATTCTCCAAAAAGACTGTTTCCAACCTCCTGAGTCAAAAGAAAGTTATAACTCTGAGATGAATGCACACATCACAAAACAGTTCCACAGATAGCTTCTTTCTAGATTTTAACTGGGGATATTCTGTTTTTCCAAATAGGCCTCACTGGGAACCCAAAGGTCCCTTCACAGATACTACAAAAAGATTGTTTTAGCCAGCTGAATCAGAAAAAGTTTTAACTCTATGAGATTAATCCACACATCACAAAGCAGTTTCACAGATAGCTTCATTCTAGTTTTTTATCTGGAGATATTTGGTTTTTCCCCATAGGCCTCAATAGGCTCCCAATTATTCCTTCACAGATTCTATAAAGTGAGTGTTTCCAACCTGCTGAATAAAAAGAAAGGTTTAACTCTGTGAGAAGAATCCACACATCACAAAGCAATTTCACAGATATATTGTCTGCAGTTTTTACCTGGGGATATTTGGTTTTTCACCGTAGGCCTAAATAGGCTACAAAATGTCCCTTCACAGATTCTACAAAGAGAGTGTTTCCAATCTGCTGAATCAAAAATAGTTTTACCTCTGTGAGATGAATTCACACATCATAAAGCAGTTTCACAGATAGCTTATTTCTAGCTTTTATCTGAGGATATTCAATTTTTAACCACAGACCCCAAAGGTGTCCCAAATTTCCCTTCGCAGATACTAGAAAACGAGTGTTTCTATCCTGCTGAATCACAGAAAAGTGTTAACTCTGTGAGATGAGCCCACTCATCCCAAAACAGTTGCACAGACAGCTGATTTCCAGTTTTTATCCAGGGACATTCGGTTTTTCCCTGCAGACCTCAATTGGCTCCCAAATGTCCCTTCGTGGATCCTCAAAAAGTGTGTTTTCAACCTGGTGAATCAAAACAAAGGCTTAACTCTGTGAGAGGAACCCACACATCACAAAGCAGTTTCACAGATAACTTCTTTCTAGTTTTTATCTTTGGATATTTGGTTTTGCTGCTTCAGCATCCATGGCCTCCAAAATATTTCTTTGCAGATTCTCCGAAAACAGTGTTTCCAACCTGCTGAATCAAAAGAAAGATTCAACTCTGTGAGATGAATCCACACGTCACAAAGCATGTTCACAGGTAGCTTCATTTCAGTTTTTATCTGGAAATATTCAGTTTTTCCACGTAGGCCTCAAAGGGCTCCCAATCGTCCCTTCACAGATTTTCCAAAAAGAGTATTTCCCTACTTCTGAATCAAAACAATGATTTAACTCTGTGATATGAATCAACACATCAGAAATTAGTCTCACAAATAGCTTCCTTTTAGTTTTTATCACGTAGCAGATTCTACAAAAAGAGTGTTTGTAACCTGGTGAATCAAAAGAAATGGTTAGCACTGTGAAAAGAATCCACATATCACAAAGCAGTTTCACAGAGAGCTTCTTTCTAGTTTTTATCTGGGAATATTTGGTTATAACCAGTAGGCCTCAATGGACTCTCAAATGTTCCTTCTCAATTTCTCCTACAAGGGTGTTTCCAACCTGCTGAATCAAAACCAAGGTTGAACTCTGTGAGATGAATCCACACAAAACAAAGCAGTTTCACAGGTAGCTTCTTTCTGGTTTTCACCTGGGAATATTCAGTTTCTCTTTATAATCCTCAATAGGCTACCAAATATTTCTTTGCAGATTCTAGAAAGAAAATGTTTCCAACCTGCTGAATCAAAGAAAGGTTTAACTCTGAGAGATGAATCCACACATCACAAAGCAGTTTCACAGATATATTATTTACAGTTTTCATTTGGGAATATTTGGTTATTCCCCTTAGGCCTCAATGAGCTCTTAAATGTCCCTTTGCAGATTTTCCAAAAAGAGTGTTTCCAACCTGCTGAATCAAGAGACACATTTAACTCTGTGAGATGAATCCACACATCACAAAGCACTTTCACAGATACTCTTTCCAGTTTTTATGTGGGGATATTCTGTTTTCCCCCAAAGGTGTCAATGGGCTTTCAAATGTCCTTTCACAGATTCTCCAAAGAGAGTGTTTCCAATTTGCTGATTCAAAAGAAAACATTAATTCTGCAAGATGAATCCACACACCACAAACCAGCTTCACAGACTGTTTCTTTCTGGTTTTAATCTTGAGATATTCCGTTTTTCTTCATATGCTTCTATGGGCTCCCAAATGTCCATTGGCAGTCTCCAAAAAGAATGTGTAAAACCTGCTGAATCAAAATTGAGGTTTAGTTCTGTTAGATGAATCCACACATAACAAAGAATTTTCACAGACAGCTTCTTTCTAGTTTTTATCTGGGGATATTTTGTTTTTCCCCTACACCTTACAGGACTCCCACATGTCCTTTCACATATTCTCCATTAAGAGTGTTTCACACGTACTGAATACAAAAAAAATATTGAACTCCCTGAGATGAATCCACATTTCACAAAGTGAATTCACAAATAGCTTCTTTCTGGTTTTTATCTGGGGATATTCACTTCTTTCCCATAGGCCTCAATGAGCCCAAAAATATCCTTTCTCAGATTCTGCCAAAAGAGTGTTTCCAACCTGGTGTATCAAAAGAAAGGTTTGACTCTGTGTGATGAATCTATGCATCACAAAGCAGTTTCACAGAAAGCTTATGTTTAGATTTAATCTAAGGTTTTTTTGGGTTCCTCCAAAGGTCCCCAAAGGTCTTCCAAATTTTCCTTCACAGATTCTAAAAATAAAAAAAGTGTTTTCAACGTACTAAATAAATAAAAAAAAATTCAACTCTTTGAGAATAATCTAGACATCACAAAGAAGTTTCACAGATGATAATTTATTTCTACTTTTTATCTAGGGATATTTATTTCTTCCCCACAGGCCTCTTCCTGTGCTTAAATGTCCCTTCACAGAATCTCTAAAAAAGTGTTTCCAACCTGGTGAATCAAAGAACGGTTTAGCTCTTTGAGATAAATCCACACATCACAAAGCACTTTCACAGATACATTCTTTCCGGTTTTTTTTTTTTTTTTTTTTTTTTGGCAGGGGGATATTTGGATTTTCCCTTAAACCTCTATGGGCTCCCAAAAGTACCTTTGCAGATTCTACAAAAAGAGTGTTTCCATCCTGCTGAATCAAAAGAAAGGGTTAACTCTCTGAAATGAATTCACACATCATAAAGCAGTGGCACAGATAGCTTCTTTCTAGTTTCTACCTGGAGATATTCATTTTTTATTGGCCTCAAAGGGCTCACAAATGTCCCTTAGCAGATTCTGCAATAAGAGTGTTTCCAACCTGCTGAATAAGAAGAAAAATTTAACACTGTGAGATGACTCCACACATTACAAAGCAGTTTCACAGGCAGTTTTTATTTTTTACCTGGGTGTATTCGATTTTTCCCCATAGACCCCTTTGAGCACTAATATGTCCATTTGCAGATCCTCTGAAAAGAATGAATCCAACCTGCTGAATCAAAAGAAAGGTTTAACTCTGTAAGACAAATCCACACATCACAAAGCAGATTCACAGATAGCTTCTTTCTAGTTTTATCTGGGTTTATTCAGTTGTTCCCTTTTAGCTTCAATGAGCTTCCAAATTTCCCTTTGTAGATTCTAGAAAAAGTGTTTCCAACCTGCTGAATCAAAAGAAGGATTTAGCTCTTGAGAAGAATCCATACATCACAAAGCAGTTTCACAGTTAGATTTTTTCTAGTTTTTGTCTAGGGATATTTGTTTTTTCCCCATGGGCCTCTTTGAGTGCTTAAATGTCTCTTCATAGGTGCTCCAAAAAGAGTGTTTCCAATATTTGGTAGCCCACTGAGTCAAAAGAAAGGTTTAACTCTCTGAGATTAATAGACACATCTCAAAGCAGTTTCATGGATAGCTTCTTTCTAGTTTTTTGGGGGGATAATCCTTTTTTTCCCTTAAACCTCTATGGGCTCCCAAATGTACCTTCACAGATCCTACAAAAAGTGTTTCCAACCTGCTGAATCAGAAGAAACATTTAACTCTGTGAGATCAATCTACATATCACAAAGCAGTTTCACAGATATCTTCTTTCTAGTTTTTCTCCAGATATTCTGTTTTTCCCCATAGGCCTTTTTGAGCACTTAAATGTCCCTTTGCAGATTCTGCAAAAAGTGTGTTTCCAATAAATAAATAAATAAATAAATAAAATAAAAAAGAACAACTGTAACAAAAGAAAGGTTTAACTCTCTGAGATGAATCCACACATCACAAAGAAGTTTCACGGATAACTACTGTCCAGTTTTTTCTGGGGTTATTTTGTTTTTCCCGTAAACCACTCTGGACTCCCAAATGTATCTTTGTAGATTTTACAAAAAGAGTGTTTCCAACCTGCTGAATCAAGGGAAAGGTTTAACTCTTTGTGGTGTGTGATGTAATCCACACATCACAAAGCAGTTTCATATATCCTTCTTTTTAGTTTTCGTCTGGGGATACTAGGTTTTTCCCCATAAGTCTGCATGAGCTCCCAAATGTCCCTTCACAGACTCTTCAAAAGAAGTGTTTCCAAGCTGTTGAATGAAAACAAAGATTTAACTCTGTGACATGAATCCACACGTCACAAAGCAGTCTCATGGATAACTTCATTCTAGTTTTCATCTGGGAATATTCATTTTTTTCCCCTTGGCCTTAATGGGCACCTAAATATCCCTTGGAGAGTCTCCAAAGACAGTGTTTCCAACCTGCTGATTCAAAAGAAAACATTAACTCTGTAAGATGAATCCATACATGACAAAGCAGTTTCACAGATAGCTTCTTTCTAGTTTTTATCTAGGGATATTTTTTTCCCGTATACCTCAATGGACTGAAAAATGTCCTTTCACAGATTCTCCAAAAAGAGGGTTTACAGGAGATCCTGGGTTCGAATCCCAGTGGTGCCTCAACCGAGCTTCCAAGCTCTTTCCACTTTGGCTGGGTGTGGTGGCTCATGCCTGTAATCCCAGATTGCAGGGAGGCAAGAGGTGGGAGGATAGCTTGAGCCCAGGAGTTTGAAACCTGCCTGGGAAATATAGCAAGACCCCGTTCTCCTCAAAAAGGAAAAAAAAGACCAAAAAAATAAAAAGAGGGTTTCCAACCTGTTTAATCAAAAGTGACATTTTATTCTGTGAGATAAATCCACACATCACAAAGCAGTTTCACAGACATCTTCTTTCTAGTTTTTATCTGGGAATATTCTGTTTTTCCCCTAGGCCTCAATAGGCTTTCAAATGTCCTTTGGCAGATTCTCCAAAAAGAGTGTTTCACACCTGCTGAATAAAAAGAAAGATTTAACTGTTAGATGAATCCACACATCACAACACAGTTTCACAGATAGCTTTTTTCTAGTCTTTATCTGGGGATGTTCAGTTATTCCCTTTAGGCCTCAATGGGCTCTTAAATGTCCCTTCACAGATTCTACAAAAATAGAGTTTCCTACTGCTTAATCAAAAGAATGTTTTAACCCTGTGAGATGAATCCAGACATCCCAATGCAGTTTCACAGATATCTTCTTTCTAGTTTTTATCTGGGGATATTTGATTTTTCACCATGGACCTAAATGAGCTCCCAAATGTGCCTTCACAGATTCTAAAAAAGTCTGTTTCCAACATTCTGAATCAAAGGAAAGGTTTAACTTTGTGAGATCAATCCACACATCACAAAGCAGTTTCACAGAAATCCTCTTTCCGGTTTTAATCTGGGGATATTCTGTTTTTTTTTTTTCTTAAGCCAGAGTGGGCTCCCAAATCTTCCTTCACAGATCCTCCAAAAACAGTTTTTCCAACAAGCTGAATCTAAAGTGATATTTTACTCTGTTAGATGAATCCACGCATCAGAAATCAGTTTCACAGATAGCTTCTTTCTAGTTTTTACCAGGGGATGTTCGGTTTTCCCCATATGCCTCTTTGAGCAGCTTAATGTCCCTTCTCAGATGTTTCAAAAAGAATGTTTGCAACCTAGTGAATAAAAATAAAGTTTTAACTCTCTGAGATTAATCCACACATCACAAATAAATTTAACAGATATGTTCTTTCAAGTTTTTTGTGGTGATATTCAGTTTTTCTGTTAAACCTCTATAGGCTCCCAAACGTACTTTTGCAAGTTCTACAGAAAGAGTGTTTCCAAACTGCTGGATCAAAAGAAAGGTTTACTTCTCTGAGATGAATCCACATATCACAGAGTAGTTTCACAGACCTCTTCTTTCTTGTTTTTATCTAGAGATATTCAGTGTTTCCCATAGGCCACAATGGGCTCCCAAATGTCCCTTTGCAGATTCTCCAGAAAGAGTGTTTCCAACCTGCTGAATCAAAAGAAAGGTTTAATTCTGTAAGTTGAATCCACACGGCACAAAGCAGATTCACCAATAGCTTCCTTCTTGTTTTATCTGTGGATATTCTCTTTTTTGCCATAGGCCTCAAAGGGCTCCCAAATTTCCCTTCACAGATTATAGAAAAAGAGTTTCTCCAACATGCTGAATCAAAAGGAAGTTTTATCTCTGTGAGAAGAATCCACAAATCACAAAGCAGTTTCACAGAAATCTTCTTTCTAATTTTTATCTGGGGATATTCAGGATTTCCCCCCAGGCCTCAATGGGCTGCGAAATATCCCTTTGCAGATTCTACAAAAAGAGTATTCCCAACATGATGAATCAAAAGAAAGGTTTAACTCTGTGAGATGAATCCACACATCACAAGGCCGTTTCACAGATAACTTCGTTATTTTTATTGGGGGACATTCAGTTTTTCCCCGTAGGCCCCAAAGGGCTCCCGAATAACCCTTGGCAGATTCTCATTAAAGGGTGTTTCCAACACATCTCACATCACAAATCCACCCAGTCCAAAGCAGATTCACAGATATCACCTTTCTAATTTTCATCTGGTGTTGGGGACCAGCCTCAACACAACCTGTATTGTACCCAAAGTCCAGTGGTGACAAAGGATTGACCAGAGACAAGTTAAGAGTAAAGTTGAGGGCCAGGGGGCCAAATGCATGGTAGCAGGTTGCAAAAGGCCCAGAGTTCTGGTCTCCACACTATTTATTTAGCACAGTCACTTAGATATAAGAGCAGATGTTCAGGGCAAAACAGTGAAATGGTGAGTGTGTCATAGGGGTGATCTATAGTAGTACCAGTTTAAATGCATCTCCTTTGTGCTCAAAGAGCATGTCTTTAGCTTATCAGAGAGTAGCTAGTGGGAGTAGGCTTAACTAGGAGCCTGCAAATCTGTCCACTTTCCATTACATCAAGAGAGTGTCTTTCTCTTTGAACACAGTGTTTACACATAAGGCAGCAAGTCTCACTCACAGCATGGAAATAGGGTGGCAAATAGGAGGCTTTCCTCCTCAGAGTCTTCTTGTCTTTCCACAACTTATTGTCTCATATTTTTGGCCAGGTTTTACAGGCAGCCCATAAACCTTTTTCCCAACATGCCCCCATTTTTTCATTTTTAAAACCGCCATTGCTATTAAGGCTTGTTCTTTGTGTCTGGTTTTTCTCCAGAGGCGTATTCCACATTTGCAGACTAAAAGCAAACAGTATAAACAGATACACATTAAAGCAAAGATTGCAATAGTTCATCCTCCAGTGGTCTTAATTCATTTAAGAGGGTTTACATTTGAAAGTCCATCAGCAGCTCCAGCGATAATGTCAGTCCCAGGCAGGAGAGTTCAATGAGCCTGAGACCCTTCAAAAACCTGTTCCTTTAATTTGGCTGTATCCAATGCTAAATTTTCATTTCTTTCTTCCACATGACGTCTAACTTTTTTCCAATGATGTTCAGTAGCATTATACGAATGGGGAGTTATGTAGAAATCAGAAGTAATCCAATCACATTGTATGTGCAATCGATGTTCTAAGCTCATTATATGATCTCTCTTCCAAATAACAGTCTGTCTAATATCATTTATTTGATTTGTCAATTGTTGGTCTATCCAGGTCTGAGAATTCCACAATGTTGAGGAATTCTTTTGCCAATTATTTTGTAGTTTGAACAGACGAGTGTAAAGCAATTCCAGCAGCTGCAGCAGCAGCTGTGACTGCACTAAGTCCCATAATGACAGCTATAAGGTTAAAAATAATTTTTTTTGCTCTGGTAAACACTCCCTTTAACATTTCTGTGATGATATGAATGGAAGGAGAGGCTTCCCAAGGTCTATTGAGGGAAACTAGTGTCCAAACACCTTCTGTAGCCCTCACCAGCAACACAGATGTTTTTACACCAAACGTGGAATCAATACAGGTGAAAAGTTGACAGTTTTGACAGGAAATAGTTTGAGAATTAGATTGAATATTAAGATTTCTGATCATCAACATAAAAGGAGGCTTGACACAACTCTGAATGGGTACTGTTCCGTTGGAAGAAAACTGATACACAAACTGAAGTCTCTCACCTTTCGTCTTAAGATAATTTTTTTTCCAAACCCAAATACGCGATTTGCCCATTATTAACTTCCATAATTCGGGATGTTCAAGGCCTATTATAGGATTAATCACTTCTGGATGTGGGCTGGCCATACTAAAGTTGGTCCAAATTATGAGAAAATGGGCACTTTTTTATTATAAGTAGTGTCATCTCTTTGATAGTATAGTTCCTGTTTTAGTTTTGTTTGGCATCTATCATTTTGATTGGTAAAATTAACTGCAAAGATCCCCTTATGGGACCAATTAAAGATGATTCCACAGGAATGATTTTGCAGTACCTCAGTGTGATCAGAGATGCAATCCTCCCAAACTAATATTTTTAAATGTTTTCACTATTGTTGAGATTGTTGACACCTCTCTTTTCTGGGCTTAAACTGCTGCAATTGAACTGAGATCTGTGAATGATCCAGGCTCCATCCAGAAAGTAAAGGATAGGATACTTGTCTTTGGTTATTTACCTAGAATTTTAAATAGCCAATGTTTTTGATAGCCTTTTAGGCAACTGATAGCCAGCACTGTGTAAAGAGTGGGGGAACAGATAACCTATGGACACATTTATTGTCATTTCTTTCTCCTCTAGGTGAGAGGGCCCAAGAGTATCTCTAGGCTTAGGCATCCAAACACTATCATTAACATAAACCACAACCGGGGGTTCCAACAAAGTGACAAGCTTAATTAAAGGTGGGAATGGGACGTATGCCCAATAGGTATAATTTTGGTCTGCTGTAGCCAAAGAGAGATTTACCACCATAGCAATTACCGCAATCATAGCCTCCATACTGAATGAATCCCACTGTTTGTACGTTAATTTATTTTAGCCTAGCAGTTACGTTATTAGAAGCTGAGAAGGGGGTGTTTGTTAAAATAACTGGGCAGAATAAAGGCGGATTTAAGATGTGAGCTTAACAAAGTTTAGCAGGTATAAGCAGTAGGCAAAGTGAGAGAATTAAAAATGAGTAAATTATTTAGCTTAGTGTTCTGCCTCTTCAGCATAATGTCTGGGGCCTGTGTTGCTTGTGGAAGGTGCGTTGTTGAGGCTGTAGTTCCTGTAGGGTCTTTTTTAGGCTGGCTTGAATATTTTTTCTTTTTTTCATCCTTTGATGAGCACATAGTCTTCAGGCTGGTACTGGAAATTCTAGGAGTGGTACCTGTGTTCATAGACTTTTTACTATCTTTAAGAGCTCGTTAGTGTTTTAAGAAAAATTTGTGTTTTATTTTAGTGTTTAGTTTATAGAAAAATTGGATGATACCTTTTTTAACTTTAGCAAATATATTTACCTACAAAATTTTTTACAATTATCATTTTAAAACTTGCTTGGACACTCAAAACAAAACTTCTAAAATCTTCCTTGCATAAATTCCTTTTTATAACATTTTTCATAACTTTCACAATCTTCAACATGCCTTAACTTTCTGTTTCATAACTTTCCTTACTAAAGGTACATTCTTTTAACTTTCTTAATATTTCCTTTCCTTTCTTCCTACTTTATTTTTTCCTTAGTCTTTCTTTTTGTATCTTTCTTTAATTTTTGTCTCTTCTAGTCTTTTTCTTACTTTTTTCTATTTTTATTTTTAATGTGCAATAATTAGATGAGTGTTGGTAACAATGGATATATGTACACATCTTAGTTTCCAAAATTTAAGGATGTGTTTAACATCTGTTTGCCACAACTGAATAGGTTGCAATCCTCCAGGGTTAACACCTGTTGAAAGAGGAGAGATGCGTGTGAGCTGGTACCTGTGAGCTGGTAATCTGGGTATTTTAGGCGTAATTTGCTTAGCAGGCCTCTGTGTAAGTTGAAATTATTTAGATACATTTCTCCAATTTTGGTGAAAAAATTGATGTGATTGGGTGGCTTGGTCAAGCAGCGATGTCATAACCTGAAGCTCTGCTTGATTATTGCAATAAGCCAATGGGCCAGGCAGAGAGCTGTGGGCTTGAAAGTGTGTAATAAAAATAGGATGTGTACCTTGGTCTAGCAATTGCTGAAGTTGAAGAAAAAGAGCACACAGTGTGGGCTCCAGAGTGAACTTAAGGCTGTAAAACTTCCTTAATAAATAAACAGAATAACCTCAGCTCTCTGAATGCTAGTGAATTGAGATAGAGTGATTAGATTATGTGGTCTCCACCAGACTGTAGGTTTTTTTGTTTGTTTCTTCACCAGACCCATCAGTAAAAACAGTCACAGCTCCTTCCAAAAGGGCATCATGGATAATTTTTGGAAGAACCTGTGTAGTTAATTTTAAGAACTGGAAAGTTTTATTTTTAGGATAATGATTATCAATACATCCAAAAAATTTTGCTAAATTAACTTGTCATGCAACTGAGTTAATAAATTCCTGTTTTTCCTGATTTTCATTTATTGGTACTATAATCTTATTGGGTTCAGTGTCACAAAGTTTAATAATTCATATAGGAGATGGTCTAATTAGAATTGGCACCTGATCTAAATATACTATAAGTGCTTTTATGGTATTATGTGGCACAAAGGACCATTTACCTAAATCCTCACTTTGGACAATAACCCCAGTTGGGGAGTGTGAAGTAAGGAACACAATGAATTGTAAAAGCATGTCTGAGCGAATTTTACTGTCTTGGGTTTGTTGAATTTTTTCTTCAATTACTCTTAACTCTTTAATGGACTTGGGTGTTAGTTCTCTTTTACTATGTACGTTGGAATTTCCCCTTAATATTGAGAAAAGATTAGACATAGCGTAAGTAGGAATTTCTAAGGTGGGTCAAATCCTTATATATCTCCTAACAATTTTGAAAACCATTTAAGCTTTT
Organism: Homo sapiens; assembly: GCF_000001405.40. Taxonomy (NCBI): domain Eukaryota; kingdom Metazoa; phylum Chordata; class Mammalia; order Primates; family Hominidae; genus Homo; species Homo sapiens. The sequence goes on along the minus strand of NC_000010.11, from coordinate 39,108,147 downwards.
TAAAGAATCTCTTCTAATTTGAACCTTTTGAGGCTTAAAGGCTCTATCTTGTACTTGCATCACCAAGTACTGAAAAGAAGTGGTTGTTTGAATTTTGTCAGGTGCTATAAACAATCCAGCATTTGTAATTGTCTTTTGTAAAGTGAATAATATTGAATAAGTTGATCTATATTTTTTACTGCACATATTATGTCAGCCATATAATGGATGATGTAACACTCTGTAAATTGATCTCTAACAGTCTGGTTAGCCTTGCCTACAAAAGTTTGACAAATTGTGGGGCTGTTTAACATACCCTGGGGTAAAACCTTCCACTGACATCTGGTTGCATGTTCATTGTTATTAAGAGTAAGGATGGTAAAGGCAAATTTTTTTAAATCTGCCTCTGCCAAAGGAATTGTAAGAAGGCAGTCTTTTGAATCTATAATAACAAGTGGCCAGTCTTTAGGGAGCATAGTGGGGGATGGGAGCCCTAGCTGTAAGGTTGCCATCAGTTGAATTACAGTGATGACCACTTGCAAGTCAGTCAGCATGCACCATGTACTAGATGTTTTTTTTTAAATTAAAGATACTGGGGATTTCAAAGGAGACAAATTGGGTGAAATACGTCCTTTTTCTGGTAGTTTTCTATTTCACAAAGCACCCACAACTTGTCTTTAGGGAGTGGCCACTGTTCAACCCAGACAGCGTGCTGTGTTATCCATTTTAAGAGAAATTGCTCCTCCACAGTGAGGAAATGCAAGTCGGGCAATAGTGGGTGCAGTGAGCTGAGTCTCAGTGAGCCAAGTCTTGGACTCCCTTTCCCAGCACTCACTCAGCTGAAGAGGAGGTGGCCTTTCTGGGCACTGCTCTGAAGGAGCCATGAGCAGAACAATTTTCAGAGCAGGTTTAGGGAGACCACAGAGCTTGGCATACATTAACTGTGAACTATCCTTTTGGCTAGCACTTGGTAGAGGCCGTTCAGAGTTCTGATTATCAAACTCCTATCCCTTCTCCTATGACTCAGCCTCCTCATCTGAAAAGCTTCCAGTGCTGTATGCACCAATGTCCAAACTTACCAAAAAGTCAAAGGAATTTTCTTCCTTTTCTACGTGTTTTTAAAGTCCTTTCCAACTCTTTCCAAAACTTTAATTTCACAAAATGTTTCACAGATAGCTGATTTCTAGTTTTTATCTGGGGATATTCTGTTTTTCCCCATAGGCTTAAATGAGCTCCAAAATGTCTTTTTGCAGATACTCAAAAAAGATTGTTTACAACCTGCTGAATAAATTGGAAGGTTTAACTCTTTGAGATGAATCCACAAACCAAGAAGCAATTTCATAGATAGCTTCTTTCTAGTTTTTGCCTGGGGATATTTTGTTTTTCACCATAGACCTCAATGGGCTCCCAAATGTCCCTTGGCAGATTCTCCAAAAAGAGTGTTTCCAGCCTGCTGAATCAAAAGATAGGTTTAATACTGTGAGACGAATCCACACATAGCAAAGCAGTTTCACAGATAACTTCATTCTACTTTTTACTGGGGATATTCACTTTTCACATTAGGCTACAATGGGAGACCACATGTCCCTTAAAAGATTCTCCTAAAAGAGTTTTTCCAACGTGCTAAATGAAAAGAAAACTTCAACAAGTTGATTCAACTTGTTGAATCAACAAGTTGAATTCAACTTGTGAGATGAATCCAAACATTGCAAAGCAGTTTCACAGGTAGCTTCTTTCCCATTTTTATTAGGCGATACTTGGTTTTTCCACATAGGCCTCGATGGGCTCCCAAATGTATGTTTGCAGATTCTCCAAAAAAAAGGGCTTCCAGCATGCTGAATCAAAAGAAAGGTTTAACTCTGTGAGGTGAATTCACACATGACAAAGCAGTTTCACAGTTAGCGGCTTTCTGGTTTTTATCAGGGGATATTCAGTTTTTTCCATAAGCCTCAATGGGCTTACAAATGTCCCCTTGAAAATTTTCTACAAAGAATGTTTCCCAGCTACTGAATAAAACGAAATATTTAACTCTGTGAGACATATCCACACATCACAAAGAAGTTTCACAGATACCTTCTTTCTAGTTTTTATCTGGAGATATTTGGTTTTTCACTGTAGGTCTCAACAAGCTCCCAAATATCCGTGGCCACATTCTACAAAAAGAGGTTTTGCAACTGGCTGAATCAAAAGAAAAGGTTGTCTCTTTGAGATGAATCCACACGTCTGAAAGCAGTTTCAAACGAGGCTTCTTTCTAGTTTTTATCTGGGCATATGTTGTTTTTCCACATAGGCCTCAAAGGGCTCCCAAATGTCCCTTCATAGAATCTCCAAAAAGAATGTTTCCAACTTCCTGAATCTAAAGAAAGTTTTAACTCTGTCAGATGAATTGAAACATCACATATCAGTTTCATAGATAGCTCCTTTCTACTTTTTAATCTGAAGCTATTCTGTTTTTCCACATAATCCTTAATGGGCTCCCAAATATCCCTTCACAGATTTTACAAAAAAAAGGTTTCTAACCTGCTGAATCAAAGGAAAGGCTTAACGCTGTGAGATGAATCCCCTCATCACAAAGCAGTTTCACAGATAGCTTTTTTTCTAGTTTTCTTTTGTATTTATATTCAGTTTATCTTTATAGGCTTCAATGGGCTCCCAAATGTCCCTTTGCAGATTCTCTAAAAAGGGTTTCCAAATTTCTGAAACAAAAGAAAGGATTACTTCACTGAGATGAATTAATAAAGAACAATGCTGTTTCACAGACAGGATTATTTTCATTTTTTCTTGGGATATTCAGTTTTTCTTTGTAGGTTATAATAAGCTCTCAACTTTCCCTTTGCAGATTCTCCAAAAAGAGTGTTTCCAAACTGCTGAAACGAAAGTAATGTTTAACTCTTTAAGATGAATCCACACATCACTAATTATTTTCACAAATAGATTCTTTCTAGTTTTTATTTGGGTATATTCAATTTTTCCTCATAGGTCTTAATGGGCTCTAAAATATCCCTTCACAGATTCTCCAAAAAGATTGTTTCCAACCTGATGAATCAAAAGAAAAGTTAACTCTGTGAGATGAATCCACATATCACAAAGCTGTTTCACAGATAGCTTCTTTCTAGTATTTATCTAGGGATATTCAGTTTTTCCTTATAGGCCTCAACAGGCTCCCAAAAGTCCCTCTGAAGATTCTCCAAAAAGAAGGTTTCCAACCTGCAGGCCTTAATATGCTCCCAAATGTCCCTTCACAGATGCCTCAAAAAGATGTTTCCAATCAGCTGAATCAAAGGAAAGGTTTAACTCCGTGAGATTAATCCACACATCACCAAGCAGTTTCACAGGTAGTTTTATTTTCGTTTTTTCCTTAAATCATCACAAAGCAATTTCACAGAGAGCTTCTGTCTAGTTTTTGTCTGGGGATATTCGGTTTTTTCAAGTAGAAATAAATGGGCTCCCAACTGTCCATTTACAGATTCTCCAAAGAGAGTGTTTCCAACCTCCTGAGTCAAAAGAAAGGTTTAACTCTGTGAGATGGATGCACACATCACAAAACAGTTTCACAGATAACTTCTTTCTAATTTTTATCTGGGGATATTCTGTTTTTTCCCCATAGGCCTCAAGGGGCTCCCAAATGTCCCTTCACAGACACTACAAAAACAGTGTTTTCAACCTGATGAATCAAAAGAAAGTTTTCACTCTGTGAGATGAATCCACACATCCCAAAGCAATTTCACAGATACCTTCTTTACTGTTTTTACCTGGGAATATTCGGTTTTACTTCATAGGCTTCAATGGGCTCTCAAATATTCCTTCGCAGATTCCACAAAATGAGTGTTTCCAACCTGCTTAATCAAAAAAAGTTTAACTCTGTAGGATCAATCCACACATCACAACTCAATTTCATAGACAGCTTCATTCTAGTTTTTATCTGGGGATATACAATTTTTAAGAATAGGCCTGAATGGGTTCCCAAATTTCCCTTCACAGATTCTACAAAATGAATGTTTCCAGTGTGCTGAACCACAAAAAAAGTGTTAATTTTGTGAGATGAATCCACACATCACAAAACAGTTTCACAGATGGCTTCTTTCTAGTTTTTAACTGGGGATATTCAGTTTTAACCCACACACTTAAAAGAGCTCCCAAATGTCCCTTTGCAGATTCTCCAAAAGTGTGTTTCCAACCTACTGAATCAAAATAAAGGTTTCACTCTGTGAAAGGAATCCACACATCTCAAAGCAGTTTCACAGATAGTTTCTTTCTAGTTTTTATCTTTGAATATTTGGTTTTGCCCTTTAGGCATCCATGCACTCCCAAATATTTATTAGAAGATTCTCCAAAAAGAGTCTCTCCAACCTGCTGATTCAACAGAATTGTTCAACTCTGTGAGATGAATCCACATATCACAAAGCACTTTCACAGATAACTTCATTTTAGTTTTCATCTGGGGATATTCCATTTTTCCCCATAGGCTTCTCTGGGCTCCCAAATGTCCATTTGAAGATTTTGCCAAAAAGAGTGTTTCCAACCTGCTGAATCAAAAGAAAAATGTAACTCTGTGAGATGAATCCACACATCACAAAGCGGTTTCACAAATAGCTTCTTTCTAGTTTTTATCTGGAGATATTTGTTTTTTCCCTGTAGTCCACAATGAGCTCCGGAATGTCCATTCACTGATTCAACAAAAATAATGTTTCCAACCTGCTGAATGAAAAGAAAGTTTTAACTCTGTGGGATGAATCCACACATTACCAAGCAGTTTCACAGAAAGATTCTTTCTAGTTTTTATCTGAAGATATTCGTTTTTTTTCCAATAGGTCTAAATTATCTCCAAAATGTCCCTTCACAGATTCTCCAAAAAGATGTCTCCAATCAGCTGAATCAAAGGAAAGGCTTAACTCCATGAGATTAAGGAACACATCACAAAGCAGTTTCACAGGTAGCTTTATTTTCATTTTTTCATTGAAATGCTACAAAGCAATTTCACAGAGAGCTTCTGTCTAGTTTTTGTCTGGAGATGCTCGGTTTTTTCTAGTAGAACAAAGTGGGCTCCCAACTGTCCATCCACAGATACTCCAAAGAGACTTTCCAACCTCTTGTGTCAAAAGAAGGGTTAACTCTGAGAAAAATGCACGCACCACAAAACTGTTCCACAGATAACTTCTTTCTAGTTTTTATCTGGGAATGTTCTATTTATCCCCTTAGGCCTCAATGGGCTCCCAAATATCCCACCGGGTACTACAAAAAATGTGTTTCCAACCTGCTGAATCAAAAGAAAGATTTCACTCTGTGAGATGAATCCACCCATCACAAAGCAATTCCACAGATACTTTCTTTGCTGTTTTTACCTGGGAATATTTGGTTTTTCTTCATAGGCCTCAATGGGCTCCGAAATGTCCCTTTGTAGATGCCACAAAAAGAGTTTTTCAGCCTGCTTAATCAAAAAATGTTTTAACTCTGTGAGATCAATCCACACATCACAAAGCAATTTCACAGATACCTTCATTCTAGTTTTTAAATGGGGATATTTAATTTTTATCCATGGGTCTCAGTGGGCTCCCAAATTTCCCTTCACAGATTCTACAAAATGAATGTTTCCAACGTGCTGAATAACAAAAAAGTGTTAATTCTGTGAGACGAACCCACACACCACAAAGCAGTTTCACAGATAGCTTCTTTTTAGTTTTTATATGGGGATATTCTTTTTTTTCCATGGACCTCAAAGGACACTGAAATGTCCCTTTGCAGATTCTCCAAAAGTGTGTTTCCAACTGCTGAATAAAAACAAAGGTTTAATTCTGTGAGATGAATACACACATCACAAAGCAGTTTCACAGATAGCTTCTTTCTGGTTTTTATCTTTGGATATTTGGTTTTACCCCTTAGACATCTACGAATTCCCAAATATTTATTTGAAGATGCTCCAAAAAGAGTGTTTCCAACCTGCTGAATCAAAAAGAAAGATTCAACTCTGTGAGATGAATGTACACATGACAAAGCATTTTCACAGAGAGCTTCTTTCTACTCTTTATCTGGGAATATTCAGTTTTTCCCAATAGGCCTAAAAGCGCTCCCTAATGTCCCTTCACAGATTTTCCAAAAATAGTGTTTCCCACCTGCTTAATCAAAAGAAAGGTTTAACCCTGTGGGAGGAATTGACACATGACACAGAAGTTTTACAGGAAGCTTCTTTCTAGCTTTTATCTGGGAATATTTCGTTTTTTCCCATTCACCTCAATGGACTTCCAAATGTCACCTTGCAGATTCTGCAAAAAGAATGTTTCCAACCTGCTGAATCCAAAGAAAAGTTTAAATCTGTGAGATGATTCCATTGATCACAAAGCAGTTTCTTAGATAGCTTCTATCTAGATTTTTTTCTGGGGATATTCAGTTTTTCCCCATAGGCCTGTTTGAGTACCCAAATTTCCATTCACAGATTCTACAAACAGATTGTTTTAAACCTGCTGAATCAAAAAAAAGTTTGAACTCTCTGGGATGAATCCACACATTGAAAAGCTGTTTCACAGATAGCTTCTTTCTAGTTTATATCTGGGATATTTGGTTTTCCCCCTAAACCTCTCTGGGCTCCCAAATATCCCTTCACAAATTGTACAAAAAGAGTATTTCCATCCTGCTGAATCAAAGGAATAGTGTAGCTCTGTGAGAAGAATCCACACATCACAAAGGCAGCTTCACAGATAGCTTCCTTCTAGTTTTTTCTCAGAGGATATTTTGTTTTTCCCTTAGGTCTCGATGTGCTTCCAAATGTCCCTTCACAGTTTCCATAAAACGACTGTTTCCAAGCTGCTGAATCAAAAGAAAGTTTTAACTCTGAGATGAATCCTCACATCCAATAGCAGTTTCACAGATACCTTCATTCTAGTTTATATCTGGGGATATTCAGTTTTTCCCCTTAGGCCTCTATGGCCCCAAATGTTCCTTCACAGATTCTCCAAAAAGAGTGTTTCCAACCTACTGCTTGAAAAGAAACTTTAACTCTGACACGAATCCACACATCACAAAGAAGTTTCACAGATAACTTCTTGTTTTTGTCTGGCGGCATTCAGTTTTTTTCCATAGGTCTCAATGGGCTCTCCAATGTCCCTTTGCAGATTTTCAAAAAAGAGCTTTTCCAACCTACTGAATCAAAAGAAATTTTTAATTCTTTGAGATGAATCAACACATCACAAAGAAGTTTCACAGATAGTTTCTTTCAAGTTTTTATCTGGGGATATTCTGTTTTTCCCCTAGGCCACAATGTGCTCCCAAATGTCCTATCACAGATTGTAGAAGAGAATGTTTCCAAACTCGAGAATCAGAAGAAAGATTAGATCTGTGAGATAAATCCACACATCACAAAAAAGTTTCACAGATAGCTTCTTTCTAGTTTTTATCTGGGGATATTCAGTTTATCCCCATAGGCCTCAATGGGCTCTCGAATATTCACTCACAGATTTTACAAAGAAAGTGTTTTCAAACTCCTGAATCAAAAGAAAAATTTAACTCTATGAGATGAATCCACACAACACAAATACTTTCACAGAAGTTTCTTTCTAGTTTTTATCTAAGGAAATTTTATTTTTTCCCATAGGTCTCAATGGGCTCCAAAATGTCCCTTTGCAGATTACACAAAAAGAGTTTCCCAAACTGCTGAATCAACAGAAACGTTTATCTTTGTGAGATGAATCCACACATCACAAAGAAGTTTCACACAAAGGTTCTTTCTAGTTTTTAACTGGAGATATTCTGTTTTTTTCCCATGGCCACAATGGGCTCCCAAATGTCCCTTAGAAGATACTCCAAAAAGAGTGTTTACAACCTGCTGAATCAAAAGAAAGGTTTAATTCTTTGATATGAATCCACACATCCCAAAGCAGTTTCACAGATAACTTCATTCTAGTTTTTATCTGGGGATATTCAGTTTTTCCCCTTAAGCCTCAATGACCCCAAAATGTCCCTTAACAGATTCTCGAAAAAGAGTGTTTCCAAACTACCAATTCAAAAGAAAACTTTAACCCTGGAAGAGGAATCCACACATCACAAGGTAGTTTCACCAAAAGCTTCTTTCTAGTTTTTATCTGGAGATATTTTGTTTTTCCCCATTGGCCACAATGGGCTCCCAAATGCTCCTTTGCAGATTCTCCAAAAACAGTGTTTCCAACCTGTTGAGTCAAAAGAAAGGTTTAACCCTTTGAGATGAATCCACTCATCCAAAAGCAGTTTAACAGATTACTTCATTCTAGTTTTTATCTGGGGATATTCGGTTTTCCCCATTAAGCCTCAATGGCTCCAAAATATCCCTTCACAGATTCTCCAAAAAGAGTGTTTCCAAACTACCGATTCAAAAGAAAACTTGAACACTGTGAGATGAATCCACACATCACAAAACAGTTTCACAGATGGCTTCCTCTTGTTTTTATCTAGGGATATTCAATTTTTCCCCATAGCCCTCGATGTTCTCTCATATGTCCCTCACAGATTTTCCCAAAAATAGTGTTTCCAACCTGCTGAATCAAAAGAAAGTTTTACTCTTGTGTGATGAATCCACAAATCACAAAGAAGTTTCACAGATAGCTTTTTTTCTAGGTTTTATTGGTGGATATTCTGTTTTTCCTGATAGGCCACAATGTGCTCACTAATGTCCTATCACAGATTCTCCAAAAGAGTGTTTCCAAACTACTGAATCAAAGGAAAAATTAAACCTGTGAGATAAATTCACACATCTCAAATCAGTTTCACAGATAGCTTCTTTCTATGTTTTTAACTGGGGATATTTGGTTTCTCACCATAAGCCTCAATGGGCTCTGGAATATTCATTCACAGTTTCTACAAAGAGAGTGTTTCTAACCTGCTGAATCAGAAGAAAAAGTTAACTCTGTGAGATTAATCCACGCATCACAAAGCAGTTTCATGGATAGCTTCTTCTAGATTTTATTTGCAAATATTTAGTTATTCCACATCAGTTTCCTTGAGCGCCAAAATGTCTCTTTGCTGATGCTCCAAAAGAGTGTTTCCAACCTGCTGAATCAAAAGAAAGTTTGATTTTCTGAGATGAATCCACACATCTAAAGTAGTTCCACAGATATCGTCTTTCTAGTTTTTAGTTGGGGATATTCTGCTTTTCTCCACAGTCCTCAATAGGCTCCCAATTTTCCCTTTGCATGTTCTCCAAATAGAGTGTTTCCAACCTGCTGAATCAAAAGAAAGGTTTAACTCTGTGAGATGAATCTTCACATTAAAAGTAGGTTAACAGGTAGCTTCTTTCTTGTTTTTATTTGTGGATATTCTCTTTTTCTTTGTCATCAATGGGCTCCAAAGTGTCCCTTCGCAGATTCCACAGGAGAAGTGTTTCCAATCTGCTAAATCAAAAGAAAGGTTTAACTCTCTGACATGAACACACACATCACAAAGTAGTTTCACAGATAGCTTCTTTTTAATTTTTATCTGACAATACTTGGTTTTTCCCCATAGAACTCAATGGGTCCCCAAGTGTCCGTTCTCAGATTCTCCAAAAGGAGTATTTCCCCAGTGATGAATCAAAAGACAGTTTAAACTCTGTGAGGTGAATGCACACATCACAGAGAAGTTCCACAGATAGCTTTCTTCTAGTTTTTATCTTGGGATATTTGGTTTTGCACCGTAGGCCTCAACGGGCTCCTAATGTCCCTTTGCAGGTTCTCCAAAAAGAGTGTTTCCAACCTGCTGGATGAAAATAAAATTCTAACCCTGTGAGATGAATTTACACAACACAAGCAGTTTCACAGATAGCTTCTTTCTGGTTTTTTTCTGGAAATATTCTGTTTCTCCCCTTAGGCTTCAATGGGCTCCAAAATGGCCTTTCTCAGATTCTCCAAAAAGAGTGTCACCAACCTGCTGAAGCAAAATAAAGATTTAAGTTTGTGAGATGATTTGACACGTAACAAAGCAGTTTCACGATATCTTCTTTCTAGTTTTTATCTGGGGATATTCAGTTTTTCTCCATAGAACAAAATGGGCTAACAAATGTCCCTTCAAAGATTCTCCAAAGTGAGTGTTTCCAACCTGCTGAATCAAAAGGTTTACCTCTGTGACATGAATCCACCTATCACAAAATATTTCACAGATAACTTCTTTCTCATTTTTATCTGGGGATATTCAGTTTTTCCCCACAAGCCTCAGTGGGCTCCCAAATGTCCCTTCACAGATGATCCAAAAAGAATGTTTCTAACCTACTGAATCAAAAGAAAAGTTTAACTCTGTGAGATGAATGCACACATCCAAAGCAGTTTCACAGTTAGCTTCTTTCTAGGTTTTATCAGGGGATATTCAGTTTCATGCAATATTCTTCAATGGGCTCCAGAATGTCCCTTTGTTAATTCTCCAAAAAAGTGTTTTTAACCCCCTGAATCAAAAGAATAGTTTCAATCTGTGAGATGAATCCACATATCAAAAATTAGCTTCACAGATAACTTCTTTGTACTTTTCATCTGGGGATATTCTGTTTATCCCCATAGCCCTCAATGAGCTCCCAAATGTTCATTCACAGATTTCAAAAAGGAGTGTTTTCATCCTCCTGAATGACAAGAAACATTTAACTCTGTGAGATGAATCCACACATCACAAAGCATTTTCACAGATAGCTTCTTTCTAGTTTTTATCTGGGGAGAGTCTGTGTGTCCTCATAGTCCTCAAAAGGTTCCCAAATATTTCTTCACAGATTCTCCAAAAAGAGTGTTTCCAAGCTACTGAATAAAAAGACATGTGTAACTCTGTAACTCAAATCCACACTTAAAAAAAAGCAGTGACACAGATAGATTATTTCCGTTTTTTTTTTCCTGTGGATATTCTGTTTTTTTCCATAATCCTGGATAGGTTCCCAAATGTCCCTTCACAGATTCACAAAAAGAGTCTTTCCACCTTGCTGAATCAAAAGAAAAGGTAAAGTCTCTGAGATGAATCCACACATCACAAAACAGTTTCATAGACATCTTCCTTCTAGTTTTTATCAGGGGGTACTCAGTTTTTTCCTGTGGGCCTCAATGGGCTTCCAAATATCCCTTCACAGATTTTACCAAAAGAGATGTTCTAACCTGTAGAATCAAAAGAAAGTTTTACCTCTGTGAGATGAATCCACACATCACAAAGCAATTTCACAGATAACTTCATTCTAGTTTTTATCTGGAGATATTCAGTTTTTCTCATTAGGCCTCAATGGGCACGAAAAAGTCCCCAGGCAGATTCTCCAGAAGGAAAACTTCCAACCTGCTGAATTAAAAAAAAAAGAGTTTAACTCTGTCAGACGAATCCGCATATCACAAAGCCATTTCACAAATAGCTCCTTTCTATTTTTTATCTGAATTTATTGTTTTTCCCCATAGGCCTCAATGGGTTATTAATTGTCCTTTAGCAGTTTCTCCAAAACGGTGTTTCCAACCTGCTGAATCACAAAGAAGGTTTCACTCTGTGAGATGAATCCACACATCACAAAGCATTTTATGGATAGATTCTTTCTAGTTTTTATCTTGGGGTATTTCATTTTTCCCCATAGGCCTCAATGCTTTCCAAAATGTTCCATTGCATATTCTCCAAAAACTGTGTTTCCAGCCTGCTGAATGAAAAGAAAGGTTTAATCCTGTTAGCTGAATCCACACATTGCAAAGTAGTTTCACAGATAGTTTCTTTGCAGTGTTTATTTGGAGATACTCTGTTTTTCCCCATAGGCCTCAAAGGGCTTCCAAATCTCCCTTTGAAGATTCTTTAAAAAGAGTATTTCCAACATGCTGATCAAAGGAAAAGTTTACCTCTCAGATGAATCCTCACATCACAAAGCAGTTTCATACTTAGCTTCTTTGTAGATTTTATCTGGGCACATTTGTTTTTCCCATGTAGGCCAAAATGGGTTCCCAAAAGTCTTTTCTCAGATTCTCCAAAAACGGTATTACTAAACTGCTGAATCAAAAGAAAGACTTAACCATGATTGATGAATCACACATCACAAATCAGTTTCACACATATTTTGTTTCTAATTTTTATCTGGGGAAAATTCTGGTTTTCCCCATAGGCCTCAAAGGGCCCCCAATTGTTTTCTCACAGATTCTCCAAAAAGAGTGTTTCCAACCTGCTGAATCAAAAGAAATTTTTAACTCTGTGAGATGAATAGACACATCACAAAGCAGTTTCACCGATAGGTTCTTAGTATTTTTTATCTGGTGATATTCAGTTTTTCCCCATAGGCCTCAAAGGACTCCTAAATGTCCCTTCACAGATTCTACAAAAAGAGTTTTTTTCAAACTACTGATTCAAAAGAAAGTTTTTTCTTGGTGCAAAGAATCCACAGATCACAAAGTAGTTTCATAGATAGCTTCTTTCTAGTTTTTATTTGAGGTATTCTGTTTTCCCAGTAGGACTCAATGGGCTCCTAAATGTCCCCTCACAGATTCTTCAAAGAACATTTGCAATTTTGTGAATCATAAGAAAGATTTAATGCTGTGAGATTAATCCACACGTCACAAAGCCTTTTCACAGATAACCTCCTTCTAGTTTTTATCTGGGGCTATTCAGTTTTTGCCCAGAGGCCTCAGCGGGTTACAATTTGTCCCTTCGCAGATTCTCCAAAAGAGTGTTTCCAACCTGCTGAATCAAAAGAATGTTTTAACACTGTGAAATAAATCCACACATCACAAAGCAGTTTCCCAGACAGCTTACTTCTACTTTTATTTGTGGATATTCTGTTTTTCCCCATATGCCACAAAGGGCTCCCAAATGTCCCATGGCATATTTTTCCAGGAAGAGTGTTTCCAACCTGCTGAATCAAAAAAAGTTTTCCTCTGTGAGATGAATCCACACATCACATAGCAGTTTCCCAGACAGCTTCTTTCTAGTATTTATCTGGGATTATTCTGTTTTTTTCCATAGGCCTCAATGGGCTACAAAATGTCTTGTTGCATATTTTCCAAAAAGAGTGTTTTTAACCTGTGAAATCATAAGAAATGTTTAACTCTGTGAGAGAAGTCCACACACCTCAAAGCAGTTTCACAGATAACTTCTTTCTAATAATTATCTGGGGATATTCCATTTTTTTCCATATGCCTCAATGGGCTCCCAAGAGTCCATTTGCAAATTCTGTAAAAAGAGTGTCTCCAACCTGCTGAGTAAGAAGAAAACTTTAACTCTGTAAGATGAATCCTCACAACATGAAACAGTTTCACAGATGGCTTCTTTCTTGTTTTTACCTTAGGATATTCTGTTGTTTTCCCTAGATGTCAATGTGCTCCCAAATGTGTCTTTGTAGATTCTCAAAATGAGTGTTTCCATCATGCTGAATCAAATAAAAGTTTATCACTGTGAGATGAATCCACCCATCACAAAGCAGTTTCAGAGATAGCTTCCTTGTACTTTTTATCTGGAGATACTCTGTTTTTCCTTGTATTCCTCAAACAACTCCCAAACGTCCCTTCACACATTCTACATAAAAAGTGTTTCCAACCCGAAGAATAAAAAGAAAACGTTAACACTGTGAAATGAATCCACAAATCACAAAGCAGTTTCAAAAATATCTTCTTTCTAGTTTTTACCTGAAGATATTCTGTTGTTCCTTTTAGGCCACAATGGGCTCCAAAAATGTCCCTTCACAGATTCTCCAAAAAGAAAGTCTCCAACCTGCTGAATAAAAAGTATGTTTTAACTTCACACATCACAAAGACGTTTCACAGTTAGCTTCCTTTTAGTTTTCACCTGGGAATATCCAGTTTTTCCCCTAGGCCTCAGTGGGTTAAAAATTGCCCCTTCACAGATTCTCCAAAAGAGTGTTTGCAATCTGTTGAATCAAAGAAAACCTTTAATTCTGCGAGATGAATCTACCCATCACAAAGCAGCTTCACAGATAGCTTATTTCAAGTTTTTATCTGGGGATATTCAGTTTTTCCTCATAGGCCTCAGTGGGCTCCCAAATGTAGCATCACTTATCCTCCAAAAGAGTGTTCTCCACCTGCTCAATCAAAAGAACGTTGTAACTTTTTGAGATGAATCCACCCATCACAAAGAAGTTTCACAGATAACTTATTTGTGATTTTTATCTGTGGACATTCTGTATTACCCCCAAAGCCATCCATGTACTCTCAAATATTTCTTCACAGATTCTCCAAAAAGAGTGTTTCAAACCTGCTGAATCCAAAGAAAGGTTCAACTCTGTGAGATGAATCTATACATCTCAAAGCAGTTTTACAGATAGTGCCTTTTTAGTTTTTATCTGGGTATATTTAGTTTTTACTGGATAGCCTCAATGGGCTTCAAAATATGTCTTTGCAGATTCTCCAAAAAGAGTGTTTACCTTCTGCTGAATCAAAAGAAAAAAAATAGCTCAGTGAGATGAATCCACACATCAAAAAGCAGTTTCATAGACAGCTTCCTTCTAGTTTTTATTTGAGGAGATTTGTTTTTTCTTTTTTTCCATAGGCATAAATGGGCTCCCAAATGTCCCTTCACAGATTCTGCAAAAAGGTCTTCTGAATCTGATGAATCAAAAGGAAAATTATCCACTCTAAGATGAATCCAAACATCACAAAGCCATTTCACAGATACCTTCTTATATGTTTATCTGGGGTTATTCAATTTTTCCCCATAAGCCTCAATGGGTGATCAAATGTCCCTTCACAGATTCGCCAAAAAGAGCGTTTTTAACATGCTGAATCAGAAGAAAGTTTTAACATTGCGAGATGAATACACACATTACAAAGCAGTTTCACAGATCACTTCTTTCTAGTTTGTATCGGGATTTTCAGTTTTTCCCAGAAATCCTCAATGGGTTCCCAAATGTCCCTTTGCATAGTCTCAAAAAATAGTGTGTCCATCCTGCTAAATCAAAAGAAAATTTTAGACTGTGAGATAAATCCAAACATCACAAAGCACAGTCACAAATAGCTTCTTTCTAATTTTTATCTGGGGATATTCACTTTTTTCCCCATAGGTTTCAATGATTGTTGCAATGTCCCTTGGTGGATTCTCTAAAAAGAGTGTTTCCATCCTGCTGAATCAAAAGAAAGGTTTAACTCTGTGATATGAATCCACGCATAACAAGACACTTTCACAGGCAGCTTCTTTTTGGTTTATATCTGGGGATAAGCAGTTTTTCCTCATATGCCTCACTGGGTCCCCAAATGTCCCAAATGTCACAAATCACAAAGCCATTCCACAAATATCTCCTTTCTAATTTTTATTGGGAAGATTCTGTTTTCTCCCATAAGCCTCAATGTGCTCCCAAATGTCATTTCACAGATGCTAGAAAAAGAGTGTTTCCATCCTCTAAATAAAAGAAAGTTTTAATTCTGTGTGATGAATCCACACATCACAAGGCAGTTTCACAGACAGCTTCATTCCAATATTTATCTGGGGATATTCAATTTTTTCAAATAGGTCTCAAATGCCTACCACATTTCCCTTTGCAGATTCTATAAAAGTGTGTTTCCAATCTGTTGAATCAAAGGAAAGGTTTAAATTTATAAGATGAATCCACAAATCACAAAGCATTTTCATAGATACCTTCTTTCTAGTTTTTATCAGGGGATATTCGGTTTTTCCACAAACATCAATGGGCTCCCAAATGTTTCTTGGAAAATTCTCCAAAAGACTATTTCCAACCTGTTGAATCAAAATAAATGTTTATTTCTGTAGCTGAATCCAAATATCACAAAGCAGTTTCACAGACAGCTTCTTTCTAGTTTTTATCTGGGAATATTCAGTTTTTGGGGGCTACACTTCAATGTCTCTTCGCAGAGTGTACAATAAGAGTGTTTTCAACTGGCTGAATCAAAAGAAAGGATTCAGTCTGTGAGATGAGTCCACACAACGCTAAGCAGTTTCATAGGGAAATTCTTTTTAGTTTTTGTTAGGGTATATTCAGTTTTTCCCCATAGGTGTTAATGGGCACCAAAATGTCCCTTCACAGATTCTCCAAAAACAATGTTTCCAACCAGCTGAATCAAAAGAAATGTTTGAATCTGTGAGACGAATCTACACATTACAAAGTAGTTTTAAGGTAAATTCTTTCTAGTTTTTATTTAGGCTATTCCTTTTTTCCCCCATTGGCCACAATGGTTTCCCAAATGTCTCTTCACAGATTCTACAAAAAGAGTGTTTTCAACACGCTAAACCAAAAGAAAGGTTTAAAACTGTGAGATTAATCCACACACCACAAAGCCATTTCACAGATAGATTCTTTCCAGTTTATATCTGAAGATATTTGAATTTTTCCCTGTAAGCCTATTGTGGCTCCCAAATGTCCCTTTGCATGTTCTCCACAGTGTTGCCAGCCTGCTGAATCAAAAGTAGGGTTCAACTCTGTGAGATGAATACATGAATCACAAAGTAGAATTTTAATGTGGGTATACTTCTTTTTTTCCCTTAGGCCTCAATGAGGTCTGAAATATGCCTTCATAAATTCTATAAAAAGAGTATGTATAATCTGCTGAATTAAAAGAAGGATTTAACTCTTTGAGATGAATCCACACATCCCAAAGCAGTTTGTAAGAGAGCTTCTTTCTAGTTCTTATCTGGGCATATTCAGTTATTCTTCATAGGCTTCAACAGGCTCCCAAATGTCCCATCACAGATTCTTCAAAAAGAGTGTTTCCAACCTGCTTGACCAAAAGCAATCTTTAACTCTGTGAGATGAATCCACACATCTCATAGCAGCTTTAATGATTAATACTTTCTAGTTTTTATCTGTGGATGTTCAGATTTTTCCCATAAGCTTCAATGGGCTACAAAATGTCCCTTCGCAGAAGCTCCAAAAACAGTGTTTCCAACCTGCTGAATAAAAAGAATGGTGTAACTCTGTGAGATGAATTCACACATCACAAAGCAGTTTCACAGACAGTTTCCTTTTAGTCTTTATCTGGGGATATTCTGTTTTTTCCTGATAGGCCTCAATGGGATCCCAAATGCCCTTTTGCAGATCCTGCAAAAAGAGTTTTTCCAACCTGCTGAATCAAAAGAAATGTTTAACTGTGTGAGATGAATGCACACTTCTAAAAGTAGATTCACAGATAAATTATTTCTAGTTCTTATCTTGGGATATTTTTTTCCCCTATGCCTCTATAGTCTCCAAAATGTCCCTTTTCAGACACTACAAAAAGAGTGTTTGTAATCGGTGGAATCAAAGAAAAGTTTTAAATCTGTAAGATGAATCCATACATCACAAAGCAGTTTCACACATAGCTTCTTTCCAGTTTTCATCTGGGGATATTTGGATTATCTCCATAGGACTCAATGGGGTTCTAAATGTCCATTCACAGAATCTTTAAAAAGAGTTTTTCCAACCAGCTCTTTCAAAAGAATGGTTTAAATCTGTTATATTAATCTGCACTTCACAAATCTTTTACAAAAAGCCTCCTTCTAATTTTTATCTGGGAATTTTCATCTTTTCCCCTTATGCCTCAATTGTCTCACATAATTTTTTGCACATAATTCAAAAAAGTGTTTATAACCTTTTGAAAGAAAAAAAAAGGTTTAACTTTGTGAGATGAATCCACACTTCACTAAGCAGTTTCACAGATAACTTCTTTCTAGTTTTTATCTGGGGATATTCAGTTTTTCCCCATAGGACCCAATGGGCTCCCAATGTCTCTATGCAGATTCTCCAAAAAGAGTGTTTACAACCTGATGAATGAAAACAAAGGTTTAAATCTGTGAACAGAATCCACAGATCACAAAGCAGTTTAACAGAGAGCTTCTTTCTACTTTTTATCTGGGGATACTCACCTTTTCCCCATAGGTTAAACAGGGCTGTCAAATGTCCCTTTGCTGATTCACCAAGACAGTGATTCTAACCTGCTGAAAGAATAAATCCATGCATCAAAAGCAGTTGCACAGATTGCTTCTTTCTAATTTTTATCTGGTAATATTTGTTTTTTCCCCACAGGCCAAAATGGGCTCCCAAATGTCCCCCAGATTTCTCCAAAAAGAGTGATGCCAACCAGATGAATCAAAAGAAAGGTTTATCTCTGCATGATGAATCCACACATCACAAAACAGTTTCACAGATAGCTTCTTTCTAGTTTTTATCTGGGGATTCTCAGCTTTTCCCCATAGGCATCAATGGGCTCCCAAATGTCCCTTCACAGATTCTCCAAAAAGAGTGATCCCAACTGGCTGAATCAAAAGAAAGTTTTATCTCTGTATGATAAATGCACACATCACACCTGCTGAATCAAAAGAAAGATTTAACCCTGTGAGACCAACACACATCACAAAGCAGTTACACAAATAGCTTCTTTCTTGTTTTTATGTGGTTTATTTTGTTTTTTCCATAGGCCTCAAAGGGCTCTCAAATGTCACATCATAGAATCTGCAAAATGAGATTCTGCTGAATTAAAAGAAATATTTAACCCTGTGAGATGAATCCACACATCTCAAAGCAGTTTCTCAGATACCTTCTTCCTAGTTCTTATCTGGGGATATTCCATTTTTCTTCATAGGCCTCAATAGGATCCCAAATGTCCCTTTGCAAATTCTCCAAAAACAGTGTGTCCAACCTGTTGAATAAAAAGAAAGTTTTAATTCTGTGATATTAATCCACACATCACAAAGAAGTTTCATGGATAGCTTCTTAGTAGTTTTTATCTGGGATGTTCAAATTTTCCCCACAAGGCACAATGGACTCACAAGTGTCCACTCGCAGAACCACCAAAAAGAGAGTTTCCAATGTAGTGAATGAAAAGAAAGATTTACCACTTTGCAATGAATCCAAACATCACAAAACAGTTTCAAAAATAACATTTTCTTTGTTTTTATCTGGGGATATTCACTTTTACCCATAGGCCTCAATTGGCTTCCAAATTTCCCTTCACAGATTTTACAAAAATAGTGTGTCCAAGCTACAGAATCAAGAGAATGGTTTACTTTGTGAGAGGAATCCACACATCATAAAGCAGTTTCATGGATAGCTTCTTTCTAGTTTTAATGTGTGGATATTTGGTTTTTCCCCGTTGGCTTCAATTGGCTCCCATTTGTCCCTTTGCAGATTCTCCAGAAAGACTGTTTCCAGCCTGGTAAACCAAAGAATGGTTGAACACTGTGAGGTGAATCCACACATCAAAAACCAATTTCATGGATAGCCTCTTTCTAGTTTTATCTTGGGATATTCCGTTTTGCACTGTAGGACTCATTAGGCTTCCAAATGTCCCTTTGCAGATTATCCAAAAACAGTTTTTTGACCTTCTGAATCAAAAGAAATGTTTAACTCTGTGAGTTGAATCCACACATCCCAAAGCAGTTCCACAAAGAGCTTCTTTCTCGTTTTCATCTGGGGATATTCTGTTTTTGTCTAGGCCTCTAAAGGCTTTAAAATGTACCTTCGCAGATTCTCCAAAAAGAGTGTTTCCAACCTGCTGAAACAAAAGAAAGTTCTTACTCTGTGAGGTTAATCCACACATTTCAAAGCAGTTTTACAGTTAGCTTCTTTTTAGTTTGTATCTAGGGATATTCGATATTTCCTCATCAGATTCAAAAGGTTCCAAACTGCCCCATGGCAGATTCTACAAAAAGAGAGGGTTTCCAACCTGCTGATTCAAAAGTAAGGTTTAACCCTGTGAGAAGAATCTACACATCACAAAACAGATGCACAGATAGCTCTTTTCTAGTTTTTATCTTGGGATATTCAGTTTTTCCCCATAGTCCTCAATGGGCTCCCAAATATCTCCCTGCTGATTCTCAAAAAAGAGAATTTCCAAGCTGATGAATAAAAAGAAAAATTTAGCTCTGTGTGAGGAATCCAAACTTCATGAAAGAATTTCACCAATAGGTTATTTCTGGCTTTTATCTGCAAATATTCTGTTTTTCCCTGTAGGCCTCAAAAAGCTTCAAAACTTTCATTCACACATTTTACAAGAATAGTTTTTGCCACGTGATGAATCAAAAGAAAGGTTTAACTCTGTGAGAGGAATCCATACATCAGAAAGCAGTTTCACACAGGGCTTCTTTCCAGTTTTTATCTGGGGATATTCAGTTTTTCCCCACAGGCCCCACTGGGATCACAAATGTTCCTTTGCAGATTCTCCAGAAAGAGTGTTTCCAATGTCCTGAATCTAAAGAAAGGTTTAACTCTATGAGATGAATCCAAACATCACAAAGCTCCTTCACAGATAACTTCTTTCTAGTTTTTATCAGGAGATTTTTTTTTCCCCCATAGGTCTCAATGGGCTCCCATGTGTCCTTCCACAGATTCTCCAAAAAGAGGGTTTCCAACCTGCAGGACTTAATATGCTCCCAAATGTACCTTCACAGATTCTCTAATAAGATGTTTCCAACCCACTGAATCAAAAGAAAGGTTTAACTCTTTGAGATTAATCCAAGTAAAACAAAACAGTTTAACAGGTAGCTTTATTTTTGTTTTTGTTTTTTTTTTTTCTTAAAACATCACAAAGAAATTGCACTGAGAGTCTCTGTCTAGATTTGTGTGAGGATATTCATTTTTTTTCAAGTATACCAATATGGACTCCAAAATGTCTAGTCCCAGATTCTCCAAAAAAAAGTGTTTCCAACCTCCTGAGTCAAAAGAAAGGTTTAACTCCGTGAGATGAATGCACACATCAAAAACAGTTCTACAGATAACTTCTTTCTAGTTTTTATCTGGGATATTCTGTTTTTCCCCATAGGCCTCAATGGGCTCACAAAGGTCCCTTCACAATACTACAAAAAGAGTGTTTCCAACGTACTGACTCAAAAAATGTTTTAACTCTGTGGGATAATTCCACACATCACAAAGCAATTTCACAGATACATTCTTTACAGTTTTTACCTGGGGATATTCAGTTGTACTGCATAGGCCTCAATCTGCTCTAAAATGTACCTTTGCAGATTCACCAAAAAGTGTGTTTCCAACCTGCTGAATCAAATAAAGTTTTAACTCTGTGAGATGAATCCACACATCACAAAGCAGTTTCACTGATAACTTCATTCTAGATTTTATCTGGGGATATGCAATTTTAAACATAAACCTCGATGGAGTCCAAAATTTCCCTTCACCGTTTTACAGAACTGATGTTTCCAACCTGCTGAATCACAAAAATGTGTTAACACTCTGAGATAAATCGACACATCAAAAAAGAGTTTCACAGATAGCTTCTTTCTAGTTTCTATCTGGGGATATCCTGTTTTTCCCCATGGACCTCAATGAGCTGCCAAGTGTCCCTTTGCAGATTCTCCAAAAGTGTGTTTCCAACCCGCTGAATCAAAACAAAGGTTTAACTCTGTGAGATGAATCCACACATCACAAAGGAGTTTCACAGATAGCTTCTTTCTACTTTTTATCTTTGGATATTGGTTTTGCCTTTTACACACCCATGGACTCCCAAATATTTATTCAAAGATTCTCCAAAAACAGTGTTTCCAACCTGCTGAATCAAAAGAAAGGTTCAACTCTGTGAGGTGAAATCCACACATCACAGGCAATTTTACAAATAGCTTCATTTTAGTTTTATCTGGTGTATTTTGTTTTTCCATATAGGTCTCATTGGGTTCCCAAATGTCCCCTCACAGATATTCCAAAAAAAGTATTTATCTTCTGCTTAATCAAGATAAAGTTTTAACTCTGTGAGATGAATCAACATGTCAAAAATCAGTTTCACAGATAGCTTCTTTCTAGTTTTTATCACTTAGCAGAGACTCCAAAAAGAGTGTTTCCAACCTGCTGAATCAAAAAAGGTGTAACACTGTCAGAAGATTCCACACATCCCAAAGCAGTTTCACAGACAATTTCATTCTAGTTTTTATCTGGGGATATTCAGTTTTTCCCCTTAGGCCTCAATGACCCCCTAATGTCCCTTCACATATTCTCCAAAAAGAGTGTTTCCAACCTAGTGATTAAAAATAAAACTTTAACTCTCAGAGAGGAATTCACACATCACAAAGAAGTTTCATAGATAGCTTCTTACTAGTTTTTCCTTGAAGATATTTGTTCTTTTCCTAGGTCTCAATGGGCTTCCAAATGTCCCTTCACAGATTCTGTAAAACAAGGGTTTCCAAGCTGCTGAATGAAAAGAAAGTTTTAACTCTGTGAGATGAATCCACAAATCCCAAGGTAGTTTCACAGAAAACTTCATTATAGTTTTTGTCTGTGTATATTGGTTTTTCCCTTAGGGCTCAATGAGCCAAAAAATTTTCCTTCACAGATTCTACAAAAATACTGTTTCAAGCCTGCTAGATGAAAAAAAAGTATTAACTGTGTCAGAAAAATCCACACATCACAAAGCAGTTTCACAGATAGCTTCTTTCTAGTTTTTATCTGGGGATAATAAGTTTTTCCTTATAGGCCACAATAGGTTGCAAAATGTTCACTTGCAAATTCTCCAAAAAGAGCGTTTACAACCTGTTGAATTATAACAATGGTTTAACTCTGTGAGATGAATCCACACATCACAAAGCAGTTTCAAAATTTTATCTGGGGATATTTAGTTTTTCCCCTTAGCCCTCAATGGGCTCCTAAGTTTTTTTTCACAGATTCTGGAAAAGGAGTGCTTCCAACCTGGTGAATGAAAAGGAAGAATTAATCCTGTGAGAAGAATCCACACATCCTGAAGCAGTGTCACAGATAGCTTCTTTTGAATTTTTATCTGGGGATATTATGTGTTTCCCCATTGGCTTCAATGGGCTCTCATATATCTCCTCGCAGATTCTTCAAAAATAGTATTTCCAACTTGCTGCATCAACAGGAAAGAATTTATCTCCGGGAGAGGAAAGCACACATCGCAAAGCAGTTTCTCTGATAGCTTCTTTTTGGTTATTATTTGGGTATATCCCGTTTTTCCCCATAGCAATCAATGGTTTCACAAAAGTTCGTTTGCATATTCTACAAAAGAGTGTTTCCAACCTGCTGAATCAGAAAAACGTTTAACTCTCTGTGATAAATCCACACATCACAAAGCAGTTTCACAGATAGCTCCTTTCTAGTGATTATCTGGGGATATTCCATTTTTCACCATAGGTCTCAAACTACTCCCAAATGTCCCTTCACAGATTCTGCTAAAAAAGTTTTTCCAACCTGCTGAATCATAAGAAACGTTTAACTCTGTGAGATGAATTGACACAACACAAAGCAGTTTCACAGATAGCTTCTCTATAGTTTTTACCTGGAAATATTCAGTTTTTATCCGTTGGCCACAATGGGCTCCAAAATTTCCCTTAGCAGATTCTCTAAAATGAGCGTTTCCAACCTGCTGAATCAAAAGAAAGTCTTATTTCTGTGAGATGAATCCACACATCCCAAAGTGATTTCACAGATAGATTCTCTCTAAGTTTTATCTTGGGTTCTTCAGTTTTTCCCAATGGGCTCCTAAGTGTTCCTTTGCAGATTCTCCAAAAAGGGTGTTTCCTACTGTCGGATCAGAAGAAAGCTTTAACCCTGTAGGATGAATCTCCACAACACAAAGCAGTTTCACAGATAGCATCTTTCTAGTTTTTAACTGGGAATATTAGGTTTTTCCCCAGAGGCTTCTATGACTACCAAAATGTCACTTCTCAGATTCTCCAGAAAGATCGTTTCCAAATTGATGAATATAAGGAAAGGTTTAACTCAGTGGGATAAATTCACACATCACAAAGCATTTTCACCAATAGCTTCCTTGTAGTTTTTATCCGGGTTTATTCAGTTTATCCTCATGTGCCTCAATGGGCTCCCTAATGTCCCTCTGCAGATTCTCCAAAAAAGAGTGTTTCCAAAGTGCTTAATCAAAAATAAGGTTTAACTCTGTAAGATACATCCACACATCACCAAGCAGTTTCACAGATAGTTTTTTTCAAGTTTTTATCTGGGAATATTCAGTTTATCCTTATAGTTCTTAATAGGCTCTTAAATTTCTCTTTGCAGATTCTCCAAAAAGAGTGTTTACAGGCCAGGTGAGGTGGCTCATGCCTGTAATCCTAGCACTTTAGGAGGCCAAGGTGGGTGGATCATGAGGTCAGGAGATCGAGGTCATCCTGGCTAACATGGTGAAACCACGTCTCTACTAAAAATACAAAAAAATAGCCAGGTGCAGTGGTGGGTGACTGTAGTCCCAGCTACTCAGGAGGCTGAGGCCAGAGAATGGCGTGAACCCAGGAGGAGGAGCTTGCAGTGAGCCAAGATAGCACCACTGAACTCCGGCTTGGGAGAAAGAGCAAGACTCTGTCTCAAAAAAAAAAAAAAAAAAAAAGAGTGTTTCCAAACTGCTGAATCCAAAAAATTTACCTCTTTGAGATGAATCCACACATCACAAAGAAGTTTCACAGATAGTTTCTTTCTAGTTTTTGTCTGGGTATATTTGTTTTTTCCCAATGGCGTCAATGGGCTCCAAAATGTCCCTTCACAAATTCTACAAAAAGAGTGTTTGCAACCTGCTGAATAAAAAAAAAAAAAAAAAAAGCTTTAATCCTGTAAGATGAATCCATATATCACAAAGCTGTTTCACAGATGGCTCTTCCTAGTTTTTATGTGAGGATATTTTGTTTTTTGCCATAGGCGTTAAACATCTCCCTAGTATTTATTTGCATATTCTCTAAAAAGAGTGGTTTCAATATGCTGAATCAAAAGAAAGATTTGACTCTGTGAGATGAATCCACGTATTACATAGTAGTTTCACAGATAGCTTCCTTCTAGTTTTTATCTGTGGATATCCTGTTTTTACCCATAGGCCTTGATGGGCTCTCAAATGTTCCTTCAATGTTTCTCCAAAAATAGTGTTTCCAACATGCTGGATCAAAAGAATAGGTTACCTCTGTGAGAGGAATCGACACAACACAATGTTGGGAGAAAAGCTGAGTGTTGGGAGAGAAGCTGAGGCAGGCCTTGCATGTCTCCTAGGCTTGCTTGCTCCTTGCCTTTTGCACTCCCATTATCTCAAGCAGAAATATGTTACTCATTCAGATGATATGCTGTTTCATTTCAACCCCCACTTCTTCACAACCTGTTGGTTTGTTTGTGCACCAGTCAATAGTTTGGACTCCCAGAGCTCGGGGCCTTTGCAGCCTTTGCACTCACAATAGCCCCCTTGTCACACTTTGTGTCTCAAACTGTCTTTCTCTCATTTATTTGACTCTGCCAGACGTCGCCACCCCCATGGCCTGGTTTTGGGTCTGATCATCCCAGCATCCCTGCCTAAGAAAAGTGGGGTGACAAAGACCCCGATGAAGGAATGCTAGAGAGTGTGAAAGCAGAGGACACATCTTCAAAGGACACCTGAAGACATCTAACAGAAGCCCCGTGGTAAGCTGAGCACTTGGAAGAATTTGGGTATAAATGGGAGAAGGTGAAAGCAGACATTCTGCTTATTTAAATATCTTAAGACATTTATTACGAAGAGGAGGAGAGAAAGTTAGTAATCAGAACTTTTTATCACTCTTTAGTACAGTAAAGCAGTTTTGCCAATGGTTTCCTGAACAAGAGAAAATGGAGTTGGATGAATGGGAGAGAATTGTAAGATATTTTAAAGAAGCGTATAAAGATGGAGCAGAAATTCCAGTTTCCATTTGGTCAATGTGGGCACTAATAAAAACAGCTCTTGAGCCATTTCAAACAGATGATGAGGTAGATTCCAATGAGCAAGAGGAGGATGAGTGTAAAAAACTGACTTCAGGCTCTGAGCATGAGGAACAGATACTGGAGGAGATTAAAGAAAAGAAAGGCAAACTAAAAAAAAAGCTTATTTTACTAGCCTGTCAGCTACATCCAGTGAATTAATTGAATGGCCACTTGCTCTCTTTCCCCTTAATGGGTGAGAAAATAAATTAGCTGAAAAACTTACTGCTCCATTAGTTAACAAAATTAATGAGATATGATCCAAATCAGATTATAGTTCCATTAACAAAACAAAAAATTCAACAAGCCTATATTAATTCCCAAGAAAGTCTGCTTAATTTGGCTGGTTTTGTTGGCATTTTTCATAGTCATTATCCTAAGTGTAAAATCTTCCAGTTTCTAAAATAAACATCCTGGATATTGCCTTCTATTACTCAAAAAGCCCCTGTTGAAGGGGTCATTATTGTTTTTTTCTGATGGATTTGTAGGTCTTCCACAGCAATATGTTTGTTTTGCATATATATGTCTTCGAAAAATACATGATCTATCATGAAAACTAGCTAAAGAAATTGTGCAACACTTTTCTGCCTGCCAAGTCCTGCATCTGCCACATCAGTGAACAGGAGTTAACCCTAGAGGTTTATCTCCAAATTCCATGTGGCAGATGGATGGTACACATATTCTTGCTTTTGGAAAATTGTCCTTTGTTCACGTTTCAGTAGATACCTATTCACATTTTATTTGGGCCACATGTCAAACAGGGAAAGCCACAGCTCATGTTAAAAGACACCTTTTATCTTGCTTTTCAGTTATAGGAATCCCAGAAAAAAATCAAAACCAATAATGGCCCAGGATACTGTAGTAAACCATGGCTACATTTTTTCAACAGTGGAATATTACCCATATTATAGGTATTCTATATAACTTACAAGGACAAGCAATAGTGGAAAGAGTAATACTGCTTTAAAAACTCAAATACAACAGCAAAAGTGAGGGGACCAGGAATATAAGACACCACATATGCAATTGCATTTAGCTTTATTAACATTATTTTTTTCTTATTTTCAAAAAGGTCAACCCATGACTGCAGCTGAACAACACCTGACAGAATGAAAGGAAAATAAAAAGGCTGGACAAGATATATGGTGGAGTTATGCATATACGAAGAGCTGGGAAAAAGGAAAGATAATTTTATGAGGAAGAGGATTTGTTTGTGTCTCTCCAGGTGATAATCAGGTGCCTGTATGGGTGCCCATCCAACATCTGAAAATCTATCAGGAGCCACAGCATCTAGTGGACCCAACTGTACAGGGCAAATAGGAGGTTTAATGATTGCTTTTAAGCCTTGATTTGGTTTCTCTGTGCCTTCTGTTAGAAGGGGCCTGCTTCTCATTATCAATGGTAAGTCTTACCCTGCAGTAATTAACCAAAGAGGCAGAAGCTGAGTTACAAATGCTTCAGCAATGGCATGCCTCCAGGCTACAGCCAGCAAAGCTTTTGCTTTTGTTTCAGTAGATTTACTAACGTGAGGGTGAGGGTATGCTTGTGTTTTTGCAGAAGATAAACAAACCATGTAGATGCCCTCAAGACGTGTATGACCATGGAACAGGAGACTGGAAGGACCCATGGATCCCAACCATGGACCGGGTTTCCCCAGTATGAGCCATGCTGAGAAACCACTGGAATGCAAGATTTTACCTGCAGACGCTTGACAGACCAATGCTTTCTTACTGAACTCCTCTCTACCCTGAATACAAGAGACACAAATATGTAGGCAGGAGTATCAATGCCCCTATTCAGCATGAAGAAGTTACAGAAGATGGACCTTCATCCTCCTGCAACCCCTAGGATTAAGGGTCCTCTTGTAAAAGGGAAAGGGGAGATATATAGGAAGCATTCAAACCAGAGACTCCATTTTGAATAAGGGCTAAGAAAAATGAAGCTGGATCATCAACTGGCAATTAAGGGCTGGACAGCCTGCAATTGTCTTACTCAATTAATTTAAAAACAAGGACACCTTATGATAATAATAATGACAGCTTTGGTAGTTTTTACAAAAACGAAGGGGGGCATGGTGGGAGAAAAGCTAAGTGTTGGGAGGAGCTGAGGCAGGGCTTGCATGTCTTTTTCTCATTCCATTCACTCTGACAGACGTCATCATGCCCACAATCTGGTGTTGGGTCTGATGAGTGCTACACACAAAGCAGTTTCACAGACAGATTCTTTCTAGGTTTTACCTGTAAATATTTGATTTTTCCCCATAGGCCTCAATGGAGTCTCAAATGTCCCTTCGCAGATTCTCCAAAAAGAGTGATTCCAACCTGCTGAATCAAAAGAAAATTTAAATCTGTGAGACGAATCAACACATCAGAAAGCAGTTTCACAGATAGCTTTTTTCTAGTTTTTATCTGGGGATATTTGTTTTTAATTATAGATGTCAATGGGCTCCCGAATGTCCCTTCACAGATTCTACAAAAATTATGTTTCCAATCTGCTGGATCAAAACAAAGGTTTAACTCTTTTGAGAGGAATCCACACATTCAAAGAAGTTTCACAGATACCTTTGTTCTAGTTTTCATCTGGGGATATTCGATTTTAACTTATAGGATTTAATCATCTCCCAAATGTCTTTTTGCAAACTCTCCAAAAAAGTGTTTCCAACCTGCTGAATCAAAAGAAAGGTTTAATTATGAGAGATGAATCCACACAGCTCAAAGCAGTTTCACAGATAGCTTCTTTCTTTTTTTAATCTGGTGATATTTGGTTTTTACCCATCAGCCTTAATGAGATCACATGTGTCCCTTTGCAAATTCTCCAAAAAGAGAGTTTTCAACTTGAGGAATCAAAAGAAAGATTTAACTCTGTGAGATGAATCCACACATAACAAAGCAGTTTCTCAGATTGTTCCTTTGTATTTTTCATCTGGAAATATTCGGTTTTTACATATAGGCCACGACAGGCTCCAAATTACCCCTTAGAAGATTCTGCAAAATAAGAGTTTCCAACCTGCTTGATGAAAAGAAAGTTTGAACTCTGTGAGATAAATCCACACATCACAGAGCAGTTCCCAGATAGATGCTTTCTAGTTTCTACCTGGGGATATTCTGTTTTACCTCATGGGACTCAAAGGGCTCCCAAATATCCCTTCAATAATTATCCAAAAAAAAAAAAAAGTGTTTCCAACTAGCTGAATCACAAGAAAGATTTAAATCTATGAGATGAATCCAAACAACACAAACCAGTTTCACTGGTAGTTTGTTGTTATTTTTTATCTAGGGATATTCACTTTTTACTCATAAGCCTCAATGACTCCCAAAAGTTTCCTTGCAGATTCTTCAAAATGTCTGTTTCCAACCTCCTGAATCAAAACAAAGTTTTACGTCTGTGTGATGAATCCACACATCACAAATGAGTTGCACAGATAGGTACTCTCTAGTTTTCATCTAGGGGTATTCGATTTTTCCAACAGGCCTCAATGGGATTGAAAACATCTTTTGCAGATTCTCTAAAAAAGCATATCCAACCTGCTGAATCGAAAGAAAGGGTAACCCTCTGAGATGAATCCTCCCATGACAAACCAGTTTCAAAGATAGCTTCTTTCTAGTTTTTATCCGGAGATATTCAGTTTTCCCCATAGGCCTCAATGGGCTCCCAAATGTCCCTTCACAGATTCTCCAAAAACAGTATTTCCAACCTGCTGAATCAAAAGAAAAGTTTAATTCTGTTAGATGAATCCACACATCACAAAGCCATTTCACAGATAATTTCTTTATAGGTTTTACCAGGGATATTTGCTTTTTTCTCATAGACCTCAATGGGCTCCTAACTGTCCCTTCGCATATTCTCCGAAGAGTATTTCCAAACTGTTGAATCAAAAGAACGTCTTAAGTCTGTGAGATGAATCCACACATCACAAAGCACTTTCACAGATAGCTTCGTTCTAGTGTTTATCTGGGGATATTTGGTTTTTCCTCATAGGCCTCAATGGGCTACAAACTGTCCTTTTGCTGATGTTCCAACAAGAATGTTTCTAACCTGCTAAATCATAGAAAGGTTTAATTCTGTAAGATGAATCCACACATCACAAGAAAGTTTCACAGACAGCTTGTTTCTAGTTTATATCTGGGGATATTCAGTTTTTCCCCATAGATCTCAAAGGGCTCCAAAATGTCCCTTCTCAGATTCTCCAGAAAGAGCCTTTCCAACTTGTTGAATGAAATGACATATTTAATTCTGTGTGATACATCTACACATCACAAAGCAGTTTCTCAGATAATCTCTTTCTACTTTTTCTCTGGGGATATTCTGTTTTTCCCCATAGGCCTCAATGAGATTCCAAGTGTACCTTTGAGATTCTAGTAAAATAGTGTCTCCAACCTGCTGATTCAAAAGAAAGTTTTAACTCTGTGAGATGAATCCAGACATCACAAACCAATTTCACAGATAGCTTCCTTCTAGTTTTCTCTGGGGGTATTCTATTTTTCCTCTAAGCCTCAGTGGGCTCCCTCATGTTCCTTTGCATGTTTTACAAAAAGAGTCTTTCCAACCTGCTGAGTTAAAAATAATATTTAACTTTGCAAGATGAATCCACACATTACCAAGCAATTTCACAGATAGCTTCTTTCTAATTTTTATCTGAGGATATTTGATCTATCCTTGCAGTCAACTATGAGTTCCCAACTGTACCTTTTCAGATTCTCCAAAAAGAGTGTTTCCAACCTGCTAAATCAAAAGAAAGGTTTAACTCTGTAAGATGAATCCACACATCACAAAGAAGATTCACAGATGTCTTCTTTCTAGTTTTATCTGGGGATATTCTGTTTTTCAACATAGGCCTCAATGGGCTACTACAACCTCCTGAACAGAAGAAAATTTTAAGTCTGTGAAAAGAATCCACACATCATAAAGCAGTTTCACAGAGACCTTCTTTCTTGTTTTTATCTGAGGATATTCATTTTTTCGATATAGGCCCTATGAGTTCCCATATGTCACTTTGTAGATTCTAGAAGAAGCATGTTTCAAACCTGCAGAATAAAAAGACACATTTAATACCGTGAGGTTAATCCACACATCACAAAGCAGTTTAACAGATGGCTTCTTTTCAGTTTTTTTCTGGGGATATTGATTTTCCCCATAGTCCTCAAAGTCCTCCCATATGTCCCTTTGTAGATTCTCCACAAAGAGTGTTTCCAACATGCTGAATCAAAAGCAAGGTTTAGCTCTGTGAGACGAATCCACACATCACAAACAAGTTTTGCAGATGGCTTCTTTCTAGTTTTCATCTGGAGATATTCAGTTTTTCCAAGTAGGCCTCAGTGGGCTTCCAAATGTCCACTCACAGATTCTCCAAAAAAGAGTATTTCCAAACTGCTGAATCAAAAGAATGGTTTAACTCTGTGAGATGAATCCACACATCATAAATCAGCTTCACAGATAGATTCTTTCTAGTTTTTATCTGGGGATAATTGTTTTTTTTTTCCATAGGTTACAATGGGTTCAAAAATATCCCTTCGTATATTCTCCAAAAAGGGTTTCCAACCTGCTAAGTCAAAAGAATGGTTTAACTCTCTGAGATGAATCCACACATCACAAAGTAGTTTCACAGATAGCTTCTTTCAAGTTTTTATCTGAGAAAATTCAGTTTTTTTTCCATTAGGCTTCATTAGACTCAAAAATATCATTTCACAGATTCTATGAATAAAGTGTTTCCAACCTGCTGAATCAATAGAAAGTTTTAATTCTGTGAGCTGAATCCGCACATCACAAAGCAGTTTTAAAGGTGGTTTCTTTCCAGTTTTTATCTGAAAATATTCGGCTTCTCCTTATAGGCCTCAATGGGCTCCCAAATGTTCCTTCACAAATATTACCAAAAGAATGTTTCCAATCTGTTGAATCAAAAGAAAGGTTTAACTCTGAGAGATAAATTCACAGATCACCAAGCAGTTACACAGATAGCTTCTTTGTAGTTTTTTTTCTGGGCATATTCGTTTTCCTTCCATAGGCTAAAATGGGCTCCCAAATATCCCTTCATATATTCTCAAAAAAGTGTCTCCAACCTGCTGAATCAAAGGAAAGGTTTAACTCTGTGAGATGAATCCACATATCACAAAACATTTTCAGTATTTCCCCATAGGCCTCAATGGATTTTCAAATGTCCCTTTGCAGATTCTCCAAATAGATGTGTTTCTAACCTCCTGAGTCAAAAGAAAGGGTAAATTCTGTGAGATGAATCCACATATCTCTAAGCAGTTTCACAAATAGCTTCTTCCTAGTTTTTATCTGGGGATATTCCGTTTTGCCCCATAGACCTAAAAGGGCTCTTAAATGTCCCATCACAGATTTTCCACAAAGACTGTTTCCAACCTGCAGTATCAAAAGAAATGTTTAACTCTGCGAGATGAATCCACACATCACAAAGCAGTTTCACCGATGGCATCTTTCTTGTTTGTACCTGGTGATATTGGGTTTTTCACATAAGCCTAAATAAACTCCCAAATATCTATTCTCAGATTCTTCAAAAAAATATGTTTCCAACCTGTTGAATCAAAGGGAAATTTTAACTTGGTGAGATGAATCCACACATCACAAAAGAGTTCCACAGATTGTTTCTTTCTACTTTTTATCTGGGGATACTCAGTTTTTCCCATGGGCCTAAATGAACTCCCAAATGTCCCTTCACAGTTTCTCCTAAAACAGTGTTTCCAACCTGCTGAATCAAAAGAAAGTTTTAATTCTGAGAGATGAGTCCACACCTCATAAAGCACTTTCACGGATAGCTATGGTGATCTGGGAATATTCAGCTTTTCACTGTAGGTTATATTGGCTCCTAAATGTCCCTTAACAGATTCTCCAAAAAGAATGTTTCTAACCTTCTGAATCAATAAAAGCTTTAACTCTGTGAGATGAATGTACACATTATAAAGTAGTTTCACAGTTAGCCTCTTTCTAGTTTTTTTATGAGGATATTTGGTTTTTCCCCATAGGCTACAAGGTGTTCCAAAATGTCTATTTGCAGATTCTCCAAAAAGAGTTTTCAACCTGCTGAATCAAAAGAAATGTTTATCTCAAAGAGATCAACCCAAACTTCACAAAGCAGTTTCACAAATAGTTCTTTCTAGTTTTTATCTGTGGATATTCCATTTTTCCCCATAGGCCTCAATGGGATCCAAAATTTTCCTTCACACATTTTGCAAAGACAATGTTCCCAACCAACTGAGTCTAAAGGAAGATTTAATTCTCTGACATGAATCCAAACATCACATATTGTATTTTTCCACATAGGCAACAAAGGGGTCCAAAATGTCCATTCACAGATTCTCCAAAAACAGTGTTTTCAACTTCCTGAATCAAAAAAAAGTCTTAACTCTCTGAGATGAATCCACACATCAAAAAGCAGTTTCACAGATAGCTTCTTTCTAGTTTTTCTCTGGGAGTATTCAGTTTTGTCCCATAGACCTAATTGGGCTCCCAAATATTTCTTTGCATGTTCTCCAAAAAGACGTGTTTCAAACCTGCTGAATGAAAAGAAGGGATTAACACTGTAAGATGCATCCACACATCACAAAGAAATTTCACAGATAATTTCTTTCTAGTTTTTATCTGGGTATACTTTGTTTTGTCCCATAGACCTCAATGGGTTGCCAATTGTCCATTCACAAATTTTCCAAAAAGTGTTTCCAACCTGCTGAACCAAAAGAAAGGCTTAACTCTGTGAAATGAATCCACACGTCGCATCAGTTTCACACATAGCTTCTTTCAATTTTCTACCTTAGGATATTCTATTTTTCCACATAGGCCTCAATGGGCTCCCAAATATTTTTTCACAGATTCTCTAAAAGGAGTGTTTTCAACTAGCTGAGTCAAAAGTAACGTTTAACTCTGTGAGATGAATGCATGCAACACAAAACAGTTTCACAGATAGTTTCTTTGTAGATTTTATCTGGGGATATTCGGGTTTTTTTCCATAGGCCAAAATGGGCTCCCAAATGTCCCTTCGTAGATACTCCAAAAAGTGTTTCCAACCTGCTGATTCAAAAGCATGGTTTAGCTATCTGAGCTAAATCCACACATCACAAAATAGTTTCACAGCTAGCTTCTTTGGAGTGTTTATCAGGATATATTCGTTTTTTTTGCCCTAGGCCTCAATGGGCTGCAAAATATTCCTTTGCAGATTTTCTGAAGAGTGTTTACATCCTGCTGAATCAAAAGAAAGTTTTAACTCTATGAGATGTATCCACAAATCACTGAAAAGCAGTTTCACAGATAGCTTCTTTCTAATTTTTACCTGGGGATTTTTTTTCCCATAGTCCTCCATGAGCTCCTAAATATCCCTTCACAGATTCTCCAAAAAGAATATTTCCAACTGCTGAGTCACAAGACTGTTTTAACTCTGTGATAAGAGTCCACACATCACAAAGCTGTTTCAGAGGTAGCTTCTTTCTAGTTTTTAGCTGGGGATATTCAATTTTTTCCCATAGGCCTCAATGGGCTCCCAAATGTCCCTTCTCAGATCCTCCAAAAAGAAATGTTTCCATCCTGTTGAATCAAAAGAAAATTTTAAATCTGAAAGATGTTTCCACAAATCGCAAAGCAGTTTCAGATAGATTCTTTCTAGTTTTTATCTGTGGATATTCGGCTGTTCCCCATAGCCCTCAATGGGCTCCAAAGTTTCCTATTGCAGATTCTCCAAAAAGAGTGCTTCCAATTTGCTGAATCAAAAGAATGTTTTAACTCTGTGAGATGAATCCACACACCATATCAGTTTCTCACGTAGCTTCTTTGAGTTTCTATCTTGGGATATTAGATTTTTCCCTGTAAGCCTCAATGGGCTCCCAAATATTCCATCACAGATTCACTAAAAAGAGTGTCTTTAACCTGCTGAATCAAAGGAATTGGTTTATCTCTGTAAGATGAATCCACACATCACAAAATATTTTCACAGATATCTTCTTTCTATTTTTTTTATCTGGAGATATTCTGTTTTTCCCCATAGGCCTCAATGGGCTTTTAAATGTCCCTTCACAGATTCGCCAAAATGTGTGTTTCCAACCAGGTGAATCATAAGAAAGTTTTAACTCTATGATGTGAATCCACACATCACATCACATAAGTTTCACACATAGGTTCTTTCTAATTTCCATCTGGTAATATTCATTGTTCCCCATAGCCCTCAATGGGCTTTCAAATGACCCTTCGCACATACTTCAAAAAGAGTGTTTCCAACCTGCTGAACCAAAAGAAATTTTTGAATCTGTGAGATGAATCCACACTTCACAAAGAAGTTTCACAGATAGCTTCTTTCTAGTATTTATCTGGGGATTTTCACTTTTTCCCCAAAGGCCTCAATGGGCTTTCAAGTGTCCCTTTACAGATTCTCCAAATAGATGTGTTTCCAACCTCCTGAGTCAAAAGAAAGGGTTAAATCTGTGAGATGAATTGACACATCACAAAGTAGTTTCACAGATAGCTTCTTTCTAGTTTTTATCTGGGGATATTTCGCTTTTCCCCATAGGCCTCAATGGGCTCTTAAAAGTCCATTCACAGATTCTCCAAAATGATGTGCTTCCAACGTGCTGAATCAAAAGAAATGTTGTATTCTGTATGATGAATTCACACATCACAAAGAGCTTTCATAGATAGCTTCTTTAAATTTTTATCTTAGGATTCTCAGTTTTTCACCATTTGCCTCAATGGGCTCCAAAATGTCCTTTGTAGATTCTCCAAAAATAGTGTTTCTTACCTGCTGAATAAAAAGAAAGTTTTAACTCTGGGAGTTGAATGTACACATCACAAGGCAGTTTTACAGATAGCTTCCTTCTATTTTTTGTCTGCGGATATTTGGTTTCTACCCAGAGGCCCAAATGGGTTCCCAAATGTCCTGTCACAGATTTTCCAAAATGGATATGGAAATTTAATTTCCTACCTATGAAATTAAAAAAATGTTTCAACAATGTGAGATGAATTTACACCTCAGAGAGCACTTTCACAGATAGCTTCATTCCAGTTTTTATCTGGATAATCGGTTTTTTCCCATAGGCCTCAATGGGCTCTTACATGTCTCTTCACAGAATATCCAAAAACAGTGTTTCCAACCTGATGTATTAAAAGGCAGTTTTACTTGTATGAGAGAAATCCACACATCACAAATCGTTTCACAGATAGCTTCTTTCTAGTTTTTATCTGCGGATTTTTTTCCCCATTGGCCTAAATTGGCTCCCAAATGTCCCTTTGCAGATTCTTCAGAAAAAGCATTTCCAATGTGGTGAATCAAAAAAAATGTTTAGCTCTGTGAGATGAATCCACACATCACAAAGAAGTTTCACAGATAACTTCTTTTTAGTTTTTATCTGGGAATATTCAGTTTTTCCCCATAGGCATCAATGGGCTTTCAAAGGTCCGTTTGCAAATTCTCCAAAAATATGTTTCCAAACTGCTGAATCAAAAGAAAAGTTAAACTCTGTGAGATGAATCCACACATCTCAAAGCAGTTTCACAGATAGCTACTTTCTAGGTTATCTCTGGGGTCACTTGGTTTTTCTGCAGAGTCCTCAATGGGCTCCCATATGTCCCTTCGCAGTTTCTCCAAAAAGAATGTTTCAAATCTCCTGAATCAAAACAAAGGTTTAACTGTGTAAGAGGAATGCACACATCACAAAGCAATTTCACGAATGACTTCTTTCTGGTTTTTATCTGGGGATATTCAGTTTTTCTCCAGAGGCTTCACAAATGTCCCTTCATAGTTCTACAAAAAGAGGGTTTTCAGCCTGCTGAATCAAAAGAAAAGTTTGACTCTTTGAGATGAATCCACATATCACATCAATTTCAAAGATAGCTTCTTTTTATTTTCTATCTGGGAATATTTGGTTATCATCCATAGTCTTTAATAGGCTCCCAAATGTTCCTTCACAGATTCTCCAAAAAGATTGTTTTCAACCAGCTGAGTAAAAAAATATTAACTCTGTGAGATGAATATACACATCACAAAGCAATATTACATATATGTCTTTCTAGTTTTTATCTGGGGTTATCCAATTTTTACGCATATACTTCAGTCAGCTACAAAATGTCCATTCACATAATCTCCAAAAACAGTGTTTCCAACTGCTGAATCAAAAGAAAGGTTGAATTCTGTGAGATAAATTCACACATCACAAAGTTGTTTCACACATAGCTTCTTTCTAGCTTTTATCTGTGGATATTTGGTTTTTCCCCACAGGACTCCATGGGCTCCAAAATGTACCTTCACAGATTCTCCAAAAAAGTGTTTCCAAAATGCTAAATCAAAAGAAAGTTTTATTTCTGTGAGATGAACATACACATCACAAAGCAGTTTCACAGATTGCTTATTTCTACTTTTCATCTCGAGAAATTTTCTCTTTCACCATACGTCTCAATGGGTTCCCAAATGTCTCTTCACAGATTCTCCAAAAGGAGTGTTTCCAACGTGCTGAATCAAAGAAAAAGAGTAACTCTTTGAAATGAGTCAATACAAGGAAAGTTCATATATATCTTCTTTCTAGCTTTTTTTCTGGGGATATACAGTTTTTTCTTAAACACATAAATGGACTCTCAAATGTGCGTTTAAATATTCTCCAAAAAGAGGGTTTCCAACCTGCTGAAACAAAAAAAGAGTTTTATCTCTGTGAGATGAATCTGCACATTACAAAGCAGTTTCAGAGAGAGCTTCTTACTATTTTTTTCTGAGGATATTCAGTTTTACCCCAAAGGACTCAATGGGCTCCAAAATGTCCCTTCACTGATTCTCCAAAAAGAATGTTTCCAAAGTACTGAATAAAAACAAAGGTTTAACTGTTTGAGATGAATCCCCACTTCACAAAATAGTTACACACATAGCTTCTTACTAGTTTTTATCTGGGGATTGTTGGTTTTTCCATTTAGGCCACCAAGGGCTCCCAAATGTCTCTCCGTAGAATCTGTAAAAACAATGTTTCCCAACTACTGAATCAATAGAAAGGTCTATCTCTGTGGGATGAATCCGCACATCACAAGGAAGTTTCACAGATAGCTTATATCTAGTTTTTATCTGGGTATACTCCTTTTCTCCCTTTAGGTTTCAACGGGATCCCAAATATCTCTTCACAGATTCTCCAAAAAGAGTGTTTCCAACCTGCTAAATCAAAAGAAAGTTTTAACTCTATGAGATGAATCCACAAATCACTATGCAGTTTCATGGATAGCTACTTTCTAGTGTTGATCTGGGGATATTCAGCTTTTCTCCATAGGCCTCAATGGGCTCCAAAATGTCCCTTAGCAGATTCTCCAAGAGTGTTTCCAAGCTACTAAATTTAAAAAAAGCTTTAATTCTTTGAGATGAACCCACACATCATGAAGGACTTTCACAGATAGCTTCTTTCTAGTTTTTATCTAGGGATATTTGATATTTCCCTATAGGGTTCGATGGGCTTCCAAATGTCACTTAGCAGATTCTCTGAAAGGTGTGTTTCCACCCTGTTGAATCAAAGGAAGTTATAACTCTGTGAGAATAATCCACACATCACAAAGCAGTTTCACAGATAGCTTTTTTTCTAGTTTTTATTTAAGTATGTTAGGCTTTTAACCTAGGCGTCAGTGGGCTCCTAAATGTCCCATCAGAGATTCTCAAAAAAAAAGTGTTCCAAATTGCTGAAGCAAAAGAATGCTTTAACACTATGAGATGAATGCACACATCACAAAGAAGTTTCAAGATCGCTTCTTTCTAATTTTTATCTGGGTATATTTTGTTTTTCCCTATAATCCACAATGGGCTCCCAAATATCACTTCACAGGTTCAACAAAAAGAGTGTTTCCAACCTGATGAATGAAAAGAAAGTATTAGCTCTGTGAGATAAATCCACACATAACAAAGCACTTTAACAGATAGATTCTTTCTAGTTTTTATCTGGGGATATTCAGCTTTTTCCTGTAGGCCTCAATGCTCCCAAATGTCCCCCCACAGATTCTGCAGAAAGAGTGATTCCAACCTGCTGAATCAAAACAAAGGTTTAACTCTCTGAGAGGAATCCACACATCATGAGGCAGTTTCACAGATAGCTTCTTTCTACTTTCTATCTTGGGATATAGTGTTTTTACCTATAAACCTCAACGTGCTCCCAAATGTCCCTTCACAGATTATCCAAATAGAGTGTTTCCTACATGCCAAATCAAAAGAAAGGTGTAACTCTGTGTGATGAATACACACATCACAAATCAGTTTTCAGAGATAGCTTCTTTCTAGTTTTTATTTGGGGATATTCCACTTTTCCTCATAGGCCTTGATGTACTCCAAATGTTTATTCACAGATTCTCCAGAAAGACTGTTTCCAACCTGCTGAATAAAAAAAAGGCTTAACACTGTTAGATAAATGCACACGTCACAAAGCAGTTTTACTTATGGCTTTTTTATAGTTTTTATCTGGGGATATTTTGTTTTTCCCTATAGGACTCAGTGGGCTCTTAAATACCCTTTCTTATATTCTCCAAAAAGAGGGTTTACCACGTGCTGAAACAAAACAATGGTTTAACTCTCTTAAATGAATCCACACATCACAGATGTTTCACAAATAACTCCTTTCTAGTTTCACAGATAGTTTCACAGATAGCTTCTTTCTAGTTTTTTCCCTCAGGATATTCAGTTTTTCCCCATAGGCCTCAATGGGCTCAAAAATGTCCCCTCACAGATTCTCCAAAACAGTGTTTCCAACCTCCTGAATCAAAAGAAAGGTTTAATTCTGTAAGATGCATCCACACATCACAAAGCTGTTTCACAGATAGCTTCTTCCTATGTTTTATCTGGCAATATTTGGTTTTTCCCAGTAGGCATCACTGGGTTTCCAAATGTTCCTACACAGATTCTCTAAAAAGGTACTTTCCAACATGCTGAATCAAAAGAAAGTTTTAACTCTGTGAGATGAATCCACACATCGTAAATCAGTTTATCAGATAACTTCTTTCTAGTTTTTATCTGGGGATATTCAGTTTTACCCTCTAGGCCTCAAATGCCTTCAAAATATTATTTTCCATATTCTAAAAAAAGTTTTTCCAACCTGCTCAACCTAAAGAATGTTTGAACTATGTGAGATAAATCCACAAATCACCAAGCAGTTTGATGGATACCTACTTTCTAGTTTTTATCTTGGGATATTCCTTTTTTCCCCATAGGCTTCCATTGGCTCCAAAATGTCTCTATGCAGATTCCCTAAAAATAGTGTTTACAAAATGCTGAATCAAAAGAAAGGTTTAACTCTGTGAGATAAGTTCACAAGTGACAACGCACTTTCACAGATAACTTTATTCCGGTTTTTATCTGGGATACTAAGTTTTTCCCCAAAGGTTTCAATGGGTTCTCCAATGTCCCTTCTCAGATTCTTTAAAAATATTGTTTTCAAACTGCTGAATCAAAACGAAGTTTTAACTCTGTGAGATGAATCCACGCATAACAAAGCAGTTTCACAGATTGCTTATTTCTAGTTTTTATCTGGGAATATTCTGTTTTTCTTCATAGGCCTCAATAAGCTCCCACAAGTCCCTTCACAGATTCTAGAAAAAGAGTGTTTCCAACCAGCTGGATCAATAGAAAGGTTTAACTCTGTGAGATGAATCTAGAAATCAAAAAGCAGTTTCATAGATAGCTTATTTCTAGTTTTTATCTCGGGATATTCAGTTTTTCCCTCATAGGACTCAAAGGGCTCTCAAATATTTCTTTGACTATTCTCCAAAAAGAGCACTCCCAACATGCTGAATCAAAAGAA
Organism: Homo sapiens; assembly: GCF_000001405.40. NCBI lineage: Eukaryota > Metazoa > Chordata > Mammalia > Primates > Hominidae > Homo > Homo sapiens. The sequence goes on along the minus strand of NC_000010.11, from coordinate 39,067,902 downwards.
AAGTTAAACTCTGTGAAATGAATCACCTTCACAAAGCAGTTTCATAGATACTTTCTTCCAAGTTTTTATCTGCAAATATTTGACTTTTCCCCATAGTCATCAATGGACTCCCAAATGTCCCTTTGCAGATTCTCCAAAAAAAGTGTTTTGAACCTGGTGAATCAAAAGAAAAATTTACCTCTGTGAGATGAATTCACATATCACAAAGCCCACTGAAGCCTATTTGGTAAAACCAATATGTGCAGGTAAAACCCAGAAAGAAGCTAAGTGAAACTGCTTTGTGATTTGTAAATTCATCTAACAAGTTTAAACCTTTCTTTTGATTCAGCAGGTTGGAAACATTCTTTTTGTAGAATCAGCGAAGGGACATTTTGTAGTGGATGAGGACTATGGAACAAAACCAAATATTCCCAGAGAAAACCTAGAAAGTAGATATCTGTGAAACTGCTTTGTGATGTTTGGATTCATCTCAAAGAGTTAAAACGTTTTATTGTACAGCACTTTGGAAACACTCTTTTTGAAGAATCTGCAAAGGGATATTCGAGAGCCCATTGAGGCCCATGAGGAAAAACCTAACATCCTCAGATAAAACCTATATAGAAGCAATCTGTGAAACTTCTTTGTGATGTGCAGATTTATCTTACAGTGTTAAATGTTTGTATTGATTCCAAAGGTTGGAAAAACTCTTTTTGGAGAATCTGCAAAGAGACATTTTGGAACCTATTGATGCATAGGGGGAAAATTGAATATCCCAAGATAAAAACTAGAAAGTAGCTACCTGTGAAACTGCTTTGTGATGTGTAAATTCAATCACAGAATTAAAATTTTCTTTCAATTCAGCAGGTTCAAAACACTCTTTTTCTAGAACCTGTGAAGGGACATTTGGGAGCCCATTGAGGCCTATGGAGAAAAATTGAATATCCCCAAGTAAAAACTAGAAAGATGCGTTTTGTGAAACCGCTTTGTATGTGTGGATTTATCTCACAGAGTTAAAGCTTCTTTTAATTAGCAGGGTGGAAACACTCTTTCTAGACAATCAGCAAAAGGACGTTTTGTAGACAATTGAGCCCTAAGGGGAAAAACCTAGAAAGATGCTATTGGTGAAAATGTTTTTTGATGTGTGGATTCATCTCAAAGTGTTAAACCTTTGTTTTGATGCAGCAGATTGAAAACACTGTTTTTGTAGAATCTGTGAAGGGACATTTGAGATCCCATTTGGGCCACTGGGAAAAAACAAATATCCCCAGGTAAATACTAGAAAAAAGCTACCTGTGAAACTGCTTTATGATAGCTGGATTCATCTTACAGAGTTAATCATTTTAATTAATTCAGCAGGTTGGAAAAACTCTTTTTGGAGAATCTATGAAGTGACGTCTTGGAGCCCATTGAGGCCTAGGAAGAAAATTGAATATCCCTAGATAAAAACTAGAAAGAAGGTATCTGTGAAACTGTTTTGCAATGTGAGGATTCATCTCACAGAGTTAAACTTTTATTTTTGATTCAGCAGGTTCAAATCACTCTCTTTGTATAATCTGTGAAGGGATAATTGGAAGTCCATTGAAACCTATAAGGAAAAATTGAATATCCCCAGATGAAAACTGAAATAAGTTTGTGAAACTGGTTTGTGATGTGTGGATTCATCTCACAGATTTACACCTTTCTTTTGATCCAGCAGGTTGGAAACACTTTTTTTGTAGGATCTGTGAATGTACATTTTGGAGCCCATTGATGCCTAGCAGAAAAACTGAATATCCCCAGATAAAAAGTAGAATGAAGTTATCTGTTAAACTGCTTTGTTACACGTGGATGCATCTCACAAATTTCAACATTTCTTTTGATTCTGCAGGTTGGAAATACTCTTTTTTCTAGAACCTCTGAAAAGACATTTGGGAGCCCATTGAGGTCTGTGAGGATAAAGTGAATATCCCCATATAAAAGGTGAAAGAAGCTGTCTGTAAAACTGCTTTGTGATATTTGGATTGAACTCACAGAGTTAAAACTTTCTTTTCATACAGAAAGTTGGAAACACTCCTTTTGTGGGAACTGCAAAAAGATATTTGGGAGCCCATTAAGGCCTATAAGTAAAAACAGGTAATCATCAGACAAGCACTATAAAGAAGATAACTCTGAAACTGCTTTATGTTGCTTGGACTCATCACACAGAGTTAAAACTTTCTTTTGATCCAGCAGGTAGGAAACACTCTTGTAGAATCACTGAAAGGACAGTTTGGAAGCCATTGAAACCTAACAACAACAACAACAAAACCAATATCCCCAGAACAAAACTAGAAAGATGCTATCTGTGAAACTGCTTTGTCATGTGTGGATTCATGCCATGGAGTTAAACCTTTCGTTTGACTCACCAGGTTGGAAACACTCTCTGTAGAGAATCTGCAAAGGGACACTGGGGAGCTCATTGAGGCCAGTGGAAAAAAACAGAATATCCCCAGATAAAAAAATAGAAAGAAGCTATTGGAAAAACTGCTTTTTGAGGTGGGGATTCATTTCACAGAGGTAAATCTTTCATTTGACTCAACAGGTTGGAAACACTCTTTTTAGAGAATCTGCAAAGGGACATTCGGGAGCTCATTGAGGCCAGTAGCAAAAAACACAATATCCTCAGATCAAAACTAGAAAGAAGCTATCTGTAAAATTACTCCGTGAGATGTGGATTCATCTCACTGAGACAAACCTTTCTTTTGATGCAGGAAGTTGAAAACACTCTTTTTGCAGAATCTGTGAAGGGACATTTGGGAGCCCATTGATGTATACAGGGAAAAATGAATTATCCGCAGATAAAAACAAGAAAGAATCTCTGTGTGAAACATCTTTGTGATTTGTGGAGTCATCACACAGAGATAAACCTTTCTTTTGCTACTACAGTTTGGAAACACTTTCTGGAGAACCTGCGAAAGGACATTTGGGAGCCCACAGGGGCCTATGGGGATAAATCAAATATCTCTAGAGAAAAACTAGAAAGAAGCTATATGTGAAACTGCACTCTAATGTGTGGATTCATCTCACACAGTTAAACCATTCTTTTGATTGAGCAGGTTTGAAACCCTCTTTTTGAAGAATCTGCAAATGGACATTTGAGAGCCTCTTGAGGCCAATGGAAATAAACTGGATATCCCCAGATAAAAACTAGAAAGGAGCTGTCTGTCCGTGGAAATTCTTTGTGATGTGTGGATTCATCTCACAGACTTAAATCTTTCTTTTGATTCACCAGGTTTAAAAGACTCTTTTTCAAGTGTCTGTGAAGGGGCATTTCTGAGCCTGTTGAGTCCTATGGGGCAAAACTGAATATATTCAGTTAAAAATTAGAAAGAAGCTATCTGTGAAACTGGTTTTTGATGTGTGGATTCATCTCACAGATTTAAACCTTTCTTTTGATTCAACAGTTTGGAGACACTGTTTTTACAGAATCTACAAAAAGACATTTTGGAGCCCCTTTAGGCCTATGGGCCAAAACCGAATATCCCCAGAAAAAAACTAGCAGGAAACTATCTGTGAAACTTCTTCGTGATGTGTGGATTCATCTCACAGAGATAACACTTTTTTTTGAATTGGCAGGTTGGAAACAATTTTTTCTGGAGCAGCTGCAAAGGGATATTTGGGAGCCCATTGAGACCTGTGGGGCAAATGGAATATCCCCAGATGAAAATGAGAAAGAAGCTATTTGTGATACTGCTTTGTGATTTGTGGATTCGTCTCACAGACTTAAAGCTTTCTTTTGATTCTTCAGGTTGGAAACACTCTTTTGAGAGAATCTGTGAAGGGACATTTGGAAGCCCATTGAGGCCTTTCTGGCAAACCAAATATTTCCAGAGGAAAACTAGATAGAAGTTATCTGTGAACTTGCTTTATAATGTGTAGATTCATCTCACAGAGTTAAATCTTTCTTCTGATTCAGCAAGTTGGAAACAGTCTTTTTTGAGAGTCTGCTAAGGGATAAATATCCCAAATGGGAGCCCACAGAGGCCTATGGGGTAAAAACGATTATTGTCTTATAAAAAGTACAAAGAAGATATCTTGAAACTGCTTGTGATGTGTGGGTCATCTCACAGAGGTAAAGCTTATTTTGATTCAACAGGTTGGAAACACTCTTTTTGGAGAATCTGCGATGAAACATTTGGGAGCCCATTAAGTCCTAAGTGTAAAAGGCAAATATCGCTATATAGAAACTAGAAAGAACGTATCTGTGAAACTGCTCTGTGATGTGTGGATTAATCTCACAGAGTTAAAACTTTCTTTTGATTCAGCAGTTTGGAAACACTCTATTTGGAGACTCTACGAAGGAACATTTTAGAGCCCAGTGAGGACTGTGGGGAAGAAGTGAATATCACCAGATAAAAAAGTAGAATGAAGCTATCTGTGAAACTGTTCTGTGATGTGTGGATTCATCTCACAGAGTTAAATCTTTCTTTGATTCAGCAGGTTGGAAACACCTTTTTTGGAGCATCTGCAAAGGGATCTTTGTGATCCCATTAAGTCCTATGGGGAAAAAATGAACATCCCCATATAAAACCTAGAAAGAAGCTATGTGTGAAACTGCTTTGTGATGTGTGGATTCATCTGCAAGAATTAAACATTTCCATTGATCCAGCAGATTGGAAACACTCTTTTTGGAAAATCTGTGAAGGGACATTCTGGAGCTTATTCAGGCCTAAGGGAAAAACTATTCCTAGATAAAAACTACAAATAAGTTATCAGTGAAACTGCTAATTGATGTGTGGATTCATCTCACGGATTTTTACCTTTTCTTTGATTCAAAAGGTTGAAAGCACTCTTTTTGGAGAATTTGCAAAGAGATATTTGGGAGCCCATTGAAGCCTAGGGGAAAAACAGTATATCACCAGATAAATGTTTGTGTGAAACAGATTTGTGATATGTCAATTCATCTCACAGAGTTTAATTTTTCTTTTCATTAAGCAGGTTGGAAACACTCGCTCTGACATTTGAGAGACCATTGAAACTTATGGGGAAAAATTGAATATCCCTGGATAGAAACTAGAAAGAGGCTTTCTGTAAAACTGCTCTGTGATGTGTGGAATCATCTCATATAATAAAAACTTTATTTTGTTTCAGCAGGTTGGAAACGCTTTTTTTAGATAATTTGCAAAGGGACATTTTTGAGCCCTTTGATGCCTATGGGGAAAAACGTAATATCCCAAGATAAAAACTAGAAAGAAACTATCTTTGAAACTCCTTTGTGATGTGTGGATTCATCTCACAGAGTTAAACATTTATTTTGTTACAGCAGTTTTAAAAATACTCTTTTTGGAGAATCTGTGAAGGAATATTTAGGAGCCACTTGAGGCCAATGGAAATAATCCGAATGTCCCCAGATAAAAACTAGAAAGAAGCTATCTGTGAAATTGCTTTGTGATGTGTGGATCCATCTCACAGACTTAAAGCTTTCATTTGATTCAGCAGTTTGGAAACCATCTATTTTGAAAATCTACGAATGCACATTTGGAGCACACTGAAGCCTATGGGCAAAACCGAGTATTCCCTGATAAAAAGTACAAAGAAGGTCTCTTAAAACCACTTGTGATGTGTGGGTCATCTCACAGAGTTAAACCTTATTTTGATTCAACAGGTTTGAAAGACTTTTTAGAGAATCTGCAATGAAACATTTTGGAGCCCATTAAGGCCAATGTGGAAGAGCTGAATATCCCCAGATAGAGCAGATAGAAACTAGAAAGAAGCTATCTGTGAAATGCCTTTTGATTTGTGGATTAATCTCACAGAGTTAAAACCTTCTTTTGATTCGCAGTTTGGAAACACTCTATTTGGAGTATCAGCAAAGGGACATTTTGGAGCCCACTGGGGCCTGTGGGGAAAAAGTGAATATCCCCAGATAAAAACGAGAAAGAAGCTATCTGTGAAACTGCCTTTTGATGTGTGGATTTATCTCACAGAGTTAAACCTTTCTTTTTATTCAGCAGATAGAAATCACTCTATTTGGAGAACCTGTGAAGGGACATTTGGGAGTCTATTGAGGCCTATGGGGGAAAAGCAAATATCCCCAGATAAAAACAGGAAAGACGCTATCTGTGAAATGGATTTGTGACATGTGGATTCATCTCACAGAGTTAAACCATTCTTTTGATTTAGCAGGTTCGAAACACTCTTTTTGGAGCATCTGCAAAGGGACATTTGAAAGCTCTTTGAGTCCTGTAAGGCAAAACAGAAATTCCCCATATAAAAACTAGAAAGAAGCTATCTGTGAAACTGCTTTGTGATGTCTGAATTTATATCACAGAATTAAACCTTTCTTTTGATTCAGAAGGGTGAAAACACTCTTTTTGGAGAATTTTCAAAGGGACATTTGGGAACCCATTTTGGCCTATGGAGGAAAAAAAATATCCCCAGATAAATATAGAAAGAAGCTGTGTGTGAAAAAGCTTTGTGATGTGTGGATTCATCACACACAGTTAAACTTTCGTTTTGATACACCAGGTTGGAAACACTCTTTCTGGAGAATCTGTGAAAGGACATTTGGGAGCCCACAGGGTCCTATGGGGATAAATTGAATATCTCTAGAGAAAAACTAGAAAGAAGCTATCTGTGAAACTGCTTTGTAATGTGTGGATTCATCTCACACAGTTAAACCATTCTTTTGATTGAGCAGATTTGAAACACTTTTTGAAGAATCTGTGAAGAGACATTTGGAAGCCTCTTGAGGCCAATAGAAATAAACAGAATATCCCCAGATAAAAACTAGAAAGAAGCTATCTATGAAAATGTTTTGTGATGTGTGGATTCATCTCACAGAATTAAATCTTTCTTTTGATTCACCAGGTTGCAAACACTCTTTTAGGAGAATCTGAGAAGGCATAGTTGGGAGCTCATTGAGGTCTAGAGAGAAAGATCGAATATAGCCAGATGAATACTAGAAAGAAGCTATCTATAAACTTGTTTTGTGATGTGTGGATTCATTGCACAAGATTAAACCTTTCTTTTATTTCAGCCAGTTGGAAACACTCATTTTGGAGAATCTGTGAAGGGACTTATGGTAACCTATTGAGGACTGTTGGGAAAAACAGAATATCTCCATTAAAAATTTTAAAAGAAGCTTTCTTTGAAACTGCTTTTTGATATGTGGATTTATTTCACAGAGTAAAATCTTTCTTATGATTCAACAGGGTGGAAACACTCTTTTTATATTATCTGTGAAGAGATATTTGGGGGCCCACTGAGGCTTATGGGGAAAAACCCAGTATTGCCAGAAGAAAACTAGAAAGAAGCTTTCTGTGAACCTGCTTTGTGATGTGCAGTTTCATCTCACACAGTTAAACTTTTCATTTGAATCAGCAGGTTGGAAACACTCTTTTTTGGAACAGATGTGAAGGGATATTTGTGAGCCTATTGAGGTCTATGGGGCAAAAGGGAATATCCCAATATGAAATATGTAAATCACATATTCAGCTTTTCCTGGTAGGCCTCCAAGAGCATCTAAATGTCCCTTTGCAGATTCTCCAAAAAGAGAGTTTAAAACCTGCTGGATCAAAAGACAGGTTTAACTCTGTGAGATGAATCCATACAACAAAATGCAGTTTCAAAGATAGCTTCTTTCTAGTTTTTATCTGTGGATACTTGGGTTTTTCCCAAAGTTTTCAATGGGTTCTCAAATATTTCTTTGCAAATTCTCCCAAAAGAGTATTTCCAGTCTTCTGAATCAAAAGAAATGTTTAACTCTATGAGATGCACTCACAAATCAGAAAGCAGTTTCAGTCTTGAAAAAGTCTTTTAAACCTGGTGAATCAAAAGAAAGATTTAACTTTGTGGGCTGAATCCACACATCACAAAGTATTTTCACTGATAGCTTCTTTCTAGGTTTTATCTGGGAATATTCAGTTTTTACTTATAGGCATCAGTTGGCTCCCAAATATCTCTTTGCAGATTCTACAAATGATTGTTTCTAATCTGTTGAATGAACAGAGATATTTAATTATGTGAAATGAATCCATACATCACAAAGAAGTATCACAGATAGCTTCTTTCTAGTTTTTCTCTGGGGATATCCAGTTTTTCCCCATAGTCCTCAATGGGCTCACAAATGTCCCTTGTCAGATTCTCAAAAAGAGTGTTTTCAACCTGCTGGATCAAAAGAAAGGTTTAACTATTTGAGATGAATTCACACATCACAAAACAATTTCACAGATATCTTCTCTCTAGTTTGTATCTGGGGATATTCAGTTTTCACTTATAGGACTCAATGGGCTTCCAAATGTCCCTTTGCAGATACTCCAACAAAAGCATTTCCAGCCTCCTGAATCAGAAGGGTGGTTTAACTGGATCAAAAGAAATCTTTAACTTTGTGAGACTAACCCGGACAATACAAAGCAGTTTCAAAGATAGCTTCTGTTTAGTTTTTCTTGTGGGTTATCAATTTTTATTTATAGGCCTTAATCGGCTCCAAAGTGTCAATCCACACATTCTACAAAAATATATTTCCAAACTAGTGTATCAAAAGAAAGGTTTATCTCTGTTAGATGAATCCATACATCACAAAGCAGTTTTACAGATACCTTCTTTCCAGTTTTTCTCTGGGGATATTCGATTTATCCCCATAGATCCCAAAGGGCTCCCAAAAGTCTCTTCATAGTTACTCCAAAAACACTATTTCTAACCTGCTTTATCAAAATAAATGTTTAACTCTGTGAGATGAATCCACACATCACAAAGCAGTTTGACAGATAGTTTCTTTCTAGTGTTTATCTTGGAATATTCAGTTTTACTCATAGTCCTCAATGGGCTTCCAAATGTCCCTTCACAGATACTTCAAATAGAGTGTTTCCACATTACTGAATCAAAAGAATAGCTTAACTGTGGGAGATGAAGCCACACATCACAAAGCAGTTGCACAGATATTTTTTCAATTTTTTCCCTAAAAAATATTCCTTTTTTTTTCCTTAGGCCTCATGGGCTTCCAAATGTCTTTTTGCATATTCTTTGAAAAGAGTATTTTCAACCTGCTGAATCAGAAGAAGGGTTTAAGTCTGTGAGATGAATTCACACATCCCAAAGCAGTTTCATAGATAACGTCTTTGCAGTTTTTATATGGGGATATTCAGTTTTTCCTCACAGGACTCAATGGGCTCCCAAATGTCCCTTTATGTATTTTTGAAAAAGAGTGTTTCCAACCTGCTGAATGAAAGGAAAGGTTTAACTTTGTGAGTTGAATTCACACATCACAAAGCAGTTTCACAGGTAAGATATCTTGTTTGTAGCTTTTATGTGTGGATAATTTGTTTTCCCCATAGCCTTCAATGGTTTCCCAAATGTCCCTTCACACATTCTCCAAAACAGTGTTTCCAACCTGCTGAATCAAAACAAAGTTTAACTTTGTGAGATGAATTGAACCATTACCAAGCAGTTTCACATTTAGGTTGTTTCTAGTTTTTATCTGGAAATATTCAGTTTATTCCCATAAGCATCTATGGAATCCCAAATGTTTCCTTGCATGTTCTACAAAAAGAGTGTTTCCAACTTGTGGAATAAAAATAAAGTTTTCCCTCTGTGAGAAGAATCTTCACATCACAAAGCAGTTTCACAGATAGTTTCTTTCTAGTTTTTATCTGCATATATTCTGTTTTTCTTCATAGGCCTAAATGGGCTCTAAAATGTCCCTTGGCGGATTCTTTAAATAGAGTGTTTCCAACCTGTTGGATCAAAAGGAATTTTTAACTCTGTGAGATGAATCCAGGCCACACAAAGTAGTTTCACAGAGAGCTTCTTTCCAGTTTCTACCTGGGGATATTCAGTTTTTTTCCCAAAGGCCCCAATGAGCACCAAAATGTCTTTTCTCCAATTCTACAGAAAGAGTGTTTCCAACCTGCTGGATCAAAAGAATGGTTTAAATCTCTGAGATGAGTCCACATGTCACAAAACTGTTTCACATATAGCGACTTTCTAGTTTTTATGTGGGGTATTTCGTTTTTCCCCATAGGTCTCAATGAACTCCCAAATGTCCCTTTGCAGATTGTCTAAAAAGAGTGTTCCACCTGCTGAATCAAAAGAAAGTTTTATCTCTGTAACAGGGATCCCCAGATCAAAAATCAGTTTCATGGATACCTTCATTCTAGCTTTTATCTCGAGAGATTAGATTTTTAATTATAGGCCTCAGTGGGCTCTGAAATTTCCATTCGCAGGTTCACCAAAAACATTGTTCCCAACCTGCTGAATCAAAACAAAGTTTAACTCTGTGAGATGAATCCACACATATCAGTTGTTTCACAGAGAGCTTCCTTCCTGTTTTCATCTGAGGATATTTACTTTCTTCTCATAGGCCTCAACAGGCAGCCAAATGTTCATTTGCAGATTCTACAAAAGGTGTGCTTTCAACCTGCTGGATCAAAAGAAAAGTTTAACTCTGTGGGATCAATCCACACATCACAAAGCAGTTTCACAGAGGGCTTCTTTCTAATTTTTATCTTGATTTATTTGGTATTTCTCCATAGGTCTAAATGAGCTCTGAAATATCCTTTTACAGATTCTCTAAAAAGAATGTTTAAAACCTGCTGAATCAATAGAAACTTTTAACTTTGTGAGCTGAATGCACACACCACAAGGCAGTTTCACAGATAGCTTCTTTCTAGTTTTCATCTGGGGGTATTTCGTGTTTCCCCATAGGCCTCAATGGCCTCCAAAATGTCAGTTCACAGATTCTCCAAAAAGAGTGTTTCCAACCTGATGTATCAAAATACAGTTTTACCTCTGTGAGATGAATTCATATATAACAAAGGAGTTTCACAGATAGCTTCTTTCTAATTTTTATCTGGGGACATTATATTTTTCCACAAAGGTGTCCATGGGCTTTAAAATGTCCCTTTGCAGATTTTCCAAGAAGAGTGTTTATGACCTGCTGAATCTAAAGAAAGGTTTAATTCTTTGCAATGAATCCACCCGTAATGAAGCAGTTTCTCAGATAGCTTCTTTGTAATTTTTATCTGGGAATATTTCATTTTTCCCCTTAGGCCTCAATTTGCTCTCAAATGTTTCTTCACAGATTCTACAAAAATAATGTTTCCAACATGCTGAATCAAAAGAAAGGTTTAATTCTGTGAGATGAATCCACACATCACAATGCAGATTCAGAGATAGCTTCTTTCTAGTTTTTAATCATTGATTATTCATTTTTTTACCATAGGCCTCAATTGGCTGCCAAATGTCCCTTTGGATATTCTCCAAAAAGAGTTTTTCTAACCTGCTGAATCAAGTCAAAGGTTTAACACTCTGAGATGAATCCACACATTACAAGTCAGTTTGACACATAGATATTTTTCAAGTTCTTATTTGGGGATATTTTGTTTTTCCTGATTGGCCTCAATTTGCTCACAAAAGTCCCTTTGCAGATTCTTCAAAAAACATGTTTCTGATGTGCTGAATCAAAATAAAGGTTTATCTCTGTGAAATGAATCAACACATAACAAACCAGTTTCACATATAGCTTCTTTCTAGTTTTTATCTGGGAATGTTTAGTTTTCCTCCATATGCCTCCATGGGCTCCCAAATATCTCCTCACAGATTCTCCAAAAAAAGTGTTTATAAACTGGTGAATCCAAAGAAAGGTTTAATTCCATGAGATGAATCCACACAAAACAAAGCAGTTTCTCAGTTAGCTTCTTGTTGTTTTTATCTGGGGATAATTTGTATTTCCCCTTAGGCCTCAATTTGACCAAAAATGTTTCTTCACAGATTCTACAAAAAGAGTGTTTCCAAACTGCTAAACCAAAAGAAAGTTTAATTCTGTGAGATGGATCCCCACATCACAAAATAGTTTCACAGATAGCTTCTTTCTAGTTTTTATCTGGATATATTCAGTTTTTCCCCAAGGCCTCAACGGGCTCCAAAATGTTTCTTTGCATATTCTCCAAAAAGAGTGTTTCCAACCTGATGAATGAAAATAAGTTTTAAGTCTGTGAGAAGAATCCACACATCACAAAGCAGTCTCACAGATAGCTTCCTTCTAGTTTTTATCTGGTGTATTCAGTCTTTCCCCATCAGCCTCAGTGGGCTCCCAAATGGCCCTTCGTAGATTCTCCATAAAGAATGTTTCCAATCTGGTGAATCAGGACATAGGTTTAAGTCTATGAGATGAATCAACACATAACAAAGCAGTTTCACAGGTAACTTTTTCCTAGTTTTTTTCTTGGGACATTCAATTATTTCCCATAGGCCTTAATGGGCTCCAAAATGTCCCTCTGTAGATTTTACAAAAAGAGTGCCTCCAAGTTGCTGAAACAAAAGAGAGGGTGAACTCTGTGAGATGAAACCACAAATCACAAAGCAGTGTCACAAAAAGCTGTTTTCTAGTTTTTAATCTTGAGATATTCAGTTTTTCTCCATAGGCCTCAATGTGCTTCCAAATGGACCTTCACAGATTCTATAAAGAGTGTTTCCAACTTGCAGAATCAAGGTAAAAGTTTACCTCTGTGAAATGAATCAACACATCACAAAGCAGAGTAAAAGATAGATTTTTTTCTAGTTTTTATCTGGGGATATTTTGTTTTTCCCCATAGCCCTCAATGGGCTTGCAAATAACCCTTTGCAGATTCTCCAAAAGAAGTGTTTCCAACTTGCAGAGACAAAAAAATGGTTTAGCTCTGTGAAGTGAATCCAGGCATCACAAAGCAGTTTCACAGGTAGCTTTTTTCTAGTTTTTATCTGGGGATATTCGATTTTTCCCCATAGGACCCAATGTGCACCAGAATGCCCCTTCAGAGATTCTCCAATTAGAGAGTTTCTGACCTGCTGAATCACAAGAAAGGTTTAACTCTGTGAGATGAATCCACACATCAGAAAGCAGTTTCACAGACAACTTCTTTCTAGTTTTATCTGGGAATATTCAGCTTTATCAAATAGACCTCAATGGGCTCCCAAATGTCCCTTTGCAGATTCTTCAAAAAAAAAGTTTCCAACCTGCTGAATCAAAAGAAGCTTTTATCTCTATGAGATGAATACACACATCACAAAGCAGTTTTACAGCTAGGTTCCTTGTCATTTTCACATGGGGATATTCAATTTTTCCCCATAGGTCTCACTGGGCTCTCAAAAGTCCCTTCGCAGATTCTACAAAACAGTGTTTCCAACATGCTGAAGCCAAAGAAAAGTTTAATTCTGAGAAATGAATGCACACATCATGAGGCAGTTTCACTGATAGCTTCTCCCTTGTTTCTATCTGGGGATATTCTGTTTCTCCCCATAGGCCTCAATGGGGTCCTAAATATTTCTTCGTTGATTCTCCAAAAAAAGGGCTTGGCACTTTCTGCATAAAAGAAAGGCTTAACTCTGTGAGGTGAGTCTACAAATCACAATGCAGTTTCATGGTAGATTCTTCTCTTTCTATCTGGGGATAATCTGTTTTTCCCCATAGGCCTCAAAGGGCCCCTAAATTGACCTTTGTATATTCTATAAAAAGAAGATCTGCAACCTGCTGAATCAAAAGAAAGGTTTAAATCTCTGAGCTGAATCCACACATCACAAAGCAGTTTCACAGATTGCTTCTTTGTAGTTTTTATCTGGGGATATTCCTTTTTTCCCCATAGGCCTCAATGGGCTCCCAAGTGTCCCTTCACAGATTCCCCAAAATGACTGTTTCCAACCTCCTGAATGAAAAGAAAGGCTTTACTATTGCAGATTAATCCACACATCACAAAGCAGTTTCACAAATAACTTCTTTCTAGTTTTCACCTGGGGATATTCGTTCTTTCCATAGATCTCAATGGTCTCCCAAATGTCCCTACACAGATTCTCTAAAAACAGTCCTTTCAACCTGCTGAATCAACAAAAAGTTTTGACTCTGTGAGATGAATCCACCCATCACAAAACAGTTACACAGATAGCTTCTTTCTAGTTTTTATCTGGAGATATTCAGTTTTTTCCCATAGGCCTCAATGGCTCCCAAATATAGCTTTGCAGATTCTCCAAAAAGAGTGTTTCCAACCTACTGAATCAAAAAATATTTTAACTCTGTGAGATGAATCAACACATCGCAAAGCAGTTTCACAGATGCCTTCTTTCTAGTTTTTACCTAGGGATATTTTGTTTTACCCCATTGGCCTCAATGGGCAGTCAAATATTTCTCTGCAGATTCTCCAAAATGAGGGTTTCCAACCTGTTGAATAATTATAATAATAAAAGATTAAACCACGTGCGATGATCCACACATCGCAAAGCAGTTTTGCAGATAGCTTCTTTGTAGTTTTAATCTTAAAGTATTCTGTTTTTCCCCTTTGGCCTCAATGGGCTCCCAAATGTCCCTTCACAGATTCTCTAAAAAGAGTGTTTCCAACCTGCTGAAAAAAAGAAAGAGCTAACTCTCTGACATGAATTCACACATCACAAGGCAGTTTCACAGATTGCTTCTTTCTAGTTTTTATCTGGTGATATTGGGTTTTTTCCCATAGTACTCAAAGGCTCCCAAGTGTCACTTCTCAGTTTCTCGAAAAAGAGTGTTTCCAACCTGATGAATCAAAAGAAAGGTTTAACCTTCGGAGATGAATCCACCCATCGCAAAGCAGCTTCACAGATACCCTCTTTCTAGTTTTTATCTGGGCATATTCTGTTTTTTTCCCATAGGACTCAATGGGCTCCAAGTGTCCCTTCACAGATTCTCTAAAAAGAGTTTTCCAACCTGCTGAATCAAAAGAAAGGTTTGACTCTGTGAGGTGAATCTACACATCACAAAGAACTTCCACAGATAGCTTCTTTCTAGTTTTTGTCTGAGGATATTCGTTTTTCCTCCCATATTTCTCAATGGGCTCCCAAATGTTGCTTCACAGGTTCTCCAAAAGGAGTGTTTCCAAAATGCTGGATTAACAAAAAAGGTTTAACTCTGTGAGATGGATCCACACCTCACAAAGCAGTTTCACAGATAGCTTATTTCTAGTATTTATCCAGAGACATTCAGTTTTTTTCCATTGGCCTCAATGAGCTCCCAAATGTCCCTTCACAGATTCTTCAAAAAGAGTGTTTTCAATCTGCTGATTCAAAACACAGGTTTAAATCTGTGAGATGAATCCACACATCACAAAGCAGTTTCATAGATAGCTTCCTTCTAATTTTTAGCTGGGGATATTTTGTTTCTCCCCAGAGGCTCAATGGGCTCCCAAATGTCTCTTCACTGATTCTCCAAAAAAAAGTTTTTCCAATGTGCTGAATCAAAAGAAAGTTTCAACTCTGTGAGATGAATCCATACCTCAAAAAGCAGTTTCACAGATAGCTTCTTTCTAGTTTTCTTTTTTTCCTTGGGTATTCAGTTTATCCCTATAGGCATCAAAGAGCTCCCAAATGTCTCTTCACAGATTCCCCAGTTAGAGTGTTTCCAACCCTGCTGAATCAAAAGAAAGTTTTAACTATGTCAGATAAATCCACATATCACAAAATGTTTTCACAGATAGCTTCATTCCAGATTTTATCAGGGGATATTCAATTTTTCCCTTTAGGCCTCAATTTGCTCACATATTTTTCTTCACAGATTATACAAAAACAGTTTTTCCAAACTGCCGAATCAGAAGAATGGTTTTATCTGTGAGAATAATCCAAACAACACAAAGCAGTTTCATAGATTTCTTTTTTTCTATTTTTTTTTTGTTGTTGTTGGGGCTTATTCAGTAATTCTCCATAGGCCTCCATGGGCTCCCAAATGTCCCTTCACAGATTCTCCAAAAAGAATGTTTTGAACATGGTGAATCAAAACAAAGGTTTAACTCTATGAGATGATACCACACATCACAAAGCAGATTCACAGATAGCTCCTTTGCAGTTTTTATTGGGGGATAATCTGTTTTCCCCCATAGGCCTTAATGGGTGCCAAAACGTCCCTTTGCAGATTCTCCAGAAAGAATGTTTCCAACTTGCTGAATGAAAGGAAAGGTTTAACTCCGTGAGAAGTTTCCACACATCACAAAGTAGTTTCACAGAAGCCTTTTTTCTAGTTTTTATCTAAGGATATTGGGTTTTTCCCCCAGGCAGCAATAAGCTCTCAAATGTCCTTTCACAGATTCTCCAAATAGAGTGTTTCCAACTTCTGAAATCTAAAGAAGGGTTTAATTCTGTCAGATGAATCCACACATCCCAAAGCAGTTTCACAGATAGTTTCTTTCTAGTTTTTGTATGGGGATATTTGGCTTTTTTTTCCCTTAGAACTAATGGGTTCTTATATGTCCCTTTGCATATTCTCCAAAAGGAGTTTTCCAACCTGCTGAATCAAAGAAAGTTGTAAATCTGTGAGATGAATCCACACTTCACAAAGCAGTTACACAGATAGCTTCTTTCTAGTTTTAATCTGTGGATATTCAACTTTTTTGCATAGGCCTCAATGGGCTCCCAAATGTCTCACACCTTATGGCTGTCTTCCCTTGTTCCCTAAAAATCGCTGTTATTCTGCTCTTTTTCAATGTGCCCTGATTTCATATTGTTCAAACACACATTTTACAATCAATTTGTGCAGTTAACCCAGTGATCAGAGTGATCCTGAGGTGATGTACATCCTCAGCCAATGAAGATAACAGGATTAAGAGATTAAAGTAAGGCAAGGATAAGAAATTATGAAAGTTTTATTTTGAAAGTGATAAATGTCCCTATTAAAATGAAATCTTCACAATTTATGTTCCTCTGCCATGGCTCCAGCCGGTCCCTCCATTTTGGGGTCCCTGACTTCCCTCAACATCTCTCCTTTCTTTTTATATAAATGTGCCATGGAGATGAATGCTTGCTCATTCTCTCAGTTTTGATGAAGGATTCTTTTACTTGTCCAGCACACTAAAAACAAGCCAATTAAACAGAGAAACGTAAATCCAAAATTTACTACAGTGGAGCCACCAATAGACTTAATCCAAGTATTGGGGTTTAGTCCGGAAAGACTTTCTGCCACCTGATCAGACGCCTCAGCAGCAGGCACAATGGATAAATGAGCTTGAGAGGCTCCAAAAATTTGTTTCTTTAATTTAGTTATGTCTAAGGATAAGTTATCTTCCCTACCCAAAAGGTGTCCTTTCATCATTTCCCATGAATGATCAGTCTTGCTGTAGGAATATGGTGTGATACAGAAATCAGTAGTATTCCAATTGCACTGCATTTGCATGCAATGTTCAAGACTCACTAGCAGATCTCCAAGCCAAATAACAGATTGTCTTAAATCATTAATTTGATTAGCTAATTTTTGATCAATGCCCTGTTGAGAATTCCACATTTGGGTGTAATTGGCTTGCCAATCCTTAACAAAATGAGAGATTTGAATAGATTAATGTAATGCCATTCTGGCAGTAGCGGCCAGTGCACTGACTCTAATTAGGCCCAAGATCACAGCAATTAAAGTGAAAACAAATCTATTAGTTCTTTTAAGAATTCGTTGTAACACTTCATTAATTAAATGTACTAAGTGGGAAGATTCTCAAGGTCTGTGTAAGGTTACTGGTATCCAGATTCCTTCTCGAGCTCGAACCAATATTACACTTTTCCTGGAGTCAAAATGGGAGTTAATACAAGTGTATAAATGACAATTAATGCATTAGACAGTTTGATTGTTCAGCCAAATTTTGATATTTCCCACTAACAGCATGTAAGGAGGTCTAACGCAACTCTGTATAGTAATAGTCAGGTTGGAGGTAAAAGAAGCAGAATGTCTGAATCTATTTTGTTACTGAGGGAGAGGAGTGGCAGTGGCAATGCCCAATGTTCTCTGCGATAAAGAAGTATTCTGAGGTGCCTGGGAATGCCAAAGAGGTAGAGGGGCATACGTTGGTCGAGAAGAGTTATCATAATGCCAATTGGAGTCCACAAAGGAGGACTGGTGTCAAAAAGAAGAAAAGAGCTCAAAGGGGATTTACCATGGGGTTCAGAATCATGAATGTGAGGGACAGTAGTGGGGACAACAGACAGAAACCTTTCCCCTTCCTTTACTCACAGTCCGGCGGACATGGCAATAGCCGATTTCCAAAATTCTGAGTGTTATGGGCTCAGAATGGGGAATAGCATATGAGGCCTTGGGTAGGGGGTAAAGCCCTTATCTTCCCATTTTAAGGGTAAGAAAGGGCCGAACCTCCTATGCAAAGGAAGATGATGATCCCGTCCTCCCAATAAGAAATAAAATAAGTAGCCTCCAGGAATTCCCTTCTGCCAGAGGAGCAATTGTTTTTTAAACAGCCCTTTGGTGTCCAGTCTATTACTAAACCATATGAGTCATTCTTTAATACTACTGCATGTGACTTAACACAATCTTCCCAAATTAAAGTTTTAGTTGGGCCCTCAAAATTTTTAGGACACGGTTTTCCTACATGTTTATATTGAAAGTATGGAGTATATCCTATTATTCCCCTTTTCATTTGTATTAAAGGAGAAAGGGAGAGACCAGAGACAAAATGTCCCTGTTCCTTTGTAGTTAATCTCTCCAGAAGATCAGCAGCCCAGACTTGAGTTTCTAGATGGATGCAACCAGGTGCATGTCTGAGGCAAATGGGAGGGTATATATAACCCATAGTAACATTAAATGCAGTGCCTTCTTCTCCTGGTTGAAAGGTGAAACGGTCATCTGTAGGTCCAGGCATCCACACACTATCATTAGTATAGATTTTCACAGGAGTATCCATCCAGGTGAGAGGACGAATAAGTAGAGGAAAAGGCACATAAACCCATTAAGAGTAATTTTGTGTAGCAGGTACATCATTGTGAGGGGAACCTGCTGAGACAGAAAATATAAGGAGGAGAATTACTAAATAAAACCTATAGTAAGTGAGATCCAGTGCTGAAGAAGGAAGAGAAGAACAGAAGGATGTTATTTTCAGGCAAATAGAATGGTGAGATTTTTAGGTTTAGGAGAAGTGGGATTAGTTAGATGGGTCTCCGTTGCCATTAGGGAGGATTGAACCAGATAAATTTTGATTTGGCATGCCAGACTTTGAGGAGTTGGTTCAGATCTCACCAGATACGATGGTGACCTCTGGCGTGGACGTCTTTTCCCTGTGGTTTTTATAGTCAAAATTCACAGGAAGTTTAAGTCTCCTAGTAGGCACCCAGACAGGGGACTGATGATCTCCTGGTAAAATACAAGCATACCCTCTTCCCCACGTTATAATTTTTCCAGGTTCCCAGGTATTGGCCTGGGAGTTTTTCAATAAGACTGGCTTGTCCTTCATTTAGGGAGAATTTTTTGCCTGTATAATGGCATTCAGCTGCAATCAGAGTATTGTCTTTAGGAACATTTAGAAAGTTTAAAGAAAACAATGCTAAATATAATTGGGAGTGGGGAGTGATTAAATTATGCTTTTGTTGTTCAGACTCTTTGGACAATTGAGTTTTTAAAGTGTGATTGACCCTTTCCACCAGAGCCTTTCCCTGAAGATTGTAAGGGATTCCGGTAATACAGGAAATTCCCCACTGTTGCATAAATAAATCAAAAGCCTTACTCACATATCTAGGGGTGCTGTCTGGTTTTATTTGATATGGAAGCCCCATAACTGCAAAGCAAGGATACAGATGTCTTTTAATATGGGCCATGCCTTCCTCTGTTTGGCAAGTAGCCCAGGTAAAGCCTGAAAAGATGTCTACGGAAACATGCACATATGAAAATCTGCCAAAGGAGCTAACATGATACACATCCATTTGCCACAAATCATTAGGAGTTAGGCCTGTGGGATTAACACCATGTTCCTGATTTGGAAGTATAAAAACTTGGCACTGAGGGAAGCAGTTGACAATAAGCTTAGCCTCCTTCCAGGTGAGAGCAAATTTATCTTTTAATCCATAACATTGACATGAGAGAGATTATGGAACTCCTGAGCTTCTTGGGTTGCAAAAGAGACCAAACACTCGACTTTATGTTTACCTGTAGACATGGGTCCTGGTAAAGTAGTATGAGATCTAATATGTGTAATATAGAAAGGATGTCTATGTTGGAAAACCACCTGTTGTAATCTTGAAAATAAAGAAGCCAATTCAGAATTATCAATATGTTTGACAGTAGCGGTTTCTACATTTTTAGTGGGAAGTACAACATAAGCAGAATCAGAGAGAATATTTAAAGGTTTGGGGAAATCTTGTAAGGCAGTAATTACAGTAATTAACTCTGCTTTTTGAGAAGAGGTGTAAGGGGTAGAAATAAGCTTGTCTGTAGGACTCACTTAACAAGCATTTCCATTACTGGAGCCATCAGTGAACACTGCAACAGCCTCAGGAATGGGCTGGTTTTTGGTCAATCAAGGGACCACCCAATAAGTCATTTTTATAAAATCAAACAATTTGTTTTTTGGATAATGACTGTCAATAACCAATAAAATCAGCCAAGTGAATTTGCCACAGTATGGAATGTTGAAAAGCAGCTTGAACTTCGAGCCAATTTGAAGGAACCACAATTAAATTTGGATCAAATCCAGAAAGTTTAAGTATTCTAAACTGAACTTGTCCAATTAGGGTGGACATTTTGTCCAGATAAGCGGACAAAGTTTTTGAAACCAAATGAGGAAGAAAACACCACTCCACTAAATCATTACATTGAACTATTAGCCCAGTAGGGGAGTGCAATGAAGCAAAAACCAGAACATGAAAAGGCTGAGACGGCTGTACCCTAGACAATTGAGCAGTTTGGATTTTTTATTCTATGAATTGCAATTCAAGTGAAGCCTCAGGGGTGCAAGTCCTGGGACTGTGGAGATTGGAATCTCCACGAAGCATAGAAAACAAGTTAGACAGCACATATGTTGTTGGAATGCCTAAAGTAGGTCTTCAATAATGATTGTTACCCAATGGTTTTTGGAAATCATTTAAGATTTTCAAAGAAACTCTCCTAATCTGAACTTTTTGAGGTTGAATACATTCTTATCGACCAGCATTCCAAAATATTGAACAGGAGTGGACTGTTGAATTTTATCCTGAGTGATGTGTAATCCAGCCTCTATAACATGGTGGCTCCAAAATTGATAACAGTCAATTAATTGTTTATCAATGGAGGCAAAAATTAATATATCATCAATATAGTGAAGAATATCAGCCTGTTGAAATTGAGCTCGAACTGGTGAAAGCACCTGTCCAACATAAATCTTGCAGATAGTAGGGCTATTCAGCATTCCCTGATGAAGTACTTTCCATTGATAATGAGCTGCAGGCTCCTGATTATTGATAGATGGAAAAGTAAAGGCAAAAATTTACAATCCAATTCATGCAAAGCAATATGAAAAAAGCAATCTTTAAGACCAATAACTATGAGAGGCCAATTTTTAGGTATTAAAGCAGCGGCAGGCATGCCAGGTTGGACTGCTCCCATAGGTTTAATTACAGCATTAATGGACCTTAAATCAGTTATCATTGGCCAGTTGCCTGATTTCTTTTTTACTAGAAACATAGAAGAATTCCAGGAGGGGAAGAGAACATTCCACATTTCCAAGTAGTAACTGTTCAGAAACCCATTGAGTTGAAGCCTCCAGTTTTTCTTTAGAGAGTGGCCACTGCTCAATTCAAGCAGGTGTTTCCAATTTCCATTGTAAAGGAATAAGATTAGGAGGTTTGTGAGTGGCTGCCATTAAAAAGGATGATCTAAACCAACCCTGTCCTCTTTTAAAGTAACTTGAAGGGGTTTAATAATTCCTTCATGTTTTTGACCAAGACCTAGTCTGGGAACAAACCCCATGTTTTCCATTATATGTTGACTGGGAGCACTATAAGAGTTATGTGGAATATTAATTTCAGCCCCCCATTGTGCCAGCAAATCTCTACCCCAAAGATTGATGGGGATTGGCGTGATATAAGGCTAAATTGGACCATTTTGACCATCATGGCCAGTGCAAGGCAAGATAAATGTGCTCTGGTGAACTTCATCAGCCTTTCCAACACCTATTACTCCCATGTTGGCAAGATGTTTAAGCCCAGAGGAAGGCTGTAAATTAGAGGAAATAATAGAAACATCAGCCCCAGTATCTACTAGGCCCTCAAACTTTTTTCTTTGAATGTGTATGGTGCAGGTGGCCCATGGTTTAGAAATTACATTAATCCATTAAGCAGGTTTTTCACCGCCATAGCCCATTCCAGGGCCCCATGACTTATCTCCCTTGTTTAAAACAATATTATGTAATAAAAGTAATTGAGCAATTGACTCACTGGCCAGAATGGAAACAAGAACCTTGGCGCACAATATAAGGTTAATGTCATCAGAGGAATCAGAATTAATGAGGCCAGTATGATGAGTGATACCTTTAGCAGAGGTGGATGCCCTACCTAATATCAGGCCCACCGAACCTTGAGATAAAGGGCCAGTGACCCCAGTGGGGACAATTAATGGCAAAGAATTAGGTAGTAAATTTAAAGGGATGGTACTACAGAGATTGACTGCCCCACCCTCTACTGTGGATGTGGACAAGCTTTGTACAGAGACAAAAGAAGAGGCTGGGGCCAATCTGGCTTGGCTGCATATAAACTTGTTTGTGCTGGGGGCTGCATTGGGACCACTTGAAGTGGAAATGCAACATTGGTCTGAGTCTGAGGTGTCCTATTTGATATTGGCTCCTGGGACTGGCCCCACTTCCCGTTTCCCTGGTTCTGTGGCAGGGGATTGCCATCTATATCAGACTTAGAGCAGCAAGTACTTACCCACTGTTTAACCTTATGACAATGCAGGCAAACAGTAGGAGCAGCATTTGGCCATGTTTTTTGAGCCAGCTTGGCCACTTTTAAGTTTTTAACAGTGCAATTTTATTGAGTAGACCAATTTGAGCACAATTATAGCAGGCTCCAAGTAAAGAATCAGTTGAGCCACTTTGATTGGCATCCTTCATGGCCAGTGCCCATAGAATAGCTTTGTGGGTCTCTGATTCCATGCCTTCACAAGCCTTAATATATGCAGGCAACAATTCGTGATCAGGTAAATTTAACGTTGGATGGAACACATGGCCATTTTACATTCATGGTCCACATTTTCAACACCTGACATGCAAAGGGAAATACCTTGAACATTCTCTTCAGAGACAGATTTTTCAACAGCATCTTGTAATTTAGCCAGAAAATCAGGATATAATTCATTGTGACCCTGTTTAACAGTACTAAAAGAAACAGGAGTTTGGCCTGGGGTGTATAATTTATCCCAAGCTCTCATACACACCTTTGTTACTTGTTCCATGGTGAGAGCACCAAAGCCTAATTGAGCGGCAGTGTCAGAGGAATTATCGGAGCCTGTGAGCTGAGCCTGAGTAATTAGAATGCCATCAGGCCGATTTAGCTGAGCCTGCAGACAGACCTCCTCTGACCACCAGGTACAGAATTGTAAATGCTGAGAAGGAGTTAGAACAGCTTTTGCCAAAATGTCCCAGTCTAAAGGAAGAAAAAGTCTTTAGTACAAAGAGTGTGTAATATCATTTTAACATATGAAGAAGTAGGACCATACTGAGTAAAAGCATCCTTGAATTCTTTTAAAAAGGTAAGATTGAGTGGTGCATATTGATGCACTTGTTCCCCTTAAGCGTTAGGAGGTTCCAGCGCAACAGGATAAGCCCATGTCTCTAATCCACTTGTTTCTTTGTTTTGGCATAATAGGTGTTGTATGGAAGTTTCAAGAAAAGGCACATGAGAAGGAGTCGGTATAGAAGTGACAGAAAAAGCATATGTAGATAAGGGAAACTGAGTTTGAGGAAGTCAGAACAATATGAGAGTGTGAGAAAGGTGAATTGTAGGGGCAGAAGAGGCAGAAGCATACTGGTGATTATTGGCAACCATGCATGAAGAAGTGTACAGAGAAGCAGGTTGAGTGGATGGCAAGGTGACCAGTTGAGGGACTGAAATGACAGGAGGGTGAGGGACAGTGGTGGGTGGGGGAGGGCCTGCAGAATAACAGGTAAATTGTAGTTTGGCCCTGGAGCCACTAGGTGTCTCCGGAGGCAAAGGCTGCAAAGGTTTGAAGAGGGAAGTGTTAGCATAGATATGGTCCTGGGCTGTCTGAGTCAGGGCCATGGGAAATACAAGTATCAATTTTTAATGAAAAGAAATAAAATCATCAGGGTGTGATGTTAAGCCAAAGTCACCAGAGTTAGATATTGAATCCTCAACATCATCAGGTGGGGGACGAGTAGGTGAAGGGAGACACTGAGCAGATAATGAAGGCCACTTGTGAGAGGAAAGCTGAGGAAGAGGTAGAGGTCGCCAGATTCAGAAAACTGTGGTAACTGCAAGGGGTCACAGGATTTGCATGTCATTAGGATGGCATGTACCAAGGCCCAATCACCCCAAACAGTGATGGGAACATAATTTTCTGCTGGGACCAGTTCCCAGAATTTTGCACCAACATGATCCCATAGTTCCACATCTAATGTTCCCTTTTCAGGAAACCAAGGACAGTGTTCTTCCAATGCCCTTAATAGAGTGACCATATTTTCCATGGGCACCTGAACCCCACCCTGTTTTAACATGAGTTTAATATAGCAGAGATAAGCATAATGTTTAAATTCCATGTGATCCAGAGTTACCCCAAACAATACACGGTCAACTTACCAAACATCAGGGAGCCAAACAAGCGTTTCTGTGGACCGGACCAATGAACATTTCTCCATACCTACCAAAGGAATTGGGTTGCCACATGCATTTAGGAAAAAGAAAAACCACATTGGTGCACCACATACCGGGGAACCCACCCCCAATATTTGCACGTAAGTTCTTTCTACTTTCCCTAAGTGTTGGCTGGCTGAGAAAA
Source organism: Homo sapiens (assembly GCF_000001405.40). NCBI lineage: Eukaryota > Metazoa > Chordata > Mammalia > Primates > Hominidae > Homo > Homo sapiens. Next base: position 39,043,226 of record NC_000010.11, on the reverse strand, counting down.
AGAGAAAGAGTACAAAGAAAGGAATTCTACAGCTGTGCCTCCAGGGGTGACTTCATATATTGATAGGACCGTGATGCCCTCCTGAGCCAAAAAAAAGCAAGTTTTCATTAAGGATTTCAAAAGGGGAAGGGGTGTATGAACGGTGAGTAGGTCACAAAGATCACAAGCTTCAAACGGCAAAAAGGAGAACAAAGATCACATGCTTCTGAGGAAACAGGACAAGGGCAAACCAGAAGTTCTGATAAGGGTCTATGTTCAGTGGTGCACGCATTGCCTTGATAAACATCTTAACAGACAGCAGGGTTTGAGAGCAGAGAACCGGTCTGACCTGAAATTCACCAGGGTGGGGTTTTCTCCACCCTAATAAGCCCGAGGGGAATGCAGGAGACCAGGGCATATCTCAGTCCTTATCTCAACTGCATAAGGCAGACACAGAACAGTCATTTACAGACCTCGCCCCAGGATTGCAATTCTTTTCCCGGAGTATTAAATATCGATATCCACTGCTAGTATGCTATACAATCAATTTGTACAGTTAAAACAATCATCACAATGATCCTGAAGTGATGTACATCCACAGCTTATGAAGATAACAGAATTAAGAGATTAAAGTAAAATAGGCATGAGAAATTATGAAACTATTATTTTGAAAGTGATAAATGTCCATATTAAAATGAAATCTTCACAATTAATGTTCCTCTGCTGTGGCTTCAGCCCGTCCCTCAATTTTGGGTCCCTGATTTCCCACAACATCACATAGCTTCCTTTTAGTTTTTATGCTGGGATATTCACTTATTTGCCTTTGGCCCCAATGAGCTCTCAAATGGCCTTTCACAGACTATACAAAGACAGTGTTTCCAAACCACTGAATGAAAAGAAAGGATTCACTCTGTGAGATGAAAGCAGACATCACAAAGCAGCCTATCAGAAAGCTTCTTTCTAGTTTTTATCTGAAGATATTTTCGCCTTCACTATAGGCCTCAATAAGCTCGCAAATGTCCATTCCCAGAATGCAAAAAAAATGGTGTTTCCAAACTGCTAAATCAAATGAATAACTCTGTGAGATAACTGCACACATCACAAAGCAGTTTCTCAGAAAGACTCTTTCCAGTTTTTATCTGAAGATAATTTCTTTTTCACCATAGTCTTAATTGTGCTCCAAAATGTCTTTTCACAGAATCTATAAAAACAGTGTTTCCAAACTGCTAAATGAAAAGAAAGGTTTATTTCTGTGAGATGAATGCACACATCACAAAGTGGTTTCTCAGATAGCTTCCCTCTAGTTTTTATCTTGGGATGTATGATTTTTCACCACAGGCCTCAATGAGTTCCCAAATGTCCATTGGCAGAATGTACATAAACATTATTTCCAAACTGCTGAATCAAAAGAAAGTTTTAACTCTATGAAATGAATGCATGCATCAAAAACATTTCTCAGAAAGATTCTTTCTAGTGTTTATCTGAAGATATATTATTTTTCACCATAGGCCTCAATGCACTTTCAAGTGTCCTTTCACATAATGTAAAAAACAGTGTTTCCAAATTGCTGAATCAAAAGAAAGCTTTAACTCTGTGAGATGAATGCACACATCACAAAGCAGTTTCTCAGAAAGCTTCTTTGTAGTTTTTATCCGAATATATTTTCTTTTTCATCATTGGCCTCAGTGAGCTGCCAACTGTCCATTCGTTGAAAGTACATAAACAGTGTCTCTAAATTGCTGAATCAAGATAAGGTTTAACTCTGTGAGATGAATGCACACATTACAGAGCAGTTTCTCAGAAAGGTTCTTTTTAGTTTTTATCTGAAGGTATTTTATTTTTCACCGTAGACCTCAATGAGCCCCCAAATGAACACTCACAAAATGTACAAAAACAGTGTTTCTAAACTGCTGAATCAAAAGAAAGGTTTAACTTCGTGAGATGCACACAACACAAAGCAGTTTCTCAGAAAGCTCCTTTCTAGTTTTTATTTGAAGATATTTTCTTTTCTCACCACAGGCCTCTATGCTGAAAGAAAGGAAATTTTTAACTCTGTGAGATGAATGCACACACCACAAAGCAGTTTCTCGGAAAGCTTCTTTGTAGTTTTTATCTGAAGATATTTCCTTTTTTACCTCAGGCCTCAATGCTCTCCAAAATGTCCTTTCACAGAATCTACAATACAGTGTTTCCAAACTGCTGAATCAAAAGTATGGTTTAAATCTGTGAGATGAATGCATACATTTCAAAAAGGTTTCACAGATAGCTTCCTTTTTGTTTTTATCTTGAGGTATATGCTCTTTCATCATTGGCTTCAATTAGCTCCCAAATGTCCAATCACAGATTGTACAAAAACAGTGTTTCCAAACTGCTCAATCAAAAGAAAGTTTTACCTTTGTGAGATGAATGCACACATCACAAAGCAGTTTCTCAGAAAACTTCTTTCCAGTTTTTATCTTAAGATATTTTCTTTTTCATCATATGCCTCAATGCACTCCCAAATGTCTTTTCCCAGATTAAACAAAAACAGTGTTACCAAACTATTGTATCAAAAGAAAGGTTTAACTCTTTGAGATGAATGCACACATCACAAAGTAGTTTGTCAGAAAGCATCTTCCTAGTTTTTATATGAAGATATTTTCTTTTTCACCATAGGCCTCAAATGGTTCTCAAATGTCTTTTCACAGATTCTACAAAAACAGTGTTTCCAAACTGCTGAATCAATAGAAAGTTTTAGCTCTGTGAGATGAATGCACACATCACAAAGTGGTTTCTCAGATATATCCCTCTAGTTTTTATCTTCAGATATTCACTTTTTCACCATTGACTTACATGAGCTTCCAAAAGTCCTTTCACAGAATGAATGCAAACAGTGTTTCCAAACTGCTGCATCAAAAGAAAGGTTTAACACAGTGAGATTAATGCACACACCAAAAAGCGCTTTCGCATAAAGCTTCTTTCTGGTTTTCATCAGAAGATATTTACTTTTTCAGCTTAGGCCTCAATGTGCTCCCAAATGTCCTTTCCCAGATTCTACTAAAACTGTGTTTCCAAACTACTGAATGAAAAGAAAGGTTCAAGTCTGTGAGATGAATGCACACATCACAAACCAGTATGTCAGATGGCTTATTTCTAGTTTTTATCTGAAGATATTTTCTTTTTCACCATAGGCCTCAGAGCACTCCAAAATGTCTTTTCACAGATTCTAGAAAAACAGTTTCCAAACTGCAGAATCAATAGAAAGATTTAGCTCTGCAGGTTGAATGCACACATCACAAAGTGGTTTCTCACATAGCTTCCATCTAGTTTTTATCTTGGGATATTGGCTTTTTCACCTTTGGCCTGAATGATCTCCCAAAGGTGCATTCGCAAATTCTACAAAAATATTGATTCCAAACTGCTGAATCAAAAGATAGATTTAACTCTGAGTTGAATGCACACATCACAAAGTGGTTTCTCAGATAGCTTCCTTCTAGTTTTTATCTTGTTATATTGGCATTTTCACCATTGGCCCAATGAGTTCCCAAATGTCCTTTTGCAGATTCTACAAAAACACTGCTTCCAACATACTAAATCAAAAGATAGTTTTAACTCTGCAGGTTGAATGCACACATCACAAAGCGGTTTTTCAGGCAACTGCTTTCCAGTTTTTATCTTGGGACATTGGCTTTTTCACCATTGGCCTCAATGAGCTCCCAAATGTCCATTCGCAGATTCTATGAAAACGGTGTTTCCAAACTGCTGGATCAAAAAAGAGGTTTAACATTGTGAGATGATGGCACACATCACAAAGCAGTTTCTCAGAAATCTTCTTTACAGTTTTTATCTGAATATATTTCCTTTCTCATGATAGGCCTCAATGCTCTCCCAAATGTTCTTTTGCAGATTCTACAAAAACAGTGTTTCCAAGCTGCTGAATCATAGTAAGGTTTAACTCAGTGAGATGAATGCACACATCACAAAGTGGTTTCTCAGATAGCTTCCTTTAGGTTTTTGTCCTGGGATATTCATTTTTTCGCCATTGGCCACAGTGAGCTCCCAAATGTGCCTTCACAGATTCTACAAAAACAGTGTTTCCAACCTCCCAAATCCAAAGAAAAGATTAACCCTGCAAGATGAATGCATACACCACAAAGTGGTTTATCAGATAGCTTCCTTGTAGTTGTTATCCTGGGATATTCACTTTTTTGCCATTGGCATCAATGTCAGAAATCTTCTTTTTACTTTTTGTAGAATCTGCAAAAGCACACTGAAGAGTGTGCTGAAGCCTATGCTGAAAAAGAAAATACTTTCAGATAAAAACTAAAAAGAAGCTTTCTGAAAAAATTCTCTGTGATGTTTCCATTTACCTCACAGAGATAAACCATTCTTTTGGTTCAGAATTTGGAAACACTGTTTTGCTACATTCTGAGAATGGACATTTGAGGGTCCATTGAGGCCTATGGGGAAAAAGAAAATATTTTCAGATAAAAAGTAGAAAGGTGATTTCTGAGAAACTGCTTTGTGATGTGTGCATTCATATCATAAAGTTAAAACTTTCTTTTGATTCAGCAGTTTGGAAACACTGTTTTTGTAGAATCTGTGAAAAAAACATTTGGGAGAATATTGAGGCCTATGGTGAAAAGGAAGTATCTTCAGATAAAAACTAGAGTGAAGCTTTCTGAGAAATTGCTTTGTAATGGGTACATTTAACTCAAAGAGTTAACATTTTATTTTGATTCAGCAGTTTGGAAATAATGTTTTTGTACATTCTGTCAATGAGCATTTGGAAGTTCATTGAGGCCAATGGTGAAAAAGAAAATATTCCAAGACGAAAACTAGCAGGAAGCTATATGAGAAACTCCTTCGTGATGTGTGGATTCATCTCACAGAGTTAAAACATTCATTGGATTCAGCAGTTTAAAAACTCTTTTTTTGTAGAATCTGAGAAAAGGCATTTGGGAGCACTTTGAGGCCTATCGTGACAAAGAAAATTTCTTCAGATAAAAAGTAGAAAGAAGCTTTCTGAGAAACTTCTTTGTGATGTGTGCCTTCATCTCACAGAGTTAAACCTTTCTTTTGATTCAGTAGTTTGGAGACACAGTTTTTGTCCATTCTGCAAATAGACATTTGGGAGCTCACTAAGGCCAAAGGCAAAAAAGCAAATATCTTAGGATACAAATAGGTAGGAAACTTTATGTGAAACTTCTTTGTTATGTGTGCATTCATCCCACATAGATTAACCTTTCTTTTGATTCACAATTTGGAAACAGTTTTTTTGTACATTCTGCAAATGGACATTTAGGAGTGTTTTGAGGCCTATGGTGAAAAAGAAAAAATATATTCAGATAAAAACTAGAAAGATGTATTCTGACAAAATGCTTTGTGATGTGTGCATTCATCTCTCAGAGTTAAAGCTTTCTTTTTATTCAGCAGTTTGGAAACTGTTTTTGTACATTCTGCGAATGGACATTTGGGAGGTTATTGAGGCCAATCATGAAAAAGTGAATATTCCAAGATAAAAACTAGATGGAAGCTATCTGAGAAACCACTTTGTGATGTGTGCATTGTTCTCACAGAGTTAAACCTTTCTTTCGATTCAACAGCTTAGAAACACTGTTTTTTAGAATCTGCAAAAGTACATTTGGGACAGCATTGAAACCTATGGTGAAAAAGAAAATATCTTCAGATAAAAAAAATAGAAAGAAGCTTTCTAAGAAACTGCTTTGTGATGTGTGCATTCAACTCACAGAGGTAAATCTTTCTTTTGATTCAGCAGTTTGGAAACACTGTTTTTGTAAATTATGCGAATAGACATTTGGGAGCTCATTGAGGCCTATGGTGAAAAAGAAAACATCTTCAGATAAAAACTAGAAAGAAGCTTTCTGAGAAACCACTTTGTGATGTATGATTTCATCTCACAGAGTTAAACTTTCTTTTGATTCAGCAGTTTGGAAACAATGTTTTTCTAGAATCGGCGAAAGGACATTGGGGAGCTCATTGAGGCCTAAAGTGAAAAAGAAAATATCTTCAGATAAAAACTACAAAGAAGCTTTCTGAGAAACTGCTTTGTGATGTGTACATTCACTTCAGAGATTTAAACATTTCTTATGATTCAGCAGTTTGGAAACACTGTTTTTGTACTTTCTGTGAATGGACATTTTAGAGCTCATTGAGGCCAATGGTGAAAAAGTGAATATCCCAAGATAAAAATTAGAAGGAAGCTATCTGGGAAATCGCTTTGTGATGTGTGCATTCACCTGGCAGAGTTAAACCTTTCTTTTGATACAGGATTTGGTAAACACTGTTTGTGTGGATTCTGCAAAAGGACATTTGGGAGTGCATTGAGGCCTGTGGTGAAAAAGAAAATATCTTCAGATAAAAACTAGAAAGAAGGTTTCTGAGAATCTGCTTCATGATGTGTGCGTTCACCTCACAGAGTTAAACTTTTCATTTGATTCAGCAGTTTGGAGACCCTGTTTTTCTACATTCTTTGAATGGACATTTGGGAGTTCACTGAGGCCAATGGTGAAAAGGGGAATGTCCTAGGATTAAAAAGTAGAAGGAAGGTTTCTGAGAAATTGCTTTGTGATGTGTGCATTTGTCTCACAGAATTAAACATTTCTTTCAATTCAGCAATTTGGAAACCCTCTTTTTGTACATTCTGCAAGTGAACATTTGGGAACTCACTCTGGCCAATGGCAAAAAAGGAAATACCCTAGGATAAAAACTAGGTGGAAACTATCTGAAAAACTGGTTTGTGATATGTGCATTGCTCTGGCTGAGAAAAACTTTTCTTTTGATTCAGCAGTTTGGAAACTCTGTATTTGTAGAATCTGCAAAAGGACATTTGGGAGTACTTGGAGGCCTATGTTAAAAAAGAAAATATCTTTAGATGAAAACAAGAAAGAAGCTTTCTGAGAAACTGCTTTGTTATGTGTCCATTCATCTCACAGAGTTAAAGCTTTATGTTGATTCAGCAGTTTGGAATCACTGTTTTTGTAAAATCTGTGAAAGGATATTTGGGAGTGCATTGAGGCCTATGGTGAAAAAGAAAATATCTTCACATAAAAACTAGAAAGATGCTTTGTGAGGAACTGCTTTGTGATGTGTGCATTCATCTTACAAAGTTAAACCATTCCTTTGCTTAAGCAGTCTGGAAACACTGTTTTTATATATTCTGCAAATGGACATTTAAGAGCTCATTGAGGCCTATGGCGAAAACAAAAATATCTACAAATAAAAACTAGAAAGAACTTCTGAGAAAATGCTTTGTGATGTGAGCATTCACCTCACAGAGTTAAACATTTCTTTTGCTTCAGGAGTTAGGAAACACTGCTTTTGCGCATTCTGTGGATGGATATTTGTGACCTCAATTGAGGTCAATGGTGAAAAAGTGAATAACCCAAGATTAAAACTAGAAGGAAGCTATCTGATAAAACACTTTTTAATGTGTGCATTCATCTCACAATGTTGAAACTTTCTTTTGATTCAGCAGTTTGGAAACAATGTTGTTGTAGAATCTGTGAAAGAACATTTGGGAGTTCATTGAGGTCTATAGTGAAAAAGAAAATATCCTCAGATAAAAACTGGAAAGAAGCTTTATAAGAAACAGCTTTGTGATGTGTGAATTACTCTGAGTTAAAACTTTCTTTTCATTCAGCTCTTCAGAAACAATGTTTATCTGAAATCTGCAAATGGACATTTGGGAGCTCATTGAGGCCTAAGGTGAAAAATAAAACATCTTCAAATAAAAACTAGAAAGAAACTTCCTGACAAACTGCTTTCTGTTATGGGCATTCATCTCACAGATTTGAATCTTTTGATTCAGCAGTTTGGAGACACTGTTTTTGTAATATCTGTGAAAGGACAATTGGGAGTGCATTTAGGCCTATGGTGAAAAAAATATCTTTATATAAAAACTAGAAGGAAGATTTCTGAGAAACTGCTTGTTGAAATGTCCATTCATCACACACAATTAAGCCTTTCTTTTGATTCCACAGTTTGGAAACAGAGTTTTTGTACCTTCTGCGAATGGACATTCAGGAGCTCACTGAGGCCAATGGCAAAAGAGAGACTATCCCAGGATAGAAAGTACAATGAAGCTTTCTGAGAAACTGGTTTGTGATGTGTGCATTCATCTGGCAGAGATAAAATTTCTTTTGATTCAGCAGTTTGGCAACACTCTTTTTGTACATTCTGTGAATGGATATTTGGGAGCTCATTGAGGCCAATGGTGAAAAAGAAAGTATCCCAAGACAAAAATTAGAAGAAAGCAATCTGTGAAACCGCTTTGTGATTTGTGCATTCATCCCACAGAGTTAAACGTTTCTTTGGATTCAGTGGTTTGGAAACACTGTTTTTGTAGAATCTGAGAAAGGACATTTGGGAGTGCTTTGAGGCCTATTGTGAAATAAGAAAATGTGTTCAGATAAAAACTAGAAAGAAGCTTTCTGAGAAACTGCTTTCTGATGTGTGCATTCACCTCACAAAGGCAAACATTTATTTTGACTCAGGAGTATGGAAACTTTTTTTGTACATTCTGCTAATGGACATTTGGGAGCCCATTGAGGCCTATGGTGAAAAAGAAAATATCTTCAGATAAAAACAAGAAAGAAGCCTTCTGAGAAACTGCTTTTTGTTGTGTGCATTAAACTCACAGAGTTAAACTTTTGTTTTGATCCAGCAGTTTGAAAACACTATTTTTGTACATTCTGTGAATGGACATTTGGGAAGTCATTTAGGCCAATGGTGAAAAAGTGAATTTTCCAATATAAAAACTAGAAGGAAGCTATCTGAGAAACCACTTAGTGATGTGTACATTCCTCTCACAGAGTTAAACCTTTCTTTTGATCCAACAGTTTGGAAACACTGTTTTTGTGGAATCTGTGAAAGTACATTTAAGAGGTCATTGTAGCCTGTGGTGAAAAAGAAAATATCTTCAGATAAAAAATGGAAAGAAGCTTTCTAAGAAATTGCTTTGTGATGTGTGAAGTAATCTCACAGATTTAAAACATTCTTGCCTTTCAGCATTTTGGAAACAATGTTTTTCTAAAATCTGCAAATGGACATTGTGGATCTCAATGAGGCCTAAGGTGAAAGAGAAAATATCTTTATCTTCAGATAAAAACTGGAAAGAAGCTTTCTGAGAAACTGCTTTGTGATGTATGCATTCATCTAACAGAGGTAAACACTTCTTTTCATTTAGCAGTTTGGAAACACTGTTTTTGTACATTCTGCAAATGGACATTTGGAAGCTCACTGAGGCCAGTGGTGAAAATGTGAATATCCCAAGATAAAAGCTAGAAGGAAGCTGTCTGAGAAACTGCTTTGTGATGTGTGCATTCATCTCGCAGAGTTAAACCATTCTTTTGATACAGCAGTTTAAATAAACTGTATTTGTAGAATCTGGGAAAAGACATTTGGGAGAACTTTGAGGCTTATGCTGAAAAAGAAAATACCTTCAGATAAAAACTGGAAGGAAACTTCCTGACAAACTGCTTTGTGATATGTGCATTTATCTCATTGAGTTAAGTCTTTCTTTTGATACAGCATTTTGGAGATGCTTTTTTTGTACATTCTGCAAATGGACATTTGGGAGCTCACTGAGGCCAATGGCATAAAAGCAAATATCCTATGATAAAAAGTAGAAGGAAGCTTTCTGAGAAATTGCTTCTGATGTGTGCATTCATCTCACAGAATTAAACCTTTCTTTTGATTCGGCAATTTCAAAAGACTATTTTTGTACTTTCTACAAATGGACCTTTGGGAGTTCACTGAAGCCAATGACAAAAAAGAAAATATCCCAGGATAAAAACTACAAGGAAGCTATCTGGGAAACTGGTTTGCGATGTATGCATTCATCTGGCAGACATAAACCTTTCTTTTGATTCAGCAGTTTGGAAACACTGTTTTTGTAATATCTGCAAAAGGACTTTTTGGAGCGCATTTAGGCCTATGTTGAAAAATAAAATATCTTTAAAGATAAAAACTAGAAGGAAGCTTTCTGAGAAACTGCTTTGTTAATGTGTCCATTCATCTCACAAAGTTAAAACTGTCCCTTGATTCAGCAGTTTGGAAACACTATTTTTGTGCTTTCTGCTAATGGACATTTGGGAGCTCACTGAGGCCAATGGTGAAAAAGTGAATATCCCAGGATAAAAACTAGAAGGAAGCTTTCTGCGAAAGAGCTTTGTGATCTGTGCTTTCATCTCATGGAGTTAAACACTTCTTTTGATTCAGCAACTTGGAAACACTCTTTTTCTATGTTCTGTGAGTGGACATTTGGGAACTCATTGAGGCCAATGGTGGAGAAGCGTGTATCCCAAGATAAACATTAGAAGGAAGTTATCTGAGTAACTACTTTGTGATGTTTGCATTCATCTTACAAAGTTAAACCATTCTTTTGCTTAAGCAGTCTGGAAACACTGTTTTTGTACATTCTGCAAATGTACATTTAAGAGCTCATTGAGGCCTGTGGTGAAAACAAAATTATTGACAAATAAAAACTAAAAAGAAGCTTCTGAGAAACTGCTTTGTGATGTGGGCATTCATCTCACAGAGTTAAACCTTTCTTTTGATTCACGAGTCTAGAAACACGGTTTTTGTGCCTGCTGCAGACGGATATTTGTGAGCTCATTGAGGTGAATGGTGAAAAGGTGAATATCCCAAGATTAAAACTAGAAGGAAGATAACTGATAAAATACTTTGTGATGTGTGCATTCATCTCTCAATGTTTATTGTTATTATTATTATTATTATACTTTAAGTTTTAGGGTACATGTGCAAAACATGCAGGTTTGTTACATATGTATACATGTGCCATGTTGGTGTGCTGCACCCATTAACTCATCATTTAGCATTAGGTATATCTCCTAACGTTAAAACTTTCTTTTGATTCAGCAGTTTGGAAACGTTGTTGTAGAATCTATGAAAAACATTTGGGAGCCCATTGAGGCCTTTAGTGAAAAAGAAAATATCTTCACTTGAAACCTAGAAGGAAGCTTGCTGAGAAACTGCTTTGTGATGAGTGCATTCATCTCACAGAGGTAAACATTTCTTTTGATTAGCTCTTTGGAAACACTGTTTTTGGACCTTATGCAAATGGACTTTTGGGAGCTCATTGAGGCAAATGGTGAAAAAGTGAATATCCCAAGTTAAAACTAGAAGGAAAGTATCTGAGGAACCACTTTGTGATGTGTGCATCCTCTCACAGAGTTAAACCTCTCTTTTGATTCAACAATTTGAAAACACTGTTTTTGTAGAATCTGTGGAAGTACATTTGGGAGTGTATTGATGCCTATGGTGAAAAAGAAAATAACTTCAGATAAAAAATTGAAAGGAGCTTTCTGAGAAATTTCTTTGTTCTGTGCATTGATCTCACAGAGTTAAATGATTCTTTTGATTCAGCAGTTTGGAAACACTGTTTGTGTACATTCTGTGAACGGACATTTGAGAGCACATTGAGGCCTATTGTGAAAATGAAAACATCTTCAGATAAAAACTAGAAAGAAATTTTCTGAGATATGTCTTTATGATCTGAGCATTGATACACAATGTTAAACCCTTCTTTTGATTCAACAGTTTGGAAACACTGTTTTTGTACATTCTGTGAATGGACATTTCAGAGCCCATTGAGGCCAATGGCAAAAAAGGGAATATTCCAGGCTGAAAACTAGAAGGGAACTATCTGAGAAAATGCTTTGTGATGTATGCATTCATCTCCAAGTGTTAAACTTTTATTTTGATTCAACAGTTTGGAAATGCTGTTTTTGTAGGATCTGAGAAAGGATAGTTGGGAGAGCATTGAGGCCTATGGTGAAAAAGAAATTATCTTCAGACAAAAACTGGAAAGAAGCTTTCTGAAAAACTGCTTCATGATGTGTGAATTCATCTCACACAGTTAAACTTTTCCGTCCATTCAGTAGATTGGAAGCACTCTTTTTGTACATTCTGCAAATGGACATTTTGGAGCTCATTGAGGCCAGTGGTGAAAAGGTGAATATCCCAAGATAAAACATAGAAGGAAGCTATCTGAGAAACCGAATTTTGATGTGTGCATTCATCTTGCAGAGGTAAACCTTTCTTTTGATTCAGTGGTTTGGAAACAGTATATTTGTACATTCTGTGAATGGACATTTGGGAGCTTATTGAGGCCTAAGGTGAAAACGAAAACATCTTCTGATAAAAACTAGAAAGTTGTTTTTTGAGAAACTGCTTTGTGACGTGTGCATTCATCTCACAAAATTAAAACTTTCTTTTGATTCAGCAGTTTGGAAGCACTGTTTTTGTACATTCTGTAAGAGGAAATTTGGGAGCTCATTGAGGCCAATTGCAAAAAAGCTAATATCCCAGGATAAAAACTAGAGGGAAGCTATCTGAGAAACCACTTTGTGATGTGTGCATTCACTTTGAAGAGTTAAACCTTTCTTTTTATACAGCAGTTTGGAAAGAGTGTTTATGTAGAATCTGCAAAAGGCATTGAGAACCACTTGAGGCCTACAGAGAAAAAGAAAATATCTTCAGATAAAAACTAAAAGAAGCTTTCTGAGAAACTGCTTTGTGATGTGTGCATTCATCTCCAGACTTAAACCTTTCTCTTGTTTCAGCTGTTTGGAAACACTGCCTTTGTACGTTCTGCAAATGGATATTTCCGATCTCTTTGAGGCCTATGGTGAAAAAGAAAATATCTTCAGATAAAAATTAGAAAGAAGCTTTCTGAGTAACTGTTTTGTGATGTGTGTCTTCATCTCAAAGAGTTAAACCTTTCTTTTGATTCAGCAGTTTGGAAACACAGTTTTTGTAGAATCTTCAAAGGGAGACTTTAGAACTCATTAAGGCCTACTGCAAATAAGTGAATATCCCCAGATAAAAACTACAAGGAAGCACTCTCTGAAACTGCTCTGTGATGTGTGCATTCAACCTATCTTTTGATTCAGCGGTTTGGTAACGCTGTTGTTTTAGAATCTCCAAAGGAACATATGGGAGCTCATTGAGGCCAATGGTGAAAAAGCAAATATCCTAAGATTAAAACTAAAAAGAAGCTATCTCAGACACTGCTTTGGATGTGTGCATTCAATTTACACAGTTAAAGACTTCTTTTGATTTAGCATTCTGGAAACACTGTTTTGGAGAATCCTAGAAAGGACTTTAAGAGCGTATTGAGGCCTATGGTGAAAAAGCATACAACTTCCAATAAAAACTTGAAAGAAACAATCTGCGAAACTACTTTTTGATGTGTGTATTCATCTCACAGAGTTAAAGTTTCCTTTGGATTCAGCAGTTTGGAAATGCAGGTTTTGTAGGATCTGAGAAGGGACATTTTGAGGCGCTTTGAGGCCTAGGGTGAAAAAGCAAACATCCTAAGATAAAAACTAGAAAGGAGCTATCTGAGCAACTGCTTTGTGATGTGTGTATTCATCTCTCAGAGGTAAATCTTTCCTTTGATTCAGCAGTTTGGAAACACTGTTTTTTAAAAAACTGTGAAAAAAACATTTTGGAGCACATTGAGGCCTGTGGTGAAATATAGAATATCCCCAGATAAAAACTAGAAAGAAGCTTTCTGAGAAACTGCTTTGTGATGCTTGCATTGAACTTACAGAAGTCAAGCATTCTTTAGATTCAGCAGTTTGGAAACACTGTTTTTGCAGAATTTGTGAAGGGACATTTTGGAGCTCATTGAGGCCTACTGCAAAGAAGTGAATGTCCCCAGATAAAAACTAGAAAGAAATTCTCTTTGAAACAGCTCTCTGATATGTGGATTCATCTCACAGAGTTAAACCTATCTTTTGATTCTGCAGCTTAGTTTGGAAACACTGTTGTTTTAGAATCTGCAAAGGAATATTTGGGAGCTCACTTAGGCCAATAGTTAGAAAGTGAATATCCCAAGATGAAAACTAAAAAGAAGCTATTTAAGAAACTGCTTTCTGATGTGTGCATTCATCTTACCCAGTTAAAGGTTTCTTTTGATTCAGCAGTTTGGAAACACTGTTTTTGTAAAATTCTATAAAGGACATTAGAGAGCACATTGAGGCCTACGGTGAAAAAGCAAATAATATCTTCAGATAAAAACTTGGAAAAGCTACCTGAGAAATCTTTTTTTCTATTTATTTATTTTATTTATTTATGCTTTTGAGATGGAATTTTTTTTTTATTTTATTATTATTATACTTTAAGTTTTAGGGTACCTGTGCACAATGTACAGGTTAGTTACATATGTATACATGTGCCATGCTGGTGTGCTGCAACCCATTAACTCATCATTTAACATTAGGTATATCTCCTAAAGCTATCCGTACCCCCACCCCCCCCCGACAACAGTCCCCAGAGTGTGATGTTCCCCTTCCTGTGTCCATGTGTTCTTATTGTTCAAGTCCCACCTATGAGTGAGAATATGGGGTGTTTGGTTTTTTTGTCCTTGTGATAGTTTACTGAGAATGATGATTTCCAATTTCATTCATGTCCCTACAAAGGACCTGAATTCATCCTTTTTCAGGGCTGCAGAGTATTCCATGGTGTATATGTGCCACATTTTCTTAATCTAGTCTGTCATTGTTGGACATTTGGGTTGGTTCCAAGTCTTTGCTACTGTGAGTAGTGTCACAATAAACATACGTGTGCATGTGTCTTTATAACAGCTTGATTTATAGTCCTTTGGATATATACCCAGTAATGGGATGGCTGGATTAAATGGTATTTCTAGTTCTAGATCCCTGAGGAATCACCACACTGACTTCCACATGGTTGAACTAGTTTACTGTAACACCAACAGTGTAAAAGTGTTCCGATTTCTCCACATCCACTCCAGCACCTGTTGCTTCCTGACTTTTTAATGATTGCCATTCTAACTGGTATGAGTTGGTATCTCATTGTGGTTTTGATTTGTATTTCTCTGATGGCCAGTGACGGTGAGGATTTTTTCAAGTGTTTTTTGACTGCATAAATGTCTTCTTTTGAGAAGTGTCTGTTCATGTCCTTCACCCATTTTTTGATGGGGTTGTTTGTTTTTTTCTTGTAAATTTGTTTGAGTTCATTGTAGATTCTGGATATTAGCCCTTTGTCAGATGAGTAGGTTGTGAAAATTTTCTCCCATTTTGTAGGTTGCCTGTTCACTCTGATGGTAGTTTCTTTTGTTGTGCAGAAACTCTTGAGTTTAATGAGATCCTATTTGTCAATTTTGGCTTTTGTTGCCATTGCTTTTGGTGTTTTAGACATGAAGCCCTTGCCCATGCCCATGTCCTGAATGGTAATGCCTAGGTTTTCTTCTAGGGTTTTTATGGTTTTAGGTCCAATGTTTACGTATTCAATCCATCTTGAATTAATTTTTGTATAAGGTGTAAGGAAGGGATCCAATTTCAGCTTTCTACATATGGCTAGCCAGTTTTCCCAGCACCATTTATTAAATAGGGAATCCTTTCCCCATTGCTTGTTTTTTTCAGGTTTGTCAAAGATCAGATAGTTGTAGATATGTGGCATTATTTCTGAGGGCTCTGTTCTGTTCCATTGATCTATATTTCTGTTTTGGTACCAGTACCATGCTGTTTTAGTTACTGTAGCCTTGTAGTGTAGTTTGAAGTCAGGTAGCGTGATGTCTCCAGTTTTTTTCTTTTGGCTTAGGATTGACTTGGTGATGCGGGCTCTTTTTTTGGTTCCATATGAACTTTAAAGTAGTTTTTTCCAATTCTGTGAAGAAAGTCATTGGTAGCTTGATGGGGATGGCATTGAACCTCTAAATTACCTTGGGCAGTATAACCATTTTCACGATATTGACTCTTCCTACCCATGAGCATGGAATGTTCTTCCATTTGTTTGTATCCTCTTTTATTTCCTTGAGCAGTGGTTTGTAGTTCTCCTTGAAGAGGTCCTTCACCTCCCTTGTAAGTTGGATTCCTAGGTATTTTATTGTCTTTGAAGCAATTGTGAATGGGAGTTCACTCATGATTTGGCTGTCTGTTTGTCTGTTGTTGGTGTATGAGAATGCTTGTGATTTTTGTACATTGATTTTGTATCCTGAGACTTTGCTGAAATTGCTTATCAGCTTAAGGAGATTTTGGGCTGAGACAATGGGGTTTTCTAGATATACAATCACGTCATCTGCAAACGGGGACAATTTGACTTCCTCTTTTCCTAATTGAATACCTTTTATTTCCTTCTCCTGACTAATTGCCCTGGCCAGAACTTCCAACACTATGTTGAATAGGAGTGGTGAGAGAGGGAATCCCTCTCTTGTGCCAGTTTTCAAAGGGAATGCTTCCAGTTTTTGCCCATTCAGTATGATATTGGCTGTGGGTTTGTCATAGACAGCTCTTATTATTTTGAGATACGTCCCATCAATTACTAACTTATTGAGAGTTTTTAGCATGAAACCTTGTTGAATTTTGTCGAAGACCTTTTCTGCATCTATTGAGATAATCATGTGGTTTTTGTCTTTGGTTCTGCTTATATGCTGGATTACATTTATTGATTTGTGTACATTGAACCAGGCTTGCATCCCAGGGATGAAGCCCAGTTGATCATGGTGGATAAGCTTTTCGATGTGCTGTGGGATTTGGTTTGCCAGTAATTTATAGAGGATTTTTGTATCAATGTTCATCAAGGATATTGGTCTAAAATTCTCTTTTTTGGTTGTGTCTCTGCCCAGCTTTAGTATGAGGATTATGCTGTCCTCATAAAATGAGTTAGGGAGGATTCCCTCTTTTTCTATTGATTGGAATAGTTTCAGAAGGAATGGTACCAGCTCCTCCTTGCACCTCTGGTAGAATTCGGCTGTGAATCCATCTGGTCCTGGACTCTTTTTAGTTGGTAAGCTATTGATTGTTGCCACAATTTCAGAGGCTGTTATTGGTCTATTCAGAGATTCAACTCCTTCCTGGTTTAATCTTGGGAGGGTGTATGTGTCGAGGAATTTATCCATTTCTTCTAGATTTTCTATTTTATTCACATAGAGGTGTTTATAGTATTCTCTGATGGTAGTTTGTATTTCTGTGGGATCGGTGGTGATATCTCCCTTATCATATTTTATTGCATCTATTTGAGTCTTTTCTCTTTTCTTCTTTATTAGTCTTGCTAGCAGTCTATCAATTTTGTTGATCCTTTCAAAAAACCAGCTCCTGGATTCATTAATTTTTTGAAGGGTTTTTGTGTCTCTATTTCCTTCAGTTCTGCTCTGATTTTAGTTATTTCTTGCCTTCTGCTAGCTTTTGAATGTGTTTGCTCTTGTTTTCTAGTTCTTTTAATTGTGATGTTAGGGTGTCAATTTTGGATCTTTCCTGCTTTCTCTTGTGGGCATTCAGTGCTATAAATTTCCCTCTGCACACTGCCTTGAATGTGTCCCAGAGATACTGGTATGTTGTGTCTTTGTTCTCATTGGTTTCAAAGAACGTCTTTATTAGTCATTCAGGAGTAGGTTGTTTCTTAATCCTGAGTTCTAGTTTGATTGCAGTGTGGTCTGATAGATAGTTTGTTATAATTTCTGTTCTTTTACATTTGCTGAGGAGTGCTTTACTTCCAAGTATGTGGTCAATTTTGGAATAGGTGTGGTGTGGTGCTGAAAAAAATGTATATTCCGTTGATTTGGGGTGGAGAGTTCTGTAGATGTCTGTTAGGTCTGCTTAGTGCAGAGCTGAGTTCAATTCCTGGGTATCCTTGTTAACTTTCTGTCTCATTGATCTGTCTAATGTTGACAATGGGGTATTAAAGTCTCCCATTATTATTGTGTGGGAGTCTAAGTCTCTTTGTAGGTCACTCAGGACTTGCTTTATGAATCTGGGTGCTCCTGTATTGGGTGCATATATATTTAGGATAGTTGATTTTCTTGTTGAATTTCTCCCTTTACCATTAAGTAATGGCTTTCTTTGTCTCTTTCGATCTTTGCTGGCTTAAAGTCTGTTTTATCAGAGACTAGGATTGCAACCCCTGCCTTTTTTTGCTTTCCATTTGCTTGGTAGATCTTCCTCCATCCTTTTATTTTGAGCCTAAGTGTGTCTCTGCATGTGAGATGGGTTTCCTGAATACAGCACAAAAATAGATAAAACCACAAAGATGGGGAAAACAGAGCAGAAAAACTGGAAACTCCAAAAAGCAGAGGGCCTCTCCTCCTCCAAAGGAATGCAGTTCCTTACCAGCAATGGAACAAAGCTGGATGGAGAATGACTTCGATGAGTTGAGACAAGAAGCTTTCAGATGGTCAAACTACTCTGAGCTACAGGAGGAAATTCAAACCAAAGGCAAAGAAGTTAAAAACTTTGAAAAAAATTTAGACAAATGTATAACTACAATAACCAATACAGAGAAGTGCCTAAAAGAGCTTATGGAGCTGAAAGCCAAGGCTTGAGAACTACGTGAAGAATGCAGGAGCCTCAGGAGCCAATGCAATCAACTGGAAGTAAGGGTATCAGTGATGGAAGATGAAATGAATGAAATGAAGCGAGAAGAGAAGTTTAGAGAAAAAAGAATACAAAGAAATGAACAAAGCCTCCAAGAAATATGGGACTATGTGAAAAGACCAAATCTACGTCTGATTGGTGTACCTGAAAGTGACCGGGAGAATGGAACCAAGGTTGAAAACACTCTGCAGGATATTATCCAGGAGAACTTCCCCAATCTAGCAAGGTAGCCAACATTCAGATTCAGGAAAAACAGATAACACCACAAAGATACTCCTCGAGAGGAGCAACTCCAAGATACATAATTGTCAGATTCACCAAAGTTGAAATGAAGAAAAAAATGTTAAGGGCAGCCAGAGAGAAAGGTCGGGTTACCCTCAAAGGGAAGCCCATCAGACTAACAGCGGATCTCTCGGCAGAATCTCTACAAGCCAGAAGAGAGTGGGGGCCAATATTCAACATTCTTAAAGAAAAGAATTTTCAACCCAGAATTTAATATCCAGCCAAACTAAGCTTCATAAGTGAAGGAGAAATAAAATACTTTACAGACAAGCAAATGCTGAGAGATTTTGTCACCACCAGGCCTGCCCTAAAAGAGCTCCTGAAGGAAGCTCTAGACATAGAAAGGAACAACCGGTACCAGCCACTGCAAAATCATGCCAAATTGTAAGGACCATCGAGGCTAGGAAGAAACTGCGTCAACTAACGAGCAAAATAACCAGCTAACATCATAATGACAGGATCAAATTCACACATAACAATATTAACTTTAAATGTAAATGGACTAAATACTCCAATTAAAAGACACAGACTGGCAAATTGGATAAAGAGAATCTGCTTTTTGATATGTCGATTCATCTCACATAGGTAAACGTTTCTCTTGATTCAGTAGGTTGAAAACACGCTGATTGGAGAATCTCTGACGGGACACGTGGAAGCCCATTGAGGCCAAAGGAGTAAAGCCAAATATCCCCCATATAAAAACTAGAAAGAATCTACCTGTGAAACTGCTTTGTGATGTGTGAATTCATCTTACAGAGTTTAAAATTTCTTTTGATTCTGTGGGTTGGCAACACTCTTTTTGTAGAATATGAAATGGGACATTTTGGAGATCATTAAGGAGAGTGGAGAAAATGGAATATTCACATATAAAAGCTAGAAACATATTTCCAAAAACTCCTTTGTGATGTGTGGATTCATCTCACAGAGTTAAACCTTCCTGATGATTCGGCAGATTGGAAAACCACTTTTTGGAGGCTCTGTGAAGGGACGTTTTAGAGCCCATTGGGGTCTAAGAAAGTTACTGTGAAGGTGCTTTATGATTGCTGGATACATATCAGAGAGTTAAACTGTTGTATTTATTCAACAGTTTGGAAACATTCTGTTTGTAGAATCTGTGAAGGGAAATTTGGGCACTGAAATAGGCCTATGGGGAAATACTGAATATCTCCAGATAAAAACTAGAAATTAGGTATCTGTGAAACTGCTTTGTGATGTGTGGATTCTTCTCACACTGCAAATTTTTGTGCTGATTCAGCAGGCTGGAAACACTCCTTTTGTGGAATCTGCAAAGGGATATTTGGGAGCCCATTGGGGCCTATGGGGAGAAACTGAATAATCCTAGGTAAAAACTACAAAGAAACTATCTGTGAAACAGCATTGCGATGTG
This sequence comes from Homo sapiens, assembly GCF_000001405.40. Classification (NCBI taxonomy): domain Eukaryota; kingdom Metazoa; phylum Chordata; class Mammalia; order Primates; family Hominidae; genus Homo; species Homo sapiens. Next base: position 39,023,216 of record NC_000010.11, on the reverse strand, counting down.
TGGATTGATCTCAGATATAAATATTTCTTTTCTTTCATCAGCCTCTAAACACTCTTTTTGGAGAATCTGCTAAGGGACAATTGGATGCCCATTGGGGCTTAAGGGGAAAAATGGATTATCCCCAGATAAATACTAGAAAGAAGCTATCTGTTAAACTGCTTGTTGATGTGTGGATTCAACTCACTGACTTAAACCTTTCTTTTATTCAGCATTGAAAACACTCTTTTTGGAGAATCTGCAAAGGGAAACTTGTGAAACCTTTGAGGACTGTGGGAAATAACAGAATATCCCTATATTGAAACTAGAAAGAATTAATCTCTGAAACAGCTTTGTGATGTGTGGATTCATCTCACAGAGGTAAAACTTTCTTTTGATTCATCAGATTGTAAACAATCATTTTGGAGAATCTGTGAAGAAACATTTGGGAGCCCACTGAGGCTTTTGGGGAAACACCAAATTTTCCCAGATAGAAACTAGAATGAAGCTATCTGTGAAACTGATTTGTAATATATGGATTCATCTCACAGTGTGAAACTTTTCTTCTTATTCAAAAGGTTTTAAACAATCTTTTTGTAGAATTTGTGAAGGGATATTTGGGAGCCCATTGAGGCTGATAAGAAAAAAAGAAGTATCCACAGATAATAGGAAGAAAGATGCTACCTCCAAAACTGCTTTGTGATATTTGGATTCAGCTCTTGATTTAAAGTTTTCTTGTGAAACATCAGGTTGGAAACACTCTTTTGGGAGAATCTGCAAAGGGATATTTGAGAGTCCTTTGAGGTCTATGGAGAAAAACCGAACATCCACAAATAAAAACTACAAAGAAGTTATGTGTGAAAATGCTTTGTGATGTGTGGATTCATCTCATGAAGTTAAACTTTTCTTTAGATACAGCAGTTTGGAAACACTCTTTTGGTAGAAACTGCGAACAGACATTTGGGAGAGCATTGAGGGCTATGGGGACAAATGGAATATCCCCAGATAAAAATTAGGAAGAAGCTATCTGTGAAACTCCTTTGTGATGTGTGGATTCATCTCACAGACTTAAAACTTTCTTTCCTTTGAGCAGGTTGGAAACACTCTTTTTTTAGAATCTGCAAAGGAACATTTGGTATCCCATAGAGTTTATGGGGAAAAACAGAATATCTCAAGATAAAAACAAGAAAGAATCTATCTGTAAAACAGCTTTGTGATGCTGGACTCATCTCACAGTGTTAAAGCTTTCATTTGATTCAGCAGGTTGGTAATACTCTTTTTGGATATTCTGTGAAGGGACATTTGGGAGCCCATTGAGGCCTATGGGAAAAAACAGAATATCCCCAGAAAAAAAAAAAAAACTATAAAGAAGCTTTCTGTGAAACAGCTTTGTGGTGTGTGAATTCATCTCACAGAGTTAAACCTTGCTGTTGATTCAGCAGATTGGAACCACACATTTTGGAGTCTCAGCAAAGGCACGTTTCAGAACCCATTGAGGCCTAAGAAAGAAAACTGAATATCCCTAGATATAAACTAGAAAGAAGCTAGCTGTGAAACTACTTTGTGATGTGTGGATTCATCTCACAGAATTTGGAAACTCTCTTTTTGTAGAATCTGTGAAGGGACATTTCACAGGCCATTGAGGCCTATGGGGAAAAAGACAATATCCCCAAATAAAAACTAGAAAGGAGCTATTTGTGAAACTACTTTGTGACCTGTAGATTCCTCTAACAGAGGTGAACATTTTTTTTTTTTATTCAGCAGTTTGTAAACTTTCTTTTTGGGGAATCTGTGTAAGGACATTTGGTAGCTCATTCTTGCCTAAGGGAAAAAACCGAATATCCCCAGACAAAAACTAAAAAAAAGTTATCTGTGAAACTGCTATGTGATGTGTGGATTCATCTCACAGAGTTATAATTTTCTTTGATTCAGAAGGTTGGAAACGCTGCTTTTGTAGAATCTGAGAAAAGACATTTGGGAGCCTAATAAGGCCTATAAGTAAAAATCAAATATCCTCAGATTAAAAACTAGGAAGAAGCTATCTGTTAAACTGCTTTGTGTTGTGTGGATTCATCTCACAGAGATAAACCTTTCTTTGATCCAGTAGGTTGGAAACACTCTTTTTGGATAAACTGAGAAGGGGCATTTGGGAACACATTAAGGACTATGGAGAAAAACCATGTATCTCCTGATAAAAAACCAGAAAGAAGCTATCTGTGAAACTGCTTTGTGATGTGTAAATTCATCTCAGAGTTAAACCTTTCTTTTGTTTCAGCAGGTTGGAACACTCTATTTACAGAATCTGCAAGGTGACATTTAGGACACCATTGAGGCCTATGGGGAAAAACTTAATATCCCAAGATAAAAACAAGAAAGAAGCTATGTGTGAAATGGCTTTGTGACATGTGGATTAAAGAATTAATCACAAAGAATTAAAACTTTCTTTTGATTCAGCAGGTTGGAAAGACTCTAACTGGAGAATCTGCAAAGGAGTATTTGGAAGCCCACTGAGGCCTAAGGGGAAAAACCAAAAATCCCCAGAAAAAAAAAAAACAGAAAGAGGCTATCTGAGAAACTGCTTTCTGATATGTGGATTAGCCTCAGAGAGTAAAAGTTTTCTTTTGATTCAGCAGGTTGGAAACACTCTTTTTGTACAAATTGTGAAAGGACATTTGGGAGCCCTTTGAGGCCTATGGAGAAAAACCAAATAATCCCATATAAACACTAAAAATAATCTTTCTGTTAAAATGCTTTGTGATGTGTGGATTTATCTCACAGAGTAAACCTTTATTTGTTTCAGCAGGTTGCAAATATTCTCTTTGGATAATCTGTAAAGGAAAATTTGTGAGCCAATTGAGGCCTATGTGGAAAAAGTGAATATTCCTAGATAAAGACTAAAAAGAATCTGTATTTGAAACTGCTTTGTGATCTATGCACTCATCTCACAGAGTTAAGCATTTTTTTTTTGGTTCAGCAGGTTGAAAATATGTTTTTTGTAGCATCTGCAAAGGGACATTTGGGAACCCATTGAGGCCTTTGAGGAAGGACCACATATCCTCAAATAAAAACTAGAAAGAAGCTATCTGTGAAACCCCTTTGTGATGTATGAATTCATCTCACAGAATTAAACCTTTTTTTTGATTCAGCAGTTTGGAAACGCTCTTTTTGGAGAATCTGCAAAAGGACATTTGGGAGCCCTGTGGCCTATGGGGCAAACTGTATATCCCAAGATAAAAAGCAGAAAGAAGCTATCTGTTAAAGACCTTTGTGATAGGTGGATTTATCTCACAGAGTTATAACTTTCTTTTGATTCAGCAAGTTGGAAACTCTTTTTGTAGAATTTGTGAAGGGACAGTTCCCAGGCCATCAAGGCCTATGGGGAAAAACAGATTATCCTCAAATGAAAAGTAGTATGAAGCTATCGGTGAAATTGCTTTGTGGTGTGGATTCATCTCACAGAGTTAAAACTTTCTTTTGATTCAGCAGCTTAGAAACACTCTTTTTGGATAATCTGCAAAAGGACATTTGAAAGCCTTGTAGCCTCTGGGGCAAAACCATATATTCCAAGATAAAAACCAGAAAGAAGCTATCTGTGAAACTGCTTTTTGATATGTGCATTTATCTCACTGAGTTAAAATTTCTTTTGATTCAGGAGGTTGGAAACACTGTTTTTGGAGAATCTGCATAAGGACATTTAGGATCCTATGGAGGCCTATGGGAAAAACCAAATATCTTCAGATAAAAACTAGAAAGAAGCTAGCTGTGAAAATTCTCTGGGATGTGTAAAATCATCCCATAGATGAAAACCTTTCTTCTGATTCAGTAAGTTGAAAATACTCTTTTTAAATAATCCATGAAAAGACATTTGGGGGTCCTGTGAGTCCTCTGGATAAAACCTGAATATCCCCAGATAAAAAGTAGAAAGAAAGTATATGTGAAACCTCTTCATGATGTGTGGATTGATTTCACAAATTTAAATTTTTCTTTTAATCTAGGAAGTTGGAAACAATCTTTTTGTGGAATCTGCAAAGGGACATTTGGGAGCCCATTGAAGCCTATGGGGAAAAACAAAATATCCTAATATAGAAACTAGAAAAAAGCTTCCTTTGAAACCCTTTGTGATGTGTGAATTCATCTCACAAAGCTAATCCTGTCTGTTGATTCAGCAGATGGGAAATACCCTTTTTGGAGTATCTGGGAAGGGACATTTTTTAGTCCATTGACATCTATGGGGAAAATAATATAACCAAGATAAAAACTAGAAAGAATCCATCTTTGAAATTGCTTTGTGATGTGCAGGTTCATTTCACAGAGTTTAGCCATTCTTTTGATTCAGCATGTGGGAAACACTCTTTTTGTAGAATCTGTGAAGGATCTTTTGGGAGTTTATAGAGGCCTATGGGGAGAAACAAAATATCTTGAGATAAAAATTAGAAACAAGTTATCTGTGAAATTGCTTTTTGATGTGTGGATTCATCTCACAGTGTTAAACCTTTTATTTGACCCAGCAGGTTGGAAACACTTTTGTCGAATCTGCAAAGTGACCTTTTGTAGCTGTTTGTGGCCTATGGGGAAAAACAGAATATCCCCATATAAAAACTAGAAAGAAGCTACCTGTGAATCAGCTTTGTAACGTTTGGATTCATATCACAGAGTTAAACATTTCTTTTGATTCAGCTGGTTGGAAACACTCTTTTTGGAGAACCTGGGAAGGGACATTTGGAAGCCCATTGAGGCTTATGTGGAAAAACTGAACATATACAGAGAAAAAGTAGAAAGAAGTTATCCATGAAACTTCTTTGTGATATGTGGATTCATCTCAGAGAGTTAAATCTTTCGTTTGATTTAACATATTGGAAACAGTCCTTTTGGAGACTCTGAGAAGGGACATTTTTGAGCCCATTGAAGCCTATGGGGAAAAATTGAATATCTTTGTATAAAAACTAGAAAGAAGCAATCTGTGAAACTGATTTGTGATGTGTGGATTCATCTCACAGTGGTAAAGCTTTCGTTTGCCTCAGCAAATTGGAAGCACTCCTTTTGGAGACTCTGCAAAAGGAGATTTGTGAGCCCTTTGAAGCCCATGGGGAAAAATTGAATATCCCCACATAAAAATTAGAAAGAAGCTATCTATGAAAATGTTTTGTAATGTGAGATTCATCTCACAGAGTTAAACATTTCTTTTGATTCAACAATTTGTAAACACTATTTTTGTGGAATCTGTGAAGGTACATTTTGGAGCCCATTGAGGCCTATAGGGAAAAACCAAATATCTGCAGATTAAAAACTAGAAAGAAGCTCTCTGTGAAACTGCTTTGCATTGTGTGGATTCATCCAACAGAGTTAAACGTTTCTTTTGATCTAGCAGGTTGAAAACACTCTTTTCATAGAATCTGCAAATAAACATTTGAGAGCCCATTGATGGCTATTGGGAAAACACCAACATCCCAAGATAAAAACTAGAAAGAAGCTATCTATGAAACTGCTTTGTGATGTGTGGGTGCATCTCACAGAGTTAAGCCTTTCTTTTTATTCAGCAAGTTGGAAAAACTATTTTTGAAGAATCTGAAAAGGGACATTTGGGAGTCTATTGAGGCCTATGGGGTAAAACAAAATATCTACAGAGAAAACAAGAAAGAAGCTATCTGTGAAAATACTTTGTGATGTGTGGTTTCACCTCACAGACTTAAACCTTTCATTTCTTTCAGCAGGCTGGAAACACTCTTTTTGGAGTATCTGTGAAGGGACATTTTGTAATGTATTGTGGCCTATGAGTAAAACAGAATAACCCCATATAAAAACCAGACAAAAGCTATCTGTGAAACTCCTTTATGATGTGGATTCACCTCACAGAGTTAAATTTTTCCTTTGCATATGTAGGTTGGAAACTCTCATTTTGGAGAATATGTGAAGGGACGTTTGGAAGTCCTTTGCAGTCTATGGAAAAAACACAATATTCCCACATACAAACTAGAAAAAAATCTATCTGTGAAACTGCTTTGTGATAGATGGATTCATCTCACAGAGTTAAAATTTTCTTTTGATTCAGAAGGTGGGAAACATTTCTTTTGGAGAATCTGTGGAGGGACATTTCAGTGCCCATTGAGGTCTCTGGGGAAAAACTGAATATCCCCAGATTAAAAACTAGAAATAAGCATCTGTGAAACTACTTTGTGATGTGTGGATTCATCTCAAAGAGTTAAGCCATTCTGTTGATACATCAGGTTGGAAACACTCTTTTTGTAGAATCTGCAAAGGGATATTTTGGAGCCCTTTGTGTCCTATGGGGAACAATTGAACATCCCCAGATAAAAACGAGAAAAAAGTTGTCTATGAAACTTCTTTGTGATGTGTGGATTAATCTCAGAGAGTTAAACCTTTCTTTTGATTCGGAAGGTTGGAAATACTCTTCTTTTTGCAGAATCTGTGATGGGACATTTGGGAGCCCATTGAGGCCTATGGGAAAAAAACAAATATCCCGAGACAAAAACTGGAAACATCTCCCTGTGAAACAGCTTTGTGATGTGTGGATTCATATCACCATGAAACTTTCTCTTGTCCCAGCAGGTGGGAAGCACTCTCTTTAGAGAATCTGTGAAGGCACATTTCGGAGCCTTTTGAGGCCTATTAGGAAAAACCAAATAACCCCAGGTAAAAACGAGAAAGAAGTTATTTGTGAAACTGCTTTGTGATGTGTAGATTCATCTCACAGAGTTAAACCTTTGTTTTTATTCAACAGGTTTTAAACACTCTTTCTATAGAATCTGTGAAGGGATATTTGGGAGCCTATTGAACCCTATTGGAAAAAAAACAAATATCCACAGATAAAAACTAAAAATAAGCTATCTGTGAAACTACTTTGTGATGTGTGGATTCATCTCACAGAGTTAAAACTTTCTTATGATTCAGCAGGTTAGAAACACTCTAATTGTTGAATGTCCGAAAGGACATTTTGGAGCCCATTGTGGCCAATGTGTAAAACGAGAATATCCCCAGGTAAAAACTAGAAAGAAGCTATCTGTGAAAATGTTTTGTGATGTGTGGTTTCATCTCATAGAGTTATACCTTTCTTTTTATTCAGCAGGTTGGGAACAGTCTTTTTGTATAATCTTCAAAGGGACATTTAGGACCCCATTGAAGCCTATGGGGAAAAACCAAATATCCCTAGATAAAAACCAGAAAGCAGCATTCTGTGAAACTGCTTTGTTATGTGTGAACTTGTATTACAGAGTTAAATCTTTCTTTTGATTCAGCAGTTTGGAAACATTCTTTTTGGAGATTTTGTGAAGGGAAATTTGGAATACTATTGAGACCTATTGGGAAAACTGAATATACCCAGATAAAAAGTAGAAAAAAGCTATCTGTTAAACTGTGTTGTAATGTGTGGATGGATCACACAGAGTTAAACATTTCTTTTGTTACAGCAGATTGAAAATAATCTTTTGGAGGACTTGAAAAGGCACCTCTTGGAGCACATTGAGGTCTATTTGGTAAAGCCGAATATCTTCAGATAAAAACTAGAAAGAAGCTATCTGTGAAACTGTTTTGTGATGTGTGGATTCGTCTCACAAACTTAAACCTTTCTGTTGATTCAGCAGGTTAAAAACACTCTTTTTGGAGTATCTGTGAAGAAACATTTGGGAACTCAATGAGGAGTATGGATAAAAGCCAAATATCCCCAGATAAAAACTAGAAGAAGCTGTCTGTGAAACTGCTTTGTGATGTGTGGATTCATCTCACAGTGTTTCACCTTTCTTTTGATTAAGCAGGTTAAAAACACTCTTTTTGTAGAATCTGTGAAGACATATTTGGGAGCTCTTTGAGGCCTATGAAGAAAAACAGAATATACCCAGATAAAAACTAGAAAGAAGCTAACTGTGAAACTACTTTGTGATGTGTGGATGCATCTCTCAAAGTGAAACCTCTTTTGATTCAGCAGGTTGAAAAAACTTTTTTTTGGAGAATCTGTGGAGGAATATTTGGCAGCCCTTTGAGGCCCATGGGTTGAAACCATATATCCCCACCTAAAAACTAGAAAGACACTATCTGTGAAAATACTTTGTGATGTGTGGATTCCTCTCACAGAGTTAAAACTTTCTTTGGATTCTGCAGATTCAAAACACTCTTTTTCTAGAATCTACTAAGGGATATTTGGGAGACATTTGAGGACTATGAAGAAAAAACAAATATCCCCAGATAAAAACTAGAAGGAAAATATCTGTGAAACTGCTTCATGATGTGTAAATTCATCTCATAGAGTTCAAACTTTCTTTTGATTTAGTAGGTTGGAAACACACTAGTTGTTGAATCTGCAAAGGGACATTTGGGAGCCCTTTGAGGCCTATGGGTAAAAAGCGAATATCCCCAGATAACAACCTAGAAAATAAACTATCTGTGAAACTGCTTTGTGATGTGTGGATAAATCTCATAACATTAAATCATTCTTTTGATCCAGAAGATTGGAAGCACACTTTTTGTAGAATCTTGGAAGGTACATTTAAGAGCCCATGGAGGCCTATTGGTAAAAACGTAATGTCCCAAGATAAAAACTAGAAAGAAGTTATCCATGAAACTGCTTTGTGTTGAGTGGATTCATGAAAGGTTAAACTTTCATTTAATTCATCAGGTTGGAAACACTCTTTTTGGAGACTCTGCAAAGGGACTTTTAAGTGCCCTTTTACAATATAGGGAAAGACCAAATATAACCAGATAAAAACAAGAAAGAAGCTACCTGGGAAACTGCACTGTGATACATAGATTCATCTCACAGAGTTAAATTTTTCTTTTGATTCAGCAGGTTGGAAACACTGTTTTTGGAGGATCAGCAAAGAGGCATTTATGATCCGTTTGAGGACTATGGCGAAAAACCAAATATTCCCAGATAAAAACTGGAAAGAAGCTCTCTGTGAAACTACATTTTGACGTATAGACTCATGTGACAGAATTCAAGTTTTCCTTTGGTTCAGCTGTTTGGAAACACTCTTTATGCAGAACATCGAAGGGACATTTGGGAGCCCATTGAGGTCTATGGGGAAAAAATTAATATTGCCAGAAAAAAATAGAAATAAGCTATCTGTGAAACTGCTTTGTAAAGTGGATTCATCTCACAGAGATAAACATTTCATTTAATTCAGCAGGATGGAAACACTCTTTTTGGAGAATCTGTGAAGGGACATCTGAAATCTCAGTGAAGCCTACGGGGAAACCTGAATATCCGAAGATGAAAACTAGAAAAAAGGGCCAGGCGTGGAGGCTCATGCCTGTAATCCCAGCACTTTGGGAGGCTGAGGCTGGCTGATCACGAGGTCAGGAGAGAGACCATCCTGGCTAACAGTGAAACCCAGTCTCTACTAAAACTGCAAAAAATTAGCTGGGTGTAGTGGCAGGAGCCTGTAGTCCCAAGTACTCAGGAGGCTGAGACAGGAGAATGGCATGAACCCAGGAGGTAAAGCTTGCAGGGAGCTCAGATTGCACCATTGCACTCCAGCCTGGGTAACACAGTGAGACTCCATCAAAAAAAAAAAAAAAAAAACAACTAGAAATAAGCTATCTGTGAAACAGCTTTGTGATGGCTGGATTTATCTCACAGAGTTAAACCCTCTTTTGATTCCACAGGTTGGAAACACTCTTTTTGGAGAATCTGTGAAGCAACGTTTGGGAGCCCATTGTGACCTAACAGGGAAGACTGAATATCCGAAGATAAAAACTACAAGAAAGCTGTCTGTGAAACTGCTTTGTATCTGTATATTCATCTCACAGAGTTAAACCATTCTTTTGATTCCTCAGTTTAGAAACACTGTTTTAGGAGAATCTGCAAAAAGACATTTGTGAGCCCATTGAAGAATATGGGGAAAAACAGAATATCCCCAGAAAAATACTGGAAAGAAGCTATCTGTGAAACTGCTTTGTCTTGTGTGCATTCATCTTACAGAGTTACATTTTTTTTTTTTTTTATTTAGCAGGTAAGAAACACTCTTTTTTGAGAATATCTGAAGGGATGTTTGGGAAGCCATTAAGGCCTATGGGGAAAAATTGAATATTCCCAGATAAAAACTGGAAGGAAACTATCTGAGAAACTGCTTTGTAATGTGTGGCTATCACACATAATTGAATTTTTCTTTTGATTCAGCAGGTTGGAAACACTCTAATTGTACAATCTGTGAAAAGATATTTGGGAGCTCATTGAAGCCTATGGAGAAACACAAAATATCCTCAGACAAAAACTAGAAAGAAGCTATGTGTGAAACTGCTTTGTGATGTGTGTATTCATCGCACCAATTTAAAACTTTCTCTAGATTCAGCAGTTTGGAAACACTTTTTTTTTGGAGAATCTGTGAAGAAACATTGGGAGTCCATTGAGGCTTATGCGGAAACACCAAAGATTGCCAGATAGAAACTAGAATGAAGTTATCTGTGAAATTGATTTGTGATATGTGGATTCATCTCATGGTGTGAAAGTTTTCTTCTTATTCAAAAGGTTGTAAACAATCTTTTTGGAGAATATGTGAAGGAACATTTGGGAGCTCATTGAGGCCTATAAGCAAAATACAAATATCCACAGATATAAAAAAGAAAGAAGCTACCTCTGAAACTGCTTTGTGATGTGTAGATTCAGCTCTCAGAGTTAAACCTTTCTTTTCATGCAGCAGGTTGGAAACACTTTTCTATTTTCTTATTATAATACTTTAAATTTTAGGGTACATGTGCACTATGTGCAGGTTAGTTACATATGTATACATGTGCCATGCTGGTGTGCTGCACCCATTAACTCGTCATTTAGCATTAGGTATATCTCCTCATGCTATCCCTCCCCCCTCCCCCCACCCCACAACAGTCCCCAGAGTGTGATGTTCCCCTTCCTGTGTCCATGTGTTCTCATTGTTCAATTCCCACCTATGAGTGAGAATATGCGGTGTTTGATTTTTTTGTCCTTGCGATAGTTTACTGAGAATGATGATTTCCAATTTCATCCTTGTCCCTACAAAGGACATGAACTCATCATTTTTTATGGCTGCATAGTATTCCATGGTGTGTACGTGCCACATTTTCTTAATCCAGTCTATCATTGTTGGACATTTGGGTTGGTTCCAAGTCTTTGCTATTGTGAATAGTGTGGCAATAAACATACGTGTGCATGTGTCTTTATAGCAGCATGATTTATAGTCCTTTGGGTATATACCCAGTAATGGGATGGCTGGGTCAAATGATATTTCTAGTTCTAGATCCCTGAGGAATCGCCACACTGACTTCCACAGTGGGTGAACATAGTTTACAGTCCCACCAACAGTGTAAAAGTGTTCCTATTTCTCCACATCCTCTCCAGCACCTATTGTTCCCGGACTTTTTAATGATTGCCCTTCTAACTGGTGTGAGATGGTATCTCATTGTGGTTTTGATTTGCATTTCTCTGATGGCCAATGATGGTGAGCATTTTTTCAAGTGTTTTCTGGCTGCATAAATGTCCTCTTTTGAGAAGTGTCTGTTCATGTCATTCGCCCACTTTTTGATGGGGTTGTTTTTTTTTCTTGTAAATCTGTTTGAGTTCATTGTAGATTCTGGTTATTAGCCCTTTGTCAGATGAGTAGGTTGTGAAAATTTTCTGCCATCCCCATCAAGCTACCAATGACTTTCTTCACAGAATTGGAAAAAACTACTTTAAAGTTCATATGGAACCAAAAAAGAGCATGCATCACCAAGTCCATCCTAAGCCAAAAGAACAAAGCCGGAGGCATCACGCTACCTGACTTCAAACTATACTACAAGGCTACAGTAACCAAAACAGCATGTTATTGGTACCAAAACAGAGATATGGATCAATGGAACAGAACAGAGCCCTCAGAAATAATGCCACATATCTACAACTATCTGATCTTTGACAAACCTGAGAAAAACAAGCAATGGGGAAAGGATTCCCTATGTAATAAATGGTGCTGGGAAAACTGGTTAGCCATATGTAGAAAGCTGGAATGGGATCCCTTCCTTCCACCTTATACAAAAATTAATTCAAGATGGATTAAAGACTTAAACGTTAAACCTAAAACCATAAAAACCCTAGAAGAAAACCTAGGCAATACCATTCAGGACATAGGCATTGGCAAGGACTTCATGTCTAAAACAACAAAAGCAATGGCAACAAAAGCCAAAATTGACAAATGGGTTCTAATTAAACTAAAGAGCTTCTGCACAGCAAAAGAAACTACCACCAGAGTGAACAGGCAACCTACAAAATGGAAACACACTTTTTGGAGAATCTGTGAAGGGACATTTGAGAGCCTTTTGGGGCCTATGGCGAAAAATCAAATATCCTCAGATAAAAACTAGAAGGAAGCCATCTCTGAAACTGCTTTGTGATGTGTGTATTCATCTCAGAGAGTTAAAATTTTCTTTTGATTCAGCACGTTAGAAACACTCTTTTTGAAGGATCTGTGAAGGGACATTTGGGAGCCTATTGAGGCCTATGGAGAAAAATAAAATATCCTCAGGAAAAAAACTATAACGTAGTTATCTGTGAAACAGCTTTGTGATGTGTATATTCATCTCACAGAGTTAAAACTGTCTTTTGATTCAGCAGGGTGGAAACACTCTTTTTGGAGAATCTGGGAATGGATTTTTGGTAGTCATTTAAGGCCTATGGGGAAAAGCTGAATATCCCCAGATAAAAATTAAAAACAAGCTATCTGTGAAACTGATTTGTGATGTGTGGATTCATCTTACATGGTTAAACCTTTCTTTTGATTCAGCAAGTTGAAAAGACTGTTTTTGGAGAATGTGCAAAAAGAAATTTGGGAGCCCATTGTGGCCTATGGGGAAAAAGCCAATATGCCCAGGAAAAAAAAAAAACTACAAAGAAGCTACTTGTGAAACTGCTTTATGATTTTTGGATTTATCTGAGATTTAAACCTTTCTTTTAATCAGCAGGTTGGCAACATTCTTTTTAAAGATTCTGTCAATGGACATTTAGGAGGCCTTTGAGGCTTATGGCGAAAAACCCAACATCCTCAGGTAAAAACTACAAGGAAGCTATCTGTGAAACTGCTTTTAATGTGTGGATTAAGCTAACGGAGTTAAAACTTTTCTTTTATTCAGCAGGTTGGAAACACTGTTTTTGGAGAATCTGCAAAGGGATATTTGGGAGAACATTAAGGACTATGGGGAAAAACAGAATATCCCCAGATAAAAATAAAAAGAATCTATCTGTGAAACTGCTTTGTGTTGTGTGGATTCATCTCACAAAGTTAAACCTTTTCTTTTGATTAAAGGGGTTTGAAAAACTCTTTAAGGAGAATCTGCAAAGGGCCATTTGGCAACCCAGTGAGGCCTATTGGGAAAAAAATAATATCCCCAGATACAAACTAGAAAGAAGCTATCTGTCAAACTGCTTTGTGATGTGTGGATTCATGTCACAGATTTAAATTTTTCTTTGCGTTCAGCAGGCAGGAAACACTCTTTTTGGAAAATATGCAATGGGCCATTTATGAATCCATTGGGGCGTATGGGAAAATCTGAATATCCCCAGATAAAAACTAGAAAGAAACTGTCTGTGAAACTGCTTTGTTATGTGGGGATTCATCTCACAGAGTTAAACTACTTTTTTGATTCAGCAAGTTGGAAACACTCTTTTTGGAGGATCTGCGAATTAATGTTTGAGCACCCATTGAGGCCAACGGTGTAGTGCCTAATATCACTAGATAAAAACTAGAAAGAAGCTATCTGTGAAACTCCTTTGTGATGTGTAAATTCATCTCACAGAGTTAAACTTTCCTTTTGATTCAGCAGGTTGGAAACACCCTTTTTGTAGAAACTGTGAAGAAACATTTGGAAGCCCATTGAGACCTACTGGGAAAAACTTATATCTACAGATAAAAGGTAGAAGGAAGTTACCTGTGAAACAGTATTGTAACTTGTGGATTCTTCTCACAGAGTTAAAATTTTGTTTTGATTCAGTACATTGGAAGAACTCTTACTGGAAAATCTATGAAATGACATTTGGTAGCCCATGGAGGCCTGTGTTGAAAACTGAATAGCCCCAGATAGAAATGAGAAAGAAGCTACCTGTGAAACTGCTTTGTGATGTGTCGATTCATTTTACAGAGTTAAATTTTTCTTTTGATTCAGCAGGTTGGAAAGACTCTAATTGGAGGATCTGCAAAGGTACATTTGGGAGCCCCTCTAGGCCTATGGGGTAAAACTGATTATCCCTTGATAAAAACTAGAAAGAAGCTATCTGAGAAAGTGCTTTGTGATGTGTGCATTCCTCTTCCAGAGTTGAATCTTTCTTTTGATTCTGCACGTTGGAAACACTCTATTTGGAGGATCTGCAAGGGGACCTTTGAAAGCCCTTTGAGGCCTATGGTGAAAATCATGTATCCCTAGATAAGAATTAGAAAGAAACAATGTGTCAAACTGCTTGGTGATGTTTGCTTTCATCTTACAAAGTTAAACTTTTTTCATTCAGAAGGTTGGAAACACTCTCTTTAGAGAATTTGTGAAGTGTCATTTTGGAGCAAATGGAGGCCAATGTTAAAATACCAAATATCCCCAGATAAAAACGAGAAAGAAGCTATCTGTGAAACTGCTTTTGATGTGTGGATTCATCTGAGGGAGATAAACCTTTCTTTTGATTCAGCATGTTGTAAATACTCTTTTTGGAGGATCTGCAAAGGGACAGCTGGGAGCCCATTTAGGCATATGGAGAAAAACTGAACATTACCAGATAAAAACTAGAAATAAGCAATTTGTGAAACTGCTTTGTGATGTGTGGATTCATATCAAAGAGGTAAACGTTTATTTTGATTCAGGAGGTTGGAAACACTCTTTTTAAAGAATCTGTGAAGGAATATTTGGATGACAATTGATGCCTATGGGAAAAAACAGAATATCCCTAGATAAAACTAGAAAGAAGCAATCTGTGAAACTGCTTTGTGATGTGTGGATTTATCTCACAGAGTTAAAGCTTTCTTTTAATTCAGCACGTTGGAAGCACTCTTTCTGGAAAATCTGCAAAGGGACATTTGGGAGTCCATTGATGTACATGAAAAAAAAAAGAATATCCCCAGATAAAAACTAGAAAGAAACAATCTGTTAAACAGCTTTGTGAAGTTTGGATTCATCTGACAGAGTTAAATGTTTCTTTTGATTCAGCAGGTTGGAAACACTCTTTTTGTAGAGTCTGCGATGGCATATTTGGGAGACCTTTGAATCCTATAGGGAAAAATGGAATATCCACTGATATAAACTAGAAAGAAGCTATCTGTGAAACCACTTTGTGATGTATGGATTCATCTCACGGAGTTAAGACTGTATTTTGATTAAGCAGGTTGGAAATACTGTTTTTGGAGAATGTGCAAATAGACGTTTGGAAGTCAGTTGAGGCCTATGGAAAAAAAATGAATATCTGCAGATAAAAACTAGAAAGAAGTTATCCATGAAACTGCTTTGTTATGTGTGGATTCATATCACAGATTTAAAACTTTCTTTTGATGCAGCTGGTTGGAAGAGCTCTTTATGTAGAATCTGCAAAAGGACATTTTGGAACCCATTGAGGCCTACTGGGAAAAACAAAATATCCTCAGAGAAAAACTAGAAAGAAATTAACTGTGAAACTTCTTTGTTATATGTGGATTCATCTCACAGATTTAAGACTTTCTTTTGATTCAGCAAGTTGGAAACATTTTTTTGTAGAGGCTTCAAAGGGACTTTGGGGAGCCCATTGAGGCCTATTGGGAAAAACCGAATATTTACACATAAAACCCACAAAGAAGCTATCTGTGAAATGGCTTTGTGATTCATCTCAGGGAGTTAAGCTTCTCTTTTGATGCAGCAGGTTGGAAACACTATTTTTGGAGGATCTGTGAATGGATATTTGTATCCCATTGAGGCCTACAGGAAAAACAGAATATCCCCAGATAACAACTAAATAAAACCTATCTATGAAACTGCTTTGTGATGCATGCATTCACCTCATAGAGTTAAAACTTTTTCCTAATTCAGCAGATTATAAACACATTTTTGGAGAATAAATGAAGGGACATTTGGGAACCCACTGAGACCTATGGGGAAAAAGAGAATTTCTCCTTAACTAATGGAAGGAAGCTATTTGTAAAATGGCTTTGGTATATGCAGATTCATCTCACAGAGTTAAAACATTCTTGTGATTCATCAGGGTGGAAACATTGTAATTGTTGAATCTGCAATGAGTCATTAGGGAGCTATTGAGACTTATGGGGAAAAACCAAATATCCCCAGATAATAATTAGACAGAAGTTACTTGTGAAACTGCTTTGTGATGTTGGATTCATCTCACAGAGTTAAAACTTTTCCTTAATTCAGTAGGTAGGAAACACTCCTTTTGTAGAATCTGTGAAGGGACATTTTGGAGCCTATTGAGGCCTAATAGGAAAAAATGAATATCCCCAGATAAAAGCTGGAAAGAAGCTTTCTGTGAAACTGCTTTGTGATGGGTGGATTCATCTCACAGAGTTAAACCTTTCTATCGAATCTGCAGGTTGGAAAAACTTTATCTGAAGAATCTGCTAGTGGATATTTAGGAGCCCACTGAGACCTAGGGGGAAAAACAGGATACCCATCAAAGAAAACTACAAAGAAACTAACTGTGAAACTGCTTTTTGACATGCAGATTCATCTCACAGAGCTAAACCTTTTTATTTTTTTATTCAGCAGGCTGGAAACATTCTTTTTGTAGAACCTGTGAAGGGACATTTGCAAGCCACTTGATGCCTATGGGGAAAAATCTGAATATCCTCAAATAAAATCTAGAAAAAGTATTTGTGAAACCACCTTGTGATGTGCAAATTTCTCTCACTGATTTAAGCCTTGCTTTTGATTCAGCAGGTTGAAAACGCTCTAATTGTTGAAACTGTGAAGGTACATTTGGAAGCCCATTGAGACCTATAGGGAAAAACTGTATATCCCCAGATAAAAAGTAGAAAGAAGCTATCTGTGAAATTGCTTTTTGATGTGTGGATTAATCTTACAGAAGAAATCTTTTCTATGATTCAGCAGGTTGCAATCACTCTTTTGGAGAATTTGCAAAGTGATATTTTGGAGCTCATTGATGCCAGTTGGTAAATCAGAATATCCCCAAATAAAAACCAGAAGGAAGCTATATGCAAAACTCTTTTCTGATGTGTGGATTCATCTCACAGAGTTAAACTTTTCTTTTAACTCAGTAGGTTGGAAACACATTTTTTGGATAATCTGTGAAGGGATATTTGCAGCCCATTGAAGCCCATGGGGAAAAATCAAATATCCCCAGATAAAAACTAGAAAGAAGCATTCCATGGAACTGCTTTGTGATGGGTGGATTTATCTCACAGAGTCAAACCATTCTTCTGATACAGCAGGTTGGAAATACTCTTTATGGACAATCTGCAAAGGGATATTTGGGAGCCCAATGATGCCTTTGGGAAAAGAGTGAATATCCCCAGATAAAAACTATAAAGAAGTGAAGGTGACCGAATAGGAACAGCTCTGGTCTACAGCTCCCAGCTTGAGCAATGCCAAAGATGGGGGATTTCTGCATTTCCAACCGAGGTACCAGGTTCATCTCACTAGGGAGTGCCAGACAGTTGGTGCAGGACAGTGGGTGCAGTGCACCGTGCATGAGCCAAAGCAGGGTGAGGCATTGCCTCACTCTGGAAGTGCAAGGGGTAAGGGAGTTCCCTTTCCTAGTCAAAGAAAGGGGTGACAGATGGCACCTGAAAAATCGGGTCACTCCCACCCTAATACTGTGCTTTTCCAGTGGGCTTAAAAAACGGCACACCAGGAGATTATATCTCGCACATGGCTCAGAGGGTCCTATGCCCATGGAGTCTGGCTGATTGCTAGCGCAGCAGTCTGAAATCAAACTGCAAGGCAGCAGCGAGGCTGGGGGAGAGGCACCTACCATTGCCCAGGCTTGATTAGGTAAACAAAGCAGCCAGGAAACTCGAACTGGGTTGAGCCCACCACAGCTCAAGGAGGACTGCCTGCCTCTGCAGGCTCCACCTCTGGGGGCAGGACACTCACAAACAATAAGACAGCAGTAACCTCAGCAGACTTAAATGTCCCTGTCTGACAGCTTTGAAGAGAGTAGTGGTTCAACCAGCACGCAGCTGGAGATCTGAGAATGGGCAGACGGCCTCCGCAAGTGGGTCCCTGACCCCTGACCCCTGAGCAGCCTAACTGGGAGGCACCCCCCAGTAGGGGCAAAGAGATATCTCACATGGCCAGGTACTCCTGTGAGACAAAACTATTCCAATCAATAGAAAAAGAAGGAATCCTCCCAAACTCATTTTATGAGGCCAGCATCATCCTGATATGAAAGCTGGGCAGAGACACAACAAAAAAGAGAATTTTAGACCAATATCCTTGATGAATATTGATGCAAAAATCCTCAATAAATTACTGGCAAACCAAATCCAGCAGCACATCAAAAAGCTTATCCACCATGATCAAGTGGGCTTCATCCCTGGGATGCAAAGCTGGTTCAACATATGCAAATCAATAAATGTAATCCAGCATATAAACGAACCAAAGACAAAAACCACATGATTATCTCAATAGATGCAGAAAAGGCCTTTGACAAAATTCAACAAACCTTCATGCTAAAAACTCTCAAATTAGGTATTGATGGGACTTATCTCAAAATAATAAGAGCTATCAATGACAATCCCACAGCCAATATCATACTGAATGGGCAAACACTGGAAGCATTCCCTTTGAAAACTGGCACAACACAGGGATGCCCTCTCTCACCACTCTTATTCAACATACTGTTGAAAGTTCTGGCCAGGGCAATTAGGCAGGAGAAGGAAATAAAGGATATTCAATTAGGAAAAGAGAAAGTCAAATTGACCCTGTTTCCAGATGACATGATTGTATATCTAGACATCCCCATTGTCTCAGCCCAAAATCTCCTTAAGCTGATAAGCAACTTCAGCAAAGTCTCAGGATACAAAATCAATGTGCAAAAATCACAAGCATTCTTATACACCAATAACAGACAAACAGAGAGCCAAATCATGAGTGAAAACCTATTCACAATTGCTTCAAAGAGAATAAAATACCAGGAATCCAAATTACAAGGGACGGGAAGGACCCCTTCAAGGAGAATTACAAACCACTGCTCAATGAAATAAAAGAGGATACAAACAAATGGAAGAACATTCCATGCTCATGGATAGGAAGAATCAATATCATGAAAATGGCCATACTGCCCAAGGTAATTTATAGATTCAATGCCATCCCCATCAAGCTACCAATGACTTTCTTCACAGAATTGGAAAAAACTACTTTAAAGTTCATATGGAACCAAAAAAGAGCCCGCATCACCAAGTCCATCCTAAGCCAAAAGAACAAAGCCGGAAGCATCACACTACCTGACTTCAAACTATACTACAAGGCTGCAGTAACCAAAACAGCATGGTACTGGTACCAAAACAGGATATAGATCAATGGAACAGATAACAGCCCTCAGAAATAATGCTGCATATCTACAACCATCTGATCTTTGACAAACCTGAGAAAAACAAGCAATGGGGAAAGGATTCCCTATTTAATAAATGGTACTCGGAAAACTGGCTAGCTATATGTAGAAAGCTGAAACTGGATCCCTCCCTTACACCTTATACAAAAATTAATTCAATATGATAATATGAAAAATTCCCAGATAGAAACTAGAAAGAAGCTATCTGTGAAACTGCTTTGTAATGTGTTGATTCATCTCAGAGAGTTAAACATTTCTTTTTATCCAGCAAGTTGAAAATACTCTTTTTGGAGAACCTGCGAATGGACATTTGGGAGCCCATTGTGGCCTATTTGGAAAAATCCAATATCACCAGGTAAAAACCAGAAAGAAGCTATCTGTGAAACTGCTTTGTGACGTGTGGATTTACCTCCCAGAGGTAAACCTTTCTTTTGTTTCAGCATGTTGGAAACACTCTTTTTGGATAATCTGTGAATGGACATTTGGGAACCCATTGAAGCCTATCGGGAAAAACAGAATAACGCCAGAAAAAAACTAGAACGAAGCTATCTGTGACTCTGCTTTGTGATGTGTCGATTCTTCCCACAGAGTTAAAACTTTCTTTCAATTTAGCAGTTTGGAAACACTCTTTGTGGAAAATCTGTGAAGGGACACATGGGAGCCCATTAAGGCCTATAAGAAAAAGTTAAATATCCTTTGATAAAAACTGAAAAGAAACAAACTGTGAAACTGGATTGTGATGTGTGGTTTCATCTCAGAGAATTAAAACTTTCTTTTGATTCAGCAGGTTGAAAACACTCTTTTCAAAGTATCTCTGAAGGGATATTTTGGAACCCATTGGGACCTAAGGGGGAAAAAAAACGAATATCCCCAGGAAAAAAACTCAAATGAAGCTGTCTGTGGAACTCTTTTGTGATATGTGGATTCATCTCAAAGAGTTAAAGTATTCTTTTGATTCAGTAGATTGGAAACACTTTTTGGAGAATATGTGAAGGGAAATTTTTGAGCCCATTGTGGCCTAAGGAAAAAAAAATGGAATATCTCCTGAAAAAAACTAGACAGAAGTTCTCTGTGAAACTGCTTGAAATATGTGGATTCATGTCACAGAGATAAACGTTTCTCTTGATGCGGCAGGTTGAAAACACTCCTTTTGCAGAATCTATGAATGAACATTTGGGAGCCCATTGAGGTGTATGGGGAAAAACTGGATATCCTAAAATAGAAACTCCAAAGAATTTATGTGGGAAACTGTTGTGACGTGTGGATTCAGGTCACAGAGTTAAACCATTCTTTTGATTCAGCAGGTGGGAAACACTCTTTTTGGAGAATCTGTGGATGGACTTTTCAGAGCCCATTATCACCTATGGGGAAAACCAAATATCTCCAGATAAAAACCAGAAAGAAACTGTTAACCTGCTTTGTGATACATGGATTCATCTCACAGAGATAAACCTTTCTTTAGATTAAGCAGGTTGAAAACACTCTTTTTGGATAATGTGTGAAGGAACACTTGGGAGCCCATTGAGGCCTATGGGTAAAAATGAAATATCCACAGAAAACAACTAGAAAGAAGCTATTTTTGAAACTGCTTTGTGATGTGTGGATTCATGTCACAGGGTTTAACATTTATTTTGATTCAGCAGATTGGAACCACTCTTTCTGGAGAATCTGCAAATGGACATTTGGGAGCCCCTTGAGGCCTATGAGTAAAAACCGAATATCCCCATATAAAAACTAGAAAGAAACTATCTGTGAAACTGCTTTGTGATATGTGGATTCATCTTACAGAGTTAAAACTTTCTTTTGATTCAGAAAGTTAGAAACATTCTTTTGGTAGAATCTGCAAAGGGACTTTTGGGAGTTGTTTGAGGCCTATATGGAAAGGCTGAATATTCTGAGATCAAAACTAGAACATAGGTCTTCATGAAACTCCCTTGTGAGTTGTGTGAGGTGTGGGTTCATCTCTCAGAATTAAAACTTTATTTTGATTAAGCAGGGTTAGAAACACTCATTTAGGAGAATCTGCAAAGGGATATATTGAAACCCATTGAGGCCTATGGAGAAAAACCAAATTACACCAGTGAAACAATAGAAAGAATCTATCTGTGAAACTGCTTTGTGATGTGTGGATTCATCTTACAGAGTTAAACCTGTCCTGTGATTCAGCAAGTTGAAAACACTCTTTTTAGAGAATCTACAAAGGAATATTTGGGAGCCCTTTGAGGCCTATGGAGAAAAACTGAATATCCCAAGATAGAAACTCAAAAGAAGCTATATGTGAAAGTGATGTGAGGTGTGTATTCATTTTACAGAGTAAAACCATTCTTTTGATTCAGCAGGTTGGAAACACTCTTTTTGGAGGATCTGTGAAGGGACATTTGGGATTCCATTGAGGCCTTTTGGGAAAAACTGAATATCACAGATACAAACTTGAAAGAATCTATCTGTGAAAGTGCTTTGTGATGTGTGGATTTATCTTGCAGGGTTAAACCTTTCTTCCGTTTCACCACGTTGGAAACACTCTTTGTGGAAAATCTGTGAAGGGACATTTGGGAGTGCTTTAAGGCCTATGGAGCAAAACCGAAATAACCCGAGATTAAAAACTAAGAAGAAGCTATCTGTGAAAATACTTTGTTATGTGTGGATTCATCTCAGAGAGTTAAACCACTCTTTTGATTCAGTATGTTGGAAACACTTTTTGGAGAATATGCAAAGGGACAATTTGGAGCCCATTGTGGCCTATGGGGAAAAAAAACTAATATCACTGGATAAAAACTAAAAAGAAAGCTATCTGTGAAACTGCTTTGTGATATGTGGATTCATCTCACAGAGTTGAACCTTTCCTTTGATTCAGCAGGTTGAAAACACTCTTTTTAGAGGATCTGCAAAGAAACATTTGGGAGCCCTTTGAGGCCTATGGGGATAAATCTAATATCCCATGTGAAACTGATGTGATATATGTATTTATTTCACAGTTAAACCATTCTTTTGACTCAGCAGGTTGGAAACACTCTTTTAGGAGAATATGCTAAGGGACACTTGGGAGCCCATTTAGGCCTATGTGGAAAAGCCAAATACCCCCAGATATAAACTAGAAAGAAGCTACCTGTGAAACTGCTTTGTAATGTGTGGATTCATCTTACCAAGTTAAAACTTTCTTTTCATTCAGCAGGTTGAAACACTCTTTTTAGAGAATCTATGAAGGAACATTTGGGAGCCCTTTGAGGCCTATGGAGAAAAACTGAATATCCCAACATGGAAACTCAAAGAAGCTATGTGTGAAAGTGAGGTGATGTGTGGATTCATTTCATAGAGCAAAACCCTTCTTTTGATTCAGCAGGTTGGAAACACTCTTTTTTAGAAAATCTGCAAAGCGACATTTGGGATCCCATTGAGGCCTATGGGGAAAATCTGAATATCCCAGATAAAAACTTGAAGGAAGCTATCTGTGAAAGTGCTTTGTCATGTGTGGATTTATCTGAAGTTAAAACTTTCTTTTGATTCACCAGGTTGGAAACACTCTTTGTGGAAAATCTGTGAAGGGACATTAGGGAGCGCTTTTAGGCCTATGGGGCGAAACCGAAATATCCCCAGATAAAAACTAGGAAGAAGTTATCTGTGAAACTACCTTGTGATGTGTGGAATCATCTCACAGAGTTAAACCACCCTTTTTATTGAGCAGGTTGGAAACACTTTTTGGAGAATATACAAAGGGACATTGGGAGCCCATTGTGGCCTATGGAAAAAAACACTAATATTCCTGGATAAAAACTAGAAAGAATCTATCTGTGAAACTGCTTTATTATGTTTGGATTCATCTCACAGAGTTGAACTTTTCCTTTGATTCATCAGGTTCAAAACACTCTTTTTAGAGGATCTATGAAGTAACATTTGGGAGCCCATTGAGGCCTATGGGGAAATATCTAATATCCCATGATAGAAACTTGAAGAAGCTATCTGTGAAACTGAGGAGATTTATGGATTTAACTCAGAGAGTTAAACCATTCTTTTGATTCAACTGAGTAGTGGTTGCTTTTTTAAGATGTTAGACCCTGCATTTTAGTTTAGATCACTATCCCCTAACCACCAATTTTTAAATTATTTCCCTAAAAATACATAATGTAATGAAAGTGCTTTACAAAAAATAAAATTATTTGAAATCACTTTTGCATAATTATTTAAAAATATATTAGTAAACATAAGCACACAGGAAATCAATGATAGGTGCAGTGATCCTAAAATAAAATAAGCTGTGGTAACAAAGCAGTGTAACATGACACAGTGTAATGTGAATGGCAGGTACCTTCAACTAGTTTACCTGAAATATTTATGAACAGATACACCTCTTCAGATATAGGTAACTGTATTCCTAAGTTACTCACAGATACTGTGTATCACAAAACAAGGAGCTCTCTTACATAAGTTATGTGCTTCCATTTGCCCTCAGCATCTAGAATGAGGCTCAAAATAACTGAGGGAAGGCAAATCTCAATTTTAGTAATAGGTCTATACAATATTAGCACTTTTTAAAAAGCCTGTGACATTAGCATTTAAGATGGATATGTCTATAGTGCTTCAAGTAGTTTTCATCTCTGAAATCATTTTAAAATCACAGAATTTGAAGTTATATGCTAGAAAGGACCAATGACCTTACATGCCATTTAATGCAACACTCATTTTACAGATCCCAGGAAAATGCACCTTAAAACTAATTTGTCCAAGGCCCCACCAAGTAGGTGCAGTTTCTCAACCTAAACTCAAATTAGGCAGTATCTCTCAAACTTTGTTGCACATTAAAATCACCGGAGAAGCTTTAATAACTGCCTCAATTTCAACATGAGGCATTTTGATTTAATTAGTATTGGGTATGAGTTTGGGCATTGGGGTGTTCTTAAAAGTTTCCCAGGTGACTTCAATGTGCAGAAAAGTTTGGAATGATTGAGTTGGAGTGAAAAATCAGAATCTTCTGGGATGCTTTTCTTCACATAAAGATGCCTCACTTCCATCCCTATTTTCCTAAAAGGCTTCTCAGTGCCTAGAGATAGAGGGAAAGTGGAGATGGGAAGAAACATGTGTATGCAGACATGTATTTTGAAAAAAACTTTGCAAAACTGATCCCAATGCGTTCCACTTATCCCATTGACAACAGTGCACTACTAACTCGTGATGAACAGTTTTCAAAATCTTTTCTTGAAGCTAATTTGCCCTATTAATTTGCTCAATAAACCTTTATTTCACCAATAGTAAATATACCAAATGATCATTACTCAAACTTGCTGATGGCGAGTTAAAACTTACTTTACTTTCAAAATAGATTCCTAAAAATTAGAATAATGAGGAAAAAAGCATGAAATTTGTTTGAGCAAGATTAACCTTCAAAGCTACTTTTGAATTGTTGCTAACACATCAAAATCTTTTCAATTGAAAAGAAGCCAGGGATTGTAGCCAAGTAGTGTTTTTTGGTGCCAAGAAGCTTTTTGGTGTTGTGGTTTGTGTGTGTGTGTGTGTCTCAAAAATTTAAGAGAAGGCTGGGCACGGTGGCTCATGCCTGTAATCCCAGCACTTTGGAAGGCTGAGGCGGGTGGATCACCTGAGGTCTGGAGTCCAGCCTGACCAACATGGAGAAACCCGTCTCTGCTAAAAAATTACGAAATCAGCCAGATGTGCTGGTGTGTGCCTGTAATCTCAGCTACTCAGGAGGCTGAAGCAGGAGAATCACTTGAACCTGGGAGGCAGAGGTTGCGGTGAGCCGAGATTGCACCATTGCACTCCAGCCTGGGCAACAAGAGTGAAACTCTGTCTCAAAAAAAAAAAAAAAAAACATTTAAGAGACTTGGTTGACTACAGACATTTAGTGATTACTCATTCGGTCCCAAAGCTCATGACTTGAGATAGAGTTTGAGTCCAGTTTTTGCTGAAACACAATTTCATCTCAATTATTGTTATAAGAAAGGGAGGAAAGTGACATTATGCATGTAAACTTGCCATTTCTAATTAAAGTTAAAGTTACTGATGATTGAATTAGCTAAAAAGGCTAGTGCATTCAAAACGAAATTGTTTATAAGCTGGTTACATTTATGGGATGAAAAGTAAAATTAAAGATAAACACATTAATATTCTAAATTAACACTTACCAAACTTTAAAAATAAGACTCATAACCGAAGGAGATTATAACAATGTACACTGGACAGCCTCTATGGAGTTGGTGGTGGTGTTGGTTGTTGTTCCTTTTAAAATAAACTTCATCTCAGGGTGCTCTCAAAGCACATCTTTGTGGCACATGAAGTGTTAATGCACAATGGGAGAAACTCAAATGCAGATACACGGTGGTGGCAGAAGAGAAAAAGCTGTTCCTTCTTCCAAGACTAATGTCCAAAGTAGTACACATTGATTTAGGCCTGTAACACATTGAAAAACTAATTTTTCACAAAAAGACATTCAATAAAGGGAACCTATCCTTCTCACTGTGTTCAACATTGTTTTAAGGTATAAAGGCATCAAATAAATAGCTGCACTTTTTCTGGGATTGCTTATTTGCTAACTGATTTTTCCTTCCACCCTGACGTCTAAGATTAAAAGAGAAATTGATACTTATAATCTGGGTATCAATATACAGTGGACTTCAATTTTTTAAACTGCTTGCAGAAGAGTACAACCAAAAGGCTGAAATACTTTTAGAATAAAAGGAGTCTCTCCCTTGACAGTATAGTTGTACTCACAATTTTAATGTCATTGTTGGATGAGGCCGGCTGGCAGTGCTGTCATCAAGGAATATTTTCGAGCATGAACTGTATTGTTGAGTAAAATACTCAGTAGATACCTGAAGGGGAAAGGAAGTATAAGTTAAACTTATCAAAGTTTATTTTTTCTTGGTGAAAATGTCAAATGACAAAACACTAAGATATTTCTTACACTCCATGAACTGCCTGAGTGTGGTATCATATGCACTCTATAGAAAACACATTGGAGGCTCTTAACTTCCAGAGATGGTGTTGGAGACATGGGTTATAAAATGCTTCCCTTAATATGGTACCTGTCATCAAACCTAAAAAAGGATCTCATGAATTCCATTTATAAATAATGAGAAAAGTTTAAAATAAGGTTTCATTGTTTTTTGCTACAGCAATATAAAGCAGCCAAGAACTTCTATTTCTATTATTTATTTACTATGATAAAATGTAATGTATTAAATAATACTGGTGCAAGAACATTTTATTGCAATGAATACAAGACTAATGCATTTACTAAGTTACTAATCCTAAACGTATTATTTCAGGCAATATTGTGACAAAACAAGTGTTTCAGATTCAGAGGCTCTGTGTGCCAGGGCTACTAGACCACCAACAAGTGAGGAAGCCATAGGTTTCTCTAGTCCTGTTTTCTTATGCGGAGGATAAAAAGAGTATCACTTAAATATTCTCTGACACCCTGAAAACAGGTGACAAAAATGACAATTTAAAAAATTTAACTTTCACTTCATGTTTAAATAAGACTGCCATGACATGACTCAAAGGAGACTCTCAGGGAATACTTTCCATTCATTTCAAAAGTTGATTAATATCATTCTATAAAAATCATCTAACCTGCACCTAGGCATTTTCCTGCTCTACCCCTGCTCTCTGCCTAAAATAATGCTTTTCTCTTTCTTTGTTTCAGCAAGCTTGACTCCATCTACTCTCTTGGATCTCTTTGCCAGCAGCCACACCAAAAAATGTTTTTTGGTACACTAATTAGTCAAATTCACCACTAGCTACAAGATACTAATTCTTGAAGAGTATTCACCTCATGAGAAAGTATGCCTCTACATAAGAGTAAAGGAGGACACTTACTGTTCCTACCTCCAGCTGCTGAGCATAGAATTTTGAGTAAATCAAAAACTTCAACAAGTGTTTGACAAATTATTTCAGATATAATTTGGAAGGTACAGTTTACTACACTTAATTACAACAAAAACACTAACAGTTTGCTGTGTATAGGTATTATTTAAGGTAGTCACGGCGGTTCCAAGATGGTCGAATAGGAACAGCTCCAGTCTACAGATCCCAGCGTGAGTGATGCAGAAGATGGGTGATTTCTGCATTTTCAACTGAGGTACCGGGTTCATCTCACAGGGGCTTGTCAGACAGTGGGAACAGGATAGTGGGTGCAACCCACCGAGCATGAGCCGAAGCAGGAGAGGCATCACCTCACCCAGGAAGCACAAGGGGTCAGGGAATTCCCATTCCTAGCCAAGGGAAGCAGTGACAGACGGCACCTGGAAAATCGGGTCACTCCCACCCCAATACTGCGCTTTTCCAATGGTCTTAGCAAATGGCGCACCAGGATATTATATCCCGTGCCTGGCTCAGAGGGTCCCACGCACCCATGGAGCCTTGCTCATTGCTAGCACCGCCATCTGAGATTGAATTGCAAGGCAGCAGCGAGGCTGGGGTATGGGTGCCCACCATTGCTGAGGCTTGAGTAGGTAAACAAAGTGGCCAGGAAGCTTGAACCAGGTGGAGCCCACCGCAGCTCAAGGAGGCCTGCCTGCCTCTATAGACTCCACATCTGGGGGGAGGGCATAGCTGAACAAAAGGCAGCAGAAACCTCTGCAGACTTAAATGTCACTGTCTGACAGCTTTGAAGAGAGTAGTGGTTCTCCCAGCATGGAGTTTGAGATCTGAGAATGGACAGACTGCCTCCTCAAGTGCGTCTCTGACCCCAGAGTAGCCTAACTGGGAGGAATCCTGCATAAGGAGCAGAGTGACACCTCACGCGGCCAGGTACCTCTCTGAGAAAAACCTTCCAGAGGAATGATCAGGCAGCAACATTTGCTGTTCAGCAACATTTGCTGTTCTGCAGCCTCTGCTGCTGATACCCAGGCAAACAGGGTCTGGAGTGGACCTCCAGCAAACTCCAACAGACCTGCAGCTGAGGGTTCTGACTGTTAGAAGGAAAACTAACAAGAAGAAAAGACATCCACACCAAAACCCCATCTGTACATCACCATCATCAAAGACCAAAGGTAGACATAACCACAAAGATGGGAAAAAACAGAGCAGAAAAGCTGAAAATTCTAAAAATCAGAGCACCTATCCCCCTCCAAAGGAATGCAGCTCCTCACCAGCAACAGAACAAAGCTGAATTGAGAATGACTTCGATGAGTTGAGAGAAGAAGACTTCAGATGATCAAACTTCTCCAAGCTAAAGGAAGAAGTTTGAGGCCATCGCAAAGAAGCTAAAAACCTTGAAAAAAGATTAGACAAATGGCTAACTAGAATAAGCAGTGTAGAGAAGACCTTAAATGACCTGATGGAACTGAAAACCATAGCACGAGAACTACGTGATGAATGCACAAGCTTCAGTAGCCAATTTGATCACCTCGAAGAAAGGGTATCAGTGATTGAAGATCAAATGAATGAAATGAAGCAAGATGAGAAGTTTAGAGAAAAAAAGAGTAAAAAGTAATGAACAAAGCCTCCAAGAAATATGGGACTATGTGAAAAGACCAAATCTACATCTGATTGGTGTACCTGAAAGTGATGGGGAGAATGGAACAAAATTGGAAAACACTCTGCAGGATATTATCCAGGAGAATGTCCCCAACCTAGCAAGGCAGGCCAACATTCAAATTCAGGAAATACAGAGAACGCCACAAAGATACTCCTCAAGAAGAGCAACTCCAAGACACATAATTTTCAGACTCACCAAAGTTGAAATGAAGGAAAAAAATGTTAAGGGCAGCCAGAGAGAAAGGTCGGTTACCCAGAAAGGGAAGCCCATCAGACTAACAGCGGATCTGTCAGCAGAAACTCTACAAGCCAGAAGAGAGTGGGGGCCAATATTCAACATTATTAAAGAAGAGAATTTTAAACCCAGAATTTTGTATCCAGCCAAACTAAGCTTCATAATTGGAGGAGAAATGAAATCCTTTACAGACAAGCAAATGCTGAGAGATTTTCTCACCACCAGGCCTGCCCTAAAAGAGCTCCTGAAGGAAGCACTAAACAAGGAAACAAATGACCGGTACCAGCCAATGCAAAAACATGCCAAATTATAAAGACCATTGATGCTACAAAGAAACTGCATCAACTAACAAGCAAAATAATCAGCTAACATCATAATAACAGAATCAAATTCACACATAAAAATATTAACCTTAAATGTAAATGGGCTAAATGCTCCAATTAAAAGAAATGGACTGGTAAATTGGATAAAGAGTCAAGACCCATCAGTGTGCTGTGTCCAGGAGACCCATCTCACATGCAGAGACACACATAGGCTCAAAATAAAGGGATGGAGGAAGATCTACCAAGCAAATGGAAAACAAAAAAAAGCAGGGGTTGCAATCCTAGTCTCAGGTAAAACAGACTTTAAATCAATAAAGATCAAAAGAGACAAAGAAAGCCATTACATAATGGTAAAGGGAGAAATTCAACAAGAAGAGCAACTATCCTAAATATATATGCACCCAATACAGGAGCACCCAGATTCATAAAGCTAGTCCCTAGAGACCTACAAAGAGACTTAGACTCCCACACAATAATAATGGGAGACTTTAACACCCCACTGTCAACATTAGACAGATCAATGAGACAGAAAGTTAACGAGGATATCCAGGAATTGAACTCAGCTCTGCACTAAGCAGACCTAATAGACATCTGCAGCACTCTCCATCCCAAATTAACAGAATATACATTCTTCTCAGCACCACATCGGACGTATTCCAAAACTGACCACATAGTTGGAAGTAAAGCAATCCTCAGCAAATGTAAAAGAAAAGAAATTATAACAAACTGTCTCTCAGACCACAGTGCAATGAAACTAGAACTCAGGATTAAGAAGCCCACTCAAAACCGCTCAACTACAAGGAAACTGAACAACCTGCTCCTGAATGACTGCCAGGTACATAACGAAATGAAGGCAGAAATAAAAATGTTCTTTGAAACCAACAAAAACAAAGACACAACATACCAGAATCTCTTGGACACATTTAAAGCAGTGTGTACAGGGAAATTTATAGCACTGAATGCCCAGAAGAGAAAGCAGGGAAGATCTAAAATTGACACCCTAACATCACAATTAAAAGAACTAGAGAAGCAAGAGAAAACACATTCAAAAGCTAGAAGAAGGCAAGAAATAACTAAGATCAGAGCAGAACTGAAGGAGATAGAGACAAAAAAAAAAAAAAAACCTACAAAAAATCAATGAATCCAGGAGCTGGTTTTTTGAAAAGATCAACAAAATTGATAGACCACTAGCAAGACTAATAAAGAAGAAAAGAGAGAAGAATCAAATAGATGCAATAAAAAATGATAAAGGGGATATCACCACTGATCCCACAGAGATACAAACTACAATCAGAGAATATTATAAACACCTCTGCACAAGTAAACTAGAAAAACTAGAAGAAATGGATAAATTCCTCGACAAATACACCCTCCCAAGACTAAACCAGGAGGGAGTTGAATCCCTGAATAGACCAATAACAGGCTCTGAAATTGAGGAAATAATTAGTAGCCTAACAACCAAAAAAAGACCAGGACCAGACTGATTCACAGCCGAATTGTACCATATGTACAAGGAGGAGATGGTACCATTCCTTCTGAAACTATTGCAATCAACAGAAAAAGAGGGAATCCTCCCTAACTCATTTTATGAAGCCACCATCATCCTGATACCAAAGCCTGGCAGAGGCACAACCAAAAAAGAGAATTTTAGACCAATATCCCTGATGAACATCGATGCAAAAATCCTCAATAAAATGCTGGCAAACCAAATCCAGCAGCACATCAAAAAGCTTATCCACCATGATCAAGTAGGCTTCATCCCTGGTATGCAAGGCTGGCTCAACATACGAAAATCAATAAACGTAATCCAGCATATAAACAGAACCAAAGACAAAAACCACATGATTATCTCAATAGATGCACAAGGTCCTTTGACAAAATTCAACAGCCTTTCATGCTAAAAACGCTCAATAAATTAGGTATTGATGGGACGTATCTCAAAATAATAAGAGCTATGTATGACAAACCCACAGCCAATATCATACTGAATGGGCAAAAACTGGAAGCATTCCCTTTGAAAACTGGCACAAGACAGGAATGCCTTCTCTCACCACTCGTATTCAACATAGGGCTGGAAGTTCTGGCCAGGGCAATCAGACAGGATAAAGAAATAAAGGGTATTCAATTAGGAAATGAGGAAGTCATATTGTCCATGTTTGCAGATGGCATGATTGTATATTTAGAAAACCCCATCATCTCAGCCCAAACTCTCCTTAAGCTGATAAGCAACTTCAGCAAAGTCTCAGGATATAAAATCAATTTGCAAAAATCACAAGCATTCTTATACACCAATAACAGACAAATGGAGAGCCAAATCATGAGTGAAATCCCATTCACAATTGCTTCAAAGAGAATAATATACCTAGGAAACCAACTTACAAAGGATGTAAGGACCTCTTCAAGGAGAACTACAAAGCACTGCTTAATGAAATAAAAGAGGACAGAAACAAATGGAAGAACATTCCATGCCCACGGAGAGGAAGAATCAATTTCATGAAAATGGCCATACTGCCCAAGGTAATTTATAGATTCAGCGCCATCCCCATCAAGCTACGAATTACGTTCTTCACAGAATTGGAAAAAACTACTTTAAAATTCATATGGAACCAAAAAAGAGCCTGCATTGCCAAGACAAACGTAAGCCAAAAGAACAAAGCTGGAGGCATCATGCTACCTGACTTCAAACTATACTGCAAGGCTACAGTAACCAAAACAGCAAGGTACTGGTACCAAAAGACAGATATAGACCAATGGAACAGAACAGAGCCCTCAGAAATAATACCACACGTCTACAACCATCTGATCTTTGACAAACCTGACAAAAACAAGAAATGGGGAAAGGATTCCCTATTTAATAAATGGTGCTGGGAAAACTGGCTAGCCATATGGAGAAAGCTGAAACTGGATCCCTTCCTTACATCTTATACAATAATTAATTCAAGATGGATTAAACACTTAAATGTTAGACCTGAAACCATAAAAACCCTAGAAGGAAACCTAGGCAATACCATTCAGGACATAGGCATGGGCAAGGACTTCATGTCTAAAACACCAAAAGCAATGGCGGCAAAAGACAAAATTGGCAAATGGGATCTAATTAAACTAAAGAGCTTCTGCACAGCAAAAGAAACTACCATCAGAGTGAACAGGCAACCTACAGAATGGGAGAAAATGTTTGCAATCTACTCATCTGACAAAGGGCTAATATCCAGAATCTACAAAGAACTCAAACAAATTTACAAGAAGAAAATAAACAACCCCATCAAAAAGTGGGCAAATGATATGAACAGACACTTCTCAAAAGAAGACATTTATGCAGCCAACAGACACATGAAAAAAAAATGCTAATCATCACTGGCCATCAGAGAAATGCAAATCAAAACCACAATGAGATATCATCTCACACCAGTTAGAATGGTGATCATTAAAAAGTCAGGAAACAACAGGTGCTGGAGAGGATGTGGAGAAACAGGAACACTTTTACACTGTTACTGGGACTGTAAACTTGTTCTACCATCGTGGAAGAATCTACCATTGAGGCGATTCCTCAGGGATCTAGAACTAGAAATACCATTTGACCCAGTGATCCCCTTACTGGGTATATACCCAAGGGATTATAAATCATGTTGCTAGAGAGACACGTGCTTTATATTTTTTGTTTAAATATATGTTTTCTTGGCATGTTTATTGTGTTTTGTGTTTATTTGTGTTTATCGTGGCACTATTCACAATAGCAAAGACTTGGAACCAACCCCTATGTCCATCAATAATAGACTGGAATAAGAAAATGTGGCACATATACACCATGGAATACTATGCAGCCATATAAAAGGATGAGTTCATGTCCTTTGTATGGACATGGATGAAGCTGGAAACCGTCATTCTCAGCAAACTACCGCAAGGACAAAAAACCAAACACCGCATTTTCTCACTCATAGGTGGGAATTGAACAATGAGAACACTTCGTCACGGGAAGGGAAATATCACACACTGGGGCCTGTCATGGGGTGGAGGGAGTGGGGAGGGATACCATTAGGAGATATACCTAATGTAAATGATGTGTTAATGAGTGCAGCACACCAACATGGCACATGTATACATATGTAACAAACCTGCACATTGTGCACATGTACCCTAGAACTTAAAGTATAATTTTAAAAAAGTAATCACAAAAATAGAAACAAATAATCTAACTTCAGTCAGTATAAATCAGAGTATGAAAATTTATGATCTTTAACAAGAAATGGAAGGGATTACTTAGTAGTTTTACAGTTTAATAACAAAAACTAGAAAATAATTATACTTAGTAATTTAGTAACTCAAAATCAAAGCCTTGCCATCAAAGGTCCAGTACCCTTTGGACGCCAATGCCCACCCACTGACTTCTTCCACTCTACTTGCTGCCTTTCATTTTAACCCATTAAAAATACTAAAGTTGTTTTCCTTGTAGAGGTCTTTCACCTCCTTGGTTTCTTCTATTCCTAAATATTTTGTTTTTTCAGCTACTATAAAAGGGGTGAGATCTTGGTATGATTCTAACTTGGCTGCTGTTGGGGTATAACAGTGCTACTGATTTGTGTACAGTAATTTTCCCTCCTGAAACATTGTTGAATTCATTTATCTGTTCTAGGAGCTTTTTAGAGGAGTCTAGGGTTTTCTAGGTATACGATCATTATCATCAGCAAACAGCAACAGTTTGACTTCTTTACCAATCTGGATGCCTTTTATTGCTTTCTCTTGAGTGATTGCTCTGCCTAGGTCTTCCAGTACTATGTTGAATAGAAGTGGCGAGAGTGGGCATCCTTGTCTTTTTCCAGTTCTCAGGGGGAATGCTTCCAAATTTTCCCTGCTCAGTATTATGTTGGCTGTGGGTTTGTCATAGATGCCTTTTATTACATTGAAGTATAACGCTTGTATGCCGATTTCACTGAGGGATTTAATTATAAAACGATGCTGGATTTTGTCAAATGCTTTTTCTGCATCTATTGAGATGATCATGTGATTTTTGTTTTTAATTCTGTTTATGTGGTGTATCACATTTATTGACTTGCATATGTTAAACCATCCCTGCATCCCTGGTATGAAACCCATTTGATCATGGTGGATTATCTTTTTCATATGCCACTGGGAACTACAAAACATTGCTGAATGAAATCATGGACACAAACAAATGGAAAGACATCCCATGCTCATGAACGGGTAGAAGGAATATTGTGAAAATGACCATACTGCCAAAAGCAATCTAAAAATTCAATGCAATTCCCAACAAAATACCACCATCCTTCTTCACTGAACTAGAAAAAACAATCCTAAAATTCATATTTGACCAAACAGAACCTCACATAGCCAAAACAAACCCAAGAAAAAACAACAAATCTGGAGACATCACATTACCTGATTTCAAACTATACTATAAGGCCATAGTCACCAAAACAGCATGGTACTGGTATAAGAATAGGCACATACACCAGTGGAACAGAATAGAGGACCCAGAAACAAATCTAAATACCTATAGCTAATGATCTTCAACAAAGCCAACTGAAACATAAAGTGAAGAAAGTAAAGTGTATTCAATAACAAATGGTGCTGGGATAATTGGCAAGCCACATGCAGCAGAATGAAACTGGATCCTCAACTCTCTCTTTACACAAAAATCAACTCAAAATGGATCAAGAACATAAATCTATGACCTGAAACCACAAAAACTCTAGAAGAAAACATTAGAAAAACCCTTCTAGACACTATCTTAGGCAAAGACTTCATGACCAAGAACCCAAAAGCAAATTCAGCAAAAACAAACAGGTGAGACTTAACTAAAGAGCTTCTGCACAGGAAAAGGAACAATCAGCAGAGTTAACAGACAACCCACAGAGTGGGAAAAAATCTTCAGTCTGTACATCTGACAAAGGGCTATTATCCAGAATCTACAAGGAACTCAAACAAATTACAATTTACGAATTACAATTACAAAAATGTGGAACCAGCCCAAATGCCCATCAATCAACAAGTGGATAAAGAAACTGTGATAAACATATACATATATATGTATAATGGAATACCACTCAGTCATCATAAGGAATAAATTAATGGCATTCCCAGCAACCTGGATGGAACTGGAGACTATTATTCTAAATGAAGTAACTCAGGCATAAAAAACTAAACATCGTATATTCTCATTCATATGTGGGAGCTAAGCTATGAGGATGCAACAGCATAAGAATGATAAAATGGATTTTCGGGACTCAGGGGAAAGGCTGGGAGGAGGGTAAGGGATAAAAGACTACAAATTGGGTTCAGTGGATACTGCTCAGGTGATGGATGCACCAAAATCTCACAAATCATCACTAAAGAACCTACTCATGTAACCAAAAACCACCTGTTCCCCAAAAAACCTATGGAAATAATGAATAAATAAAGTACAGGATTCTTCTCAGCAAACATAAATAAATAAAATAAAAACTGAAGTTTATCTTTTTATCTCTCCTTTTTGGCAGGACAAATTTTAGATATGTTTTTAAAGAATTAATAACCTTTTTCCTTTCTCTGAGACATGGTCTCACTTTGTTGCCCAGGCTGGAGTGCAGTGATGCAATTATAGTTAACTGCAGCCTCAAACTCCTGAGCTCAAGCAATCCTCTGCCTCAGCCTCCTGAGTAGGTAAAACCAAAGGCACATGCTACCAAGCCTGGGTAATTTGTTATTTAACCTTTTTGTAGAGATGAGCTCTTGCTATGTTGACCAGGCTAAAAATAAACAAATCTTAATTAACTTAAATATTTCTAACACTTTGGGCATTCATGAAAACAGCTCCATCTAAGTTGTGAAGTAATGGGATCATATGGCAGTGTATAAAATTTGAATGGAAATATTAAACAAGGCTTTAGGAGATAAGTATAATATGCTTATGATAGATACATAATTTTAAAAATTGTCTGGATTAATATCATTAATTATATTGAAATTAAACTTTGATTTACATTTAAATGTAGGTCCTAAATTTGGATTAAATATAATAGATTGACCACAAATTTATTTTCTCTCCCTCTGGAAGTCTCATTAGTCATAAAATAATGGTTACACACAGGAACAGGAGAGGAGGTTGACAGAGATAATTTTTAATAAATGCTGAGACATAGAAAGTAGATAAAGGAGTGGTAAATAACACAAAGCACAACTTTGGTGCCTACAGAAAGTGACTGGAAGAGAAGCAAAGTAGTTTGTCTTGCAGAACTAAAGGCAGGCTGTGAACTTAGAGGCAAATGGCACTTTGGAAAGTGGGGTAAAATGTAAAACAAACGCCGGCAAGGTCAGTTGAAAATCTCTTACCAGAGCCCCAAGTCCACCTGTCCTCCCATCTGATAAGAAACTTAGATGTGTGTTGTCTGGATATATCAAACCTGATAATTTCTGGCTCAGAGATACCACGGTTTAAACTTGAAATATCAAGAAAACTGTAAACCAAAAATGGAACTCCAACTTTCTTCCCTAACTCTGCTTTTGGAAACCAAGTAGCCATGCTTTTACTTCCCAGGCAGGAAATTGGGAGATCATTTTCAGAAGAAACTGAACTGTCTCTAATAAAGATCTACAGATAATACACTGAGGTCCCCAAAATGGAAACTAGTTTGGCTTCCAAAACCTCACACTGAGTGCTACCAGTTAACAGAAGTCATGCTTCCAAATAAAAAAAGCCAGGGACCACCACACATTGGAGGGAAGCCTCCAACAAGAGACATCAAAACAACAGAAAAAAGGGATTCATGGGACCAGTCAAAATCATGAGCAAAACTTTTTTAAAAATCTTAAAACACTCTTAAAAAATATAAAATTCAATAGAAATAGTAGAGGATAAAGTCACAGAATATCCCAGAATTAGAATAAAAAGACAAACTGAAAATAATAGAAAGGGAAAAATTAAAAGCCAATGCAGGTATACTGGTCTAAGCAGCCTAGCGTCTGAATAACAAGACTATCAGAAAAAAAGGAACAGAGAAAATTTAAAAAATTCTCAAGAAGTGATAGTCTGCAGACTTAGTAGCCCCAATAAAATGAAAAGATCCTTACCAAGCTGTTATTGTGAAATTTCAGAATCTCAGAGACAGAAAAGCTCCTAAAAAGCCTCCACAGATACTTAAAACGTGGTTATAAATAATGTATCACACAATGGCAATAGATTCAAGAGCAACGCTTTAATGAGAGCACAATTGCAAAATATCTTCAGAACCATAAAATTTAGATTCAACCTAGAGGTTTACTTTCTATCAAAGAGGAGGGATTTTAAGACCTGCCAGATCTCTAAACATCTCCACCCAGGAAAATGTGCTTAAGTACAACTAGAGAGGATAACAGGACAGCGGGAAACAGAATCTAGGACTCAGGCAATCCCACACAAGACGGCAGTTATGTGAGATTCCAAAAGACTTTAAGGAGCTAGCACAGAAAAGCAGACATCGAGCATATCTAGGGAAAGGCACTCTATATTGAACTAGGATGACAAAAGGCCAAATAAAGTCACCCAACACCCCCGCCCCCCAAAAAAAAGGAACAGATGTGTTTTAGCAGGTGGAAAATATCTTTGAAAGGCATGTGATAAATGCTACAACACTTGGGGGGAAAACAGCTGTTAGAAAACAGGCAAATGAATAAAATCAGAAAATTAGCTTCATGCTAAAAAATAATGGATGTGAAAGCAAACAGAGCACACAGAGGCTACTTACTATATTTGGATGGATAAACTAACATAGACTAGGAAAAAAGAGAAGATCTAGGAGAATTGCAGAAGTGCTCAGATTTCAAAACTGTTTCAGAGAAAGAATGAAGGATATGTAATGCAGAGGCACAGTGAAAACACCAAATGACTAAGCAGTGAAAAAAATTTGCATAGTCATAATAGTGTAAGTATTACTGATTTAATTTAAAAATGTGTTACAATTGGAAGAAACACAGGGAGAAAAATAAGGTCATGGTGTAGTGAAGAAGGTATGCTTTCACCTGCTATGACAGAAAGTCAATAGACAGTGCTAACAGTTAATTTAGCTATTCTATTTTTGTTATTTCATTAAACATAAGATTAAATATGTAAAGCAGATCTTTATACCACAACCAGACTATTGAAATTTAACTTAAATGTCAGAAATCCTTAAAAGATAGACACACTAAGCTGAAGACTTTTCTGGATAAATTTGATACTTAGGAAAATAAAAGAGATTTAGAAAATCCACAAAAAGATCTCCATGCTATCACCACTGGGACCTATTATAATTTAAAGGAATCAAGAGAGACATACTTTTATGTCAAGCTATCAATTTCTTAACATTTTGACTGTTTACTTACATGGTTTGTATAGTTGCTTTTTCTTTTTTCTTGTACTAAGAATGAAAAAAAACTGGTCACTTCTGATACAAATACCATAAAATAAAAGTAGTTGTTAACATCTTATTGATTACTCGTATGTAAAATGAGAAAATATTCCATTTAAAAAAATTATTTTCAGCTATTTATAATTTAAATTATCTAGCACGATAAATCTCATAAAGTAAAATCTAAAAACTTAGTTTTACTTTTTGACCTTAAACTAGGTCAAAAGTTTTTTGTTTCTATTACATACAAATGAAAGAATACTCATGTACAAAAGTAAAGGGCAAAAAAATTAGGCCAGATGAAAAATTTAGCTAATAAAAAAGTTTAACTGTTGCATATATGATCCATGATCCATTAATATTCTCTCATTCTGCATTTACACATAGCTTACTTTGATTATCAGACTCTAAGAGCTAACAGCTGTAAGAACTACTTGCTGGCCAGGCACCTATCTCTAGATGCGTCAGAATCCCTGTAAGCATCTTGAATCACACTTAGTGGTGGTCATCTACTAATATATCACTCAAAATGAAACAAAACAAAACAAAAAAAGGTCTTTACACAACTGTAACCTATCTTAAATTTGAATTTTAAAATTATTATACAAACCTAATTGGACATGGTGTCTGCCGCACAAGAAAAAAAAATCACTTTTTTCTTAAAATAGGCCAGAATAATAAAAGTTCCAACAGGGACTTGGGCCATGCTTTGTTTCCTACACTGCCTCTGCCTTTGATGCTGGAAGGGCCTTGCAGGCAAACATTCCTACCACTGAAGAGTGAGGGACACGGAATAGCTATTGTTTTACTGCTTCCATGCTCTCTAGGTGTAGAAAGCCCATGCCTCTGGAAGGAACTGGGAAATACAATTCTGATATGGATTGGATATGTTCCCCCTCCAAATCTAATATTAAAATGTGACCCTTAAGATTGGAGATAGGGCTCAGTGGAAGGTGTTTGGGTAACGGCAGTGGATTCCTTACTAATGGCTTGGTGTCATCCCCATGGTAACAAGCAAATTCTCATTCTGGTAGTTTAAAAGAGTGTGGCACCTTCCCCTTTCCCCTCTCTACTCCCTCTCTCACAGTGTGGAACCACCTGCTTCCCCTTTGCCTTCCATCATGATTGTAATCTTGCTGAGGCTCTCACCAGAAGCAGATGTTGAAGCCATGTTTGTACAGCCTGAAGATCTATGAGCCAATTAAACCTCTTTTTGTTATAAATTACCCAGCCTTAGGTATCTCTTTATAGTTATGCAAAAATGAACACAAATTCTAACCAGAAATAACTGACTCGAGACAGGCAAAGTCTACTCAAACTACAAAAAGAAAGGTTACACACTCCCATATTTTACTGTGCTGCATTACTTCCCATATTATTATAGGTCCTCACTTGTATTCTTGCTGCTTAAATCAACTGGAAAACTTGGCTGTGTATGGCTTTTTAGCAAACAAATGAGGATTTATCATAACACTAAGGAAAATAAGCAGGAGTAGGGCATGTTTAAATTTACATTACATCAAATGAAAAGGTTAATAACTTAAACGTTTTGAGTAGCATAAACTTGAATGTGATAAACGCATGTGGTCAGAGCACTGTGTAACAGGAGGCCAAAATCACAGGTTCAATCACCGATGATGAACAACTATTTTTTTTTGCTTGTTTAAATGAAAACCAAGCTGAAGACTAAGTTCTATCATTCATCTTTAAAATGTACTCTTTGGACTAAGAGAAAACGGACAAAGAATTATAAATAAAGATAAACCTATGACTCCTCCATCACATGACAAATTAATTGTGCTGATAAAAAGATGGCAAAATGTATAAACAAGAAGTTTACATGATTTCACTAACACAGTAACAACTAAAGGAAAGTATATCACATGTTAAAATAAGACAAGTAAACGTGAAAAGTTGAAACATTTAAATGTGAGTTTTTCTAAATTCTTTCTAAAATACATCTGATCAAACAAGGGTTTTCACTCTTTTTCTTGGTGGGAAAAAACAATGCTGTCTCACCATCTGTTTGAGAGCTCTTCAGGAATATAGTGCTTGCCTCTGGTTGGGCAGAAGGGTTGGACTCCAAAGATGTACCTATAGAGGGAGAAAAGAAAGATGTGATCATTTATAAAAATTTATCAACTCCTTTATTCGACTGCTGCATTTAGGCTATCTCGCTACCTCCACTTTTATTCTTATTCATTGAAATGAATGTATAGACATAAGATGGAGCAAGGCAAGATGGTGCATGCCTGTAGTCCCAGCTACTCACGAGGCTGAGATGGGAAAATCCCTTGAGCTCAGGTCAGGAATTTGAGGCCAGCATGAGTCACATAGTGAGACCCTCCTTTATTAAAAAAAAAAAATGAAGAGGTAAATGTTGGTTTGAGTTGTGTAAAATCAACTTTGCATAAAATAAATCAACATGGCAGTACATTTTAAAAGACTGGTCTATTTTATAGGCAACAAACAAGATGTATTCTGGAGTTTTTAAAATTTTTAAAAAGTAAATTCAGCATATCTGTCACTTCCATGCCATTGTGAGGGCATGGAACCTTAGTTCTGTTGGGTAGCTGTCTTCCATAGTCATGTGAGATCTCTAAATCTTCATTTCTTCATTAACAGTACATAGGGAGAGCATACACAGGCCTTATGTGTATTGGAAAGGGCCAAATGAGACATACATAAACTGTGTTGAAATCCTAAAGAATGATAATAAAGAGCATTTGTTGGGCTCTCATCCAACACTATCCATCTACTAACTGGTGTGGAAAATCACTCAGAGGCTTTCCTTACACCACCAAGTGGAGTATAAGTTCACACAAGTACTTACATGCTTTGTGTATAAAGGTATAATCAATTAATTTCCATAATATATTTGTTTATTCTAAAGCGATCCTTAAATACCTTGAAAAGTGAGTATAGTACTTCCAAGTTACAAAGTCACACTCGTCATGAGTCTTAATTACCCTACCTCTTAAAAAATTAATTAAGAACCCAACCAAAGTTTAAATAGAAGAGCTATAATACATTTCCTCTACAGTAATAATATCTCTGGAATTTAAATGAAACCAATGAACCAACTCAATTTAATATCTTTACAATACAATGTTTTCTATTTCTGAAATTTATTTTTTATTCAAGAACCATATTGTTACCCAGAATTATTTTTATTTAGATTCATCTCTTTGCAAAGTTTTAGAGGCATACCAACTAATTGTTTTCTCTTTTCTACCCCCTCCCATCCCCCTGCCTCTCCAAATTAGAGACTGAAAAACTCCAAATTTTTTATCTTTGAACAAGATGCTATTGTCAAGAGGGGGGAAGGACAAAGGAGGAGCCGTGGCAACAAACACTCTTACACAGGCAATGTCTGACATTTTAACCTTCAATCTTTATATTACACATTCAAAGTCTAAATTTATGTTTCATGTCTTTCGAGACTTGTGACCCCGAACCACCCCCACCTCTCTTTTAGAACAAGAAGGTAAATAAAGTCTGTTAAGGCACCAGAATAAATCTGGAGACACATTTTGTGTTAAAGTAAGAATTTTAAAGTAATCAGAGCCTCATGGGTAAACTCCTTTGGGGGAACCCCCGCCCCCAACAACACACCCAATTTTCTGCACCTCTGGCCATGACATTTCACACCTTTCCCAATTATTTTAAGCACCCCCCATTTTCTGTCCTTCTGTGTTCAAATTACAGTTAGATGAAACTAAGCAGCTTCTATCAAGGTGACTTAAAGCAGCCCATTAAGAATACCATATAGTCTTTCCATGGCAACCTCCACTCTGATTTTAAATAAGAAATCCTCAAATATTTCAGTATGAATTGTCCTGAGATTTAGCTACTTTAACAAAGGAAACAAGAAATTACCTAGTTCCTTCACTTAGGTACTATCTGGATAGGTACAAAGAAAGAATGAGATTGGTACAGGAAAGTTGGGATATTTGAGTTTTTATTGAGAGAAGGGAGATAATATTCCAAAGAAGCCTCCACAAAGTCCCATAGGATAATAAATAGAGCTACAGACAAGAAAAGCCATAAATAAATGGTCCCATGCCAGCCTGGGAGAATGATAGAGGGAGAAAGAACTGGGCATTTGGGAGGGGAAGTGAAAGGAAATTGTCTTGACTCTGTGGAGAAAGACTAAGGGGTGGGAATGCAAGGCAGAGCCAGCCTTTGTTCCTGGCCAGCCCTGGGAAAGCTAGCTACAGACAGAAAGGAGCTCAAAGAGGGGGATGCCTCCCGGGGGACCTTGGGGACAGCAGCAGCCAGAGGTGTGCCAAGGGCACATGTCACCTCCTTACTTTCAGGCATCTCCCAGTCACAGATGTGATGCACATGGAGGCCCTGAGATGACAAACTTCTAAAGTCCCCTCACCAGGCTTTACAATGAGAGCCACCAGTGCTCCTGCCATCATGTACCCAGCTGCTGCCTCATAGATCTCAGACTCACAGGGACACACCAACCCCTTGTGCTGGTCCAACTCGGGGCTGGTCCTGGGGCACACAAAACAGGTCAGTATGTTCCCCATGGGGCACCTCTACTCCTGTCACCACCTGTGCCTCTGCTCACAGCTTTGGCCACAAACTCTCACCGCCCTAGGTCGAGGCTATGCTGCACCTGCAGATACAGTCTTGTCTGCTGCTTGCCTGCCCACATCACAGCCCAGCCCCAGCCGGGGATCAGGCCAAGGCCCGCACCCTGCTACCTCCCCTAAGTTGATTTGTCTGGGAGGGTAAAGAGCAGCTGGCTTATTTAATAGGCTGTGAACCCAACAAGCGCTGAAAGACACAGGACATTTTTAGGGCTTTTCCTTAGTTCAGCTAAAGATGGGGTCCTTGTCACATGGTCATGAAATATTAGGCTCACAGACACTTTGAAGGGTGAGAAAAATGGAATTTATTAAGCAAAAAGGATAAAGGGGAACCAGGACCCCTCAGCAGTTTGAGAGTCCTGCTAGCATAGGCTTCCCGCTTCACAGATTGAATTCCATGTTCCACCCAGGAAGGGAAGGGGCCAGGCTCCCCGCACCATGAACTTCCCAAGGCCCCACACCAGTGCACACTCCTCTCAGTGTGCAGGCCAGTGGGAGATTCTCTGATGGCCCCTTTTTACTCAGCTGCCTCATTCCTCCTTCTAAAGAAGTACATCTAACTACCATTAGAATAAGGATACTGCTTCCTGCTATCAGGGGCAGTTTGGGGAAAACAGTACTCAGAGTCTCCTCAGAGGCCCATCTAAGGGTCCCTAGCAGAAGGGGCCAGTGTCCGAGGCTCCAGCTACATGACCATTCAATGTTTGGTGGCTGAAGGTGAGAAGAGACACAGCGGAGAAGACACACAGTGGAGATGATGAAACCCCATCTCCACTAAAAATACAAAAAATTAGCCAGGCATGGTGGTGTGCACCTGTAGTCCCAGCTACTCAGGAGGCTGAGGCAGGAGAATCACTTGAATCTGGGAGGCGGAGGTTGCAGTGAGCCAAGATTGCACCACTGCACTGCAGCCTGGGCAACAGAATGAGACTCTGTCTCGAAAAAAAGAAAAAAAAAAGCCAGATGTGGTAACATACACCTGTGGTCCTAGCTACTTGGGAGGTTGAGGTGGGAGGATCATTTGAGCTAGGGAGGTCAAGGCTACAGTGAGCTGTGATCACGCCACTGCACTCTAGCCTGGATGACAGAGTGAGACCCTGTCTCAAAAACAAAACAAAACACACACACACACAACTTATATAAAAGATGGAAAGAAATAACTAATAACCAAAAGAGAATATAAGCAAAATATCAAGATCTTTTTCAGCAGTGCAAAGTTTCAAGCAGAGATTGGGCTGTAGTTTTTAGTTGTATGTTTTCCTAAGCCAGAAGGAGGGACGGGGGAGGATTTAAGGCTTATCT
This sequence comes from Homo sapiens, assembly GCF_000001405.40. Classification (NCBI taxonomy): domain Eukaryota; kingdom Metazoa; phylum Chordata; class Mammalia; order Primates; family Hominidae; genus Homo; species Homo sapiens. The sequence continues at coordinate 38,978,439 of NC_000010.11, read as the reverse complement.
GAAGGAGTATATGTCAGGATCTTTAAATAAACGATATCTTCTCTCATTTTGATTAGACTGAAAGAAGTCAGTTAACTTATCCACATACAAACAGGGACCAGGAATCCAGTCCCTGACTCTTATGACTCTAGCACGACCTCATGTTTTCACCTAAAGGAAGAACAACTTTGAGCCGCAGTACCTTTATCTTTAGTATGCATATACTTAGCAGCCACAGTACCTTTATCTTTAGTATGCATATACTTAGCAGATACTTGGGACTTTCAGAAACCAGTCAAAGCCCTTCCCAGCAAATGCTTTTGAAAAAGTGGGGCATGAACAACCTGAGTAATTTTATTTCTGATCACAACAATGTGAGGCCAGGCACATGGGTTCACACCTGTAATCACAGCACTTTGGGAGGGAGGGGGGAGGATCATTTGAGGCCAGGAATTCAAGACCATCCTGGACACATAATGAGACCCTGTCTCTAAAAATTAGCCAGATGTGGTGACACATGCCAGTAGTCCCAACTACTCAGGAGGCTGAGATGGGTAGATCACTTATGCCCAGGAGTTCAAGGTTACAGTGAGGTATTACGGCACTACTGCACTACAGCCTGGGTGACAGAGTGAGATCCCAGCTCTAAGAATAATAAAAAGAAAAATAAATGCTATGTGACTCTGATAAAATAAGAATTTCTGACTTATAACTGGCTTTTGAAGTAGTTTAAGAAGAGCTTCCCATAAGTTCTGAGAGCTCTGGTATGGCAGGGAAGGTGTAGGTCTGTGGATGTCTTCTGCCCATTCTGATTACTCCAGGTTACAGAAACCCTCAAGGTCCAGACATTGGGAAATGTGTAAACTGTAGCAAGGGCTAGAATTTGTAGAGGACCAGAGTCCATGCTTGCCAGCATGAAAGGGTTCAAGTTCAATTTAAAAAAAAAAAAACAACTTGAACCCAGCAGGTGGAGGTTGAAGTGAGTCGAGATCGTGCCACTGTACCCCAGCCTGGTGACAGAGCAAGACTGACTCTGACTCTCTTTCTCTTCTCTCCCCCTCCCCCACTCTCTCTCTCCTTCTCTGCCTCTCTCTCCCTCTCTCTACTCCCCACCCCTCTCTCTCTCTCCCTCTCGCTCCCTATATATATATATCTCACCATGCAGGCTTAACACCCTTACCTATGGAGTCAGCCCAGTCAACATCATTTAGATCCCTGCTTTACAGTTACAGCACATTGGTGTATAAATAGTTATTTTAGAATGTAGTAAGATTGGAAAATAATAAACTAGAGTTTGTGCTTACTTTTATGGATGACATAGGACCACTTTCTGGAGGTGTAGGATGTTTTCTAGCCTTATGCTCGATACACATTTCACAGCACTGGTAACCACCCCGTGGGTTCTTCTTGCCTGCTACCCAGATAGAGCCAATTTATTGAGACACAGGAATTGCCATAGAGAAAGAGTTTAATACACATAGAGTTGGCTAAACAGGAGACCAGAGTTTTGCTAATACTCAAATCAGCTTCTCTGAAATTCAGAGACTAGGGTTGTTGAAAGATATTTAGGCAGGCAGGAGCCTAGGCAATGGAGAATGATGATTGGTTTGGGTCAGGGATGAAATCACAGGGAGTTGAAGCTGTCCTCTTGGGCTGAGTCAGTTCCTGGGTGGTGGCCACAAGACCTGATCAGCCAGTTAACTGATCTGGGTGGGGCCAGCTGGTCCATCAGAATGCAGAGTCTGAAAAATACTCAAACATCAATTTTAGGTTTTATAGTAGTAATATTATCTATGGGAGAAATTGGAGACGTTAGGAATCTTTTGGCCTCTGGCTGCCTGACTCCTGAGACATAATTCTTAATCTTGTGGATGATTTGTTAGTTTTACAAAGGCGGTGTGGTCCTCAATCAAAGAAGAGGTTTGTTTTAGGGAGGGGCTATTATCATGTTTACTTCAAAGTTAAACAATAAACTAAATTTCTTCTAAACTTAGTTCAACCTACACCCAGGAAAGAACAGGGCAGCTTGGAGATTGGAAGCAAGATAGAGTCAGTTAGGTCATATTTCTTTTGCTGTCACAGTTTTTGCAAAGGTGATTTCACGCAAAGTATGCACTTTACAAACTTACTTTGTTTTTAGCAAGAAGTAATTGAAATCACTTTTGCTTAGCGTGCAAATTCGTTTTTTAATGGAAATTCTGTACTGCCTTTGATCATTCTAATGAAATCATCTTGCTTTTTACTCACGTGAGTTGACATTATCTGGATTTATTCCTTATTTTGGATTTGGACTGAAAGCTCTTTTTACATTTTAACCTGCTGTCATTTGCCTGAAAGTAGTGGTGAAGGGTGCCTCTTTAAATGCATTTACAACAAATTGCTTTTTTGTGAAGGGGAGGGTAAAACTGAAATTGGTTGTGTTTCCTTCTCTCTGTGTCAAAATTGTATTTTCCATTTTATGCATCTGGTAAAGATAAAGATTTTGATGCTTAACTGCAAAGATCTGACTCTACAGGGATGTACTTACTCTCTCTTTTTTGAAAATATAATGATTTCACAGTCTCCTGTCTTGAACACACTACATTTGGTAACTGTATATCTTGTTTTATCAAGTCATGTATGACTTTTCTGCTTCTTCCTTGCCTGCCATAATCATCTTCTGACCATCTGGAAAACCTCTGATCCTCTATGCAGAGTCCATTTAAACATTTTAGTACTAGAAGAGTGAAAATCTTGTAAAAATATAAAATTTTTTTCTATTGTTACACTGGGAGCAAAGGTAAAATGTTTAAATGTGCTTTCCTGCTGCGTAAGAGTTTTAGAGATTGCAGGCTTGCATGCAGAATTCTGAATGGGGACAGCAGTTCCAATGCACCTAGGGAACTGGAGAAAGGCTGCAGGCATTGTCAGCAAAAGGAACTGGAGTGATTTGTTGTATTCCGTTTATTTTCAGAATAACTCCTAATAAATATTAGAGAGGCATATTCACTCTTCAAGGCAGTGAAACAACCTGCATGTATTTTGGGAGCAATTCTTGGAAGGGATTTCTGTTTTAAAATCAAGACATTAGCCTTTGGGATGTCAGATTCCTATTGATAAATTGAGGAAAGTGAATATCAGGTGTCAACTTTGGAAACTACAAAAAAAAAACAATTACTTAAAGGGAGGATAATGAAAATAACTGAGGATATAAATCACCCAGCCTCAGTTTTATGAGCCACACATGTGACTTTTATATTTCCATTAATCACAAAGCTCATAATTTTATGATACAAATATCAGCAACAGCCACCTGGAGTTTTTTTTTCCCCCTTCTCTCTATTTTCAGTTTCTTCCTTTATCTGTTTTGTTTTCTTTTTATTAAAGAATAAAGCATTTATTTTTTAGCGAAGATTTATGTTAAATAATTATAACAATAATAATTTACTGTAGTGTTAGTACATATTTTTGTTAATTCATCAAATATTTATTGACTAAATGCCAGGCATGGTTAGACATTGTCTAGTGGAAGAGAGAGACTGTCTGTCCTTGTGGAGCTTAGAGTCTAATGGGGAAGACAGATAATAAACAGTAATATAGATAGGTAGATAAATAGATACATACATACACACATACATGCATGTATATATATACACATATGTATTAGTCCACTGCTATAAAGAACTACCTGAGACTGGGTAGTTTATAAAGAAAAGAAGTTTAATTGACTCACAGTTCTGCATGGCTGGGGAGGCCTCAGGAAACTTACACTTGTGGTGAAAGGCTGAGGGGAAGCAAGGCATGTCTTACGTGGCAGCAGGAGAGAGAGAGTGAAGTAGGAAGTGGATATAAATAACAGTTTTAAACTATCAGATCTTGTGAGAACTCACTCACTATCATGGGAACAGCAAGGGGAAATCCACCCCCACGATCCAGTCACCTCCCACCAGGCCTCTGACAAGTGGCGATTACAATTCGAGATGAGATTTGGGTGGGGACACAGAACCAAACCATATCACATAGATATATAGCTGATAAATAGACAGATGCTAGAAAGTGATAAAAGCTCTGAAAAGAAGAAAGTGTAGCACAAGCACAAAGAAATCAATAGGAAGAGAGAGCAACTGCGGACATCTTTAAATCGGGTATTCAGACAGCCATGACAGAGTCTGTGGATTTTGGACAAAGACTTGAAAAAGGTAGATATCTGGGGAAGAGGATTCCAGGTGGAAGAAGGGTGGTGACATGGCTGGCATATTTGACAAGTAACAGGAGGACTGTGCGGCCAAGGCAGAGTGAACAAACGTACATTAGATGAGATCATTTATACCAAGAATGTGTGGTATGCCTAGTGTCTGGTGCGGAATCAATGCTCCAAAGCTGTGAAGCCCCGGCTCTGCCTTCAGCCAGCTTTGACGCCAACCCCACCCATCACACAGGCAGACACTTCCCAAGGTAACCAAGGGCTGGTGGCTTCTAGGTGGTCTGTGGAATTTTTGTACTGTTGACATTTGTTGTGTTAATGCCTGTGGCTTTCATAATGCTACTTTACATTGTACCATCTCATTGGTGTTTTGATGAGCAGGGTGTCTTTTTGCCTGTTAACTATGGTGAGGTTTTCAGTGAAAAAAGAGAATCCCTACACAACTGTGTAGGGGTGAAGAGAGAACTTTCCCTTCACCCTCTAAAGGATTGTTTAAAAATCAAGTCACAAAAGGTTGATTAATTGAAGAAAAGGCGTAAACATTTATAAACATGCACACAAGGGAGAACCACAGAGTGATTACCCCAACCACCAGGGGAGTGTAGAAGCTTATATATCATCTTGATGTACAGAAAAAATGGGGGTTCAGAAACAGGTAATGATGGCAGAACAGGTTATGGGAGGGAGAGAAGAGGAGGCCTGGCTAGCAAAGGTAGCAGCCCTCAAAAACAATAGATGGGGCTGGGCGCAGTAGCTCACACCTGTAATCCCAGCACTTTGGGAGGCCAAGGCGAGTGGATCACCTGAGGACAGGAATTTGGGACCAGCCTGGCCAACGTGGTGAAACACCGTCTCTACTAAAATATACAAAAATTAACTGGGCATGGTTGCAGTTGCCTGTAATCCCAGCTACTAGGAGGCTGAGGCAGAAGAACCACATGAACCTGGGAGGTGGAAGTTGCAGTGAGCCGAGATCATGCCATTGTACTCCAGCCTGGGTGACAAGAGTGAAACTCCATCAAAAAAAAAAAAAAAAAAGAGAGAGAGAGAGAAAGAAAGAATAGATGGTAAATGCTTTTTTTCTTCTTAAACCTTTAAAGGTGTCAAACTCTCCATTATTTTTCTTTTAGAGTGGGGCAAGGGGAGGCCTGGCTGCATCAATTTAGATTCTCTGTAGGTGTCAAAGTCCCCCACAAAAGACAGCTTTGCAGAGTTACTTCTGTTTGCTGGGTCTCTGAGCAAGCAGTCTCAAACTATGTCAAAGAAATACATTTTGGGGTAGAATATTTTTATTTCTTTCGGTTGATAGTAGAATGTTTTGTCCTACTGCAAATAGTTAGCAGATCTCTGATGAGAGGGAATTTTAAGAATTTGGGAATCAGTTTCACAACCTCTGATGAGAGGGAATTTTTCCTGCATCCTTTTCTGTCTTTGAAGTAGTGGTTTTCAAGTTAGCTGCATGTTAGAATCACTTGGAGAGCTTTAAAGAAAATGTTGCTACCCAGGCCCCACCTCAAATCAATTAAATCCCAACCTCTGGGAGTGGGACCTGCTTTTAGATGTTAAGCTCCCCAGGTGATTCTAATGGATGCTAGAGACGAGAACTCCCACTGGTCACCGAGGTTGATGCTAAGTATATTTATTTTTTTCTTATGATACGTTGGCTTCTGCCTCTTCATATTATCATGTCTCAAAGGCTCAGAAGACCTTGGAACTTTCTGCAACACTTCTCAATCTTCTCATTCCAGCTCTATTGGTGACTGGTTCATAAACTCCAGGTCCAGAAGCAGAGCTGGCTCATGACCAAGCTTTGCTGTGTGCAGCAGCCTTCTCAGATGCTTGCTCTGGGCAACCACTCTTCAGATGCAGCCCCGCAGGGCTCTGAAAGCAGAGTGTGTCCTTCAGCACCCCCTTTCCTGAAGTTGTAGCCAGCTCTGCCGGGCTGCCTCCACCACTTTCACGGCATCAGCTAACCATAGTGCTTCCATTTTCATCAGGAGGCTTATGCATAAGCTTATATTTAAAATGTGGTCAGAAAAATGTCTACAAGTAGATATTTGAGCTATACGTCATGTTGCACTGTTCAACATGAACCTCTAATTGACCCACTTCTAAAAAATCACCTGCAATATAATACCGTCAATAAATGGATGCTATTTTTTTGTATTTATATTTTAAACCTATTCATACGTCTCAGTGTATGTGTGTTGTAAATCAAAGATGACAGAGACAAGTCACAAGTATTTTAAGAGGTTTATTTGCCAAGGTTAAGGACATGCCTAGGACAAAAGAACACAAAATCATAGGAAAAATCTGTGGTCTGTGCTTTTTTCCAAAGAGAATCTGAGGACCTCAATATTTAAAGGGAAAAAAGCAGGTATTGGGGGAAAGAGGAAGGAGGAAAATCTTTTTAAAGGGTGGTAGATAAAAGTGGCAAGAGGTTGCATCTTTTTAGTCTTGGATCAGCATTCTCTGAATCTACATTTTACATGTGACAGGGGGTAGAGAATAGTCACTTACGCATTCAACTTGTCCTCAGTGAATCTGCATTATTACATAACCTTAAATAAACAGAGGGTAGAGGAGGCAGTAAGATAGGCATTTGTCTCAGGTGAGTGGAGAGATGACTTTTCAGTTCTGTCCTTTGTCCCATACCTGAGAAGATCAGCAATGAATTTACACGGTCAGAGTGAAATTCAACAGAACTGCTTTAGGGTAAAGATTGTGGGGCCAACCAGGAATTCCCTTGTGGGAAAATTGTGAGGGAGGTATATACCCTTTCATCTCTGTAACTGTCTTATTTAGGAACAAAACTGGGGGGCAGGTTTGCATGACCCAGTTCCCAGCTTAACTTTCCCCTTTGCCTTAGAGAGTTTGGGGTCCCAAGATTTATTTTCCTTTCATAGTATATACACACACAATCATTTGTATGCACACATAAGCACTTATGGATGTGTATTTGTAAGTATCAGTATTTAACTATAGTGGCTATATATAATCTTTCCAAATAATCAGTCTGGAGGTCAGCTGAACTTTCTTAGACTCTTTTTATCATGCAGTTGTGTGTTTTTTCAATGGAGGTGAGAGATGTTAAAATGATACTGTGTTGATAATGTTATAATTGAAGCTCTGGGATTCTCTCCCTGGCAAAATAAAAAGTGGGTGATTCAGTATTGTCTTCAGGTTATTTTTCTTTAATTTTGCTGGTCCATGATATTTAAAAACAACCACAAACAACCCTGGAACTGTAAGTTAGGCTGGAAGCCCCCATGCTTGAGGAGGGCTTCTCTGGAGCCCCTCCTGCCCCAATTCTGCTCATAGTCCAAGTCCCTCAGTGACATCAGGGGAGACTGAAATCAGCAAGACAGAGTCACTTGCCTCCACCCCTTTCCCCAGGACATCCCAACACTAGGTGTAATTTCATGGTTTAGCCTCTCCTACCTCTGTGCTAAAATAAAGTATTACTTTTCTCTATCCCTTTCTTCCCTTTTCTCTTCTTGTTCCCCCTTTTTGAAGTAAAGGCAACATTCCCACAATTTTAAAAAGTTATAGCCTAGATGAGGTTGCTCATGCCTGTAATCCCAGCACTTTGGGAAGTCAAGGCAGGAGGATCACTTGAGCCTAGGAGTTAAGGACGGCCTGGGCAACATAGTGAAAGACCACATATTTAAAAAAAAATTAAAAAATCAAAAGCCCAAAAAGTTATAAAATCCTTTTTCTTGACCAGCACACTTGACATTTCCCTTTGGCAGGCATTCCACATCCCACTTTGAGATTCACAAGGTACAAGATGGTTCCAGGAACCAAGACGCAACCTAAGAAACCAGTTGGCCTAACAAAGTGTCAGGGCTTGCTCGTCACAGAGCTCTCCTTCTTTCTCCCGTTGGCACACTTGTTTGGCAGCTGGCCCAAGAGTGTCCAGGTTCTGGTAGTGCCCACTGGCAGCATTTGGCAGGTGTGACAGCAGAAGAGTCAGAAAAATAGCAAATCTGGCCTCCCCTCCTGCAGGAGGAACACGGTGGGACTCAGGGTGCTGGCTTTGTAGAAGAACATGCCCTCTGCAGGCCATCCCACCTCTGGTCCTCTTTTTATCCTGGGCAAAGAAGTGTTTTAATCCCAGCCTGTCTGAGCACTGCCCTTTCTTCTACACTCACACTCTCCTTCACAGCCCCAGGGCACGTCATTTTGTCCTACACAATGCCATTATTACTCCCTTTTTGTTTTTCTTCTTAGGCGAGCCACTTTTAAAAAATATTCCAATGTTCCTATTCCAAACCTCTTCTCCCCTTTCAAGCTCAGATAAAGGCATAGATATAACCAAAGCTTTTTTATGCCTCCTTGACTAGGTACCCAGTACTAAGTTCCCAGAACTGCAGTCCCATGAATAGTACAAATAGACAAAACCTAAGGTGGGAGGAGCAAAAAGTCGCCGCGACGGGGGCAACAAGCCGTGGCAGCGGGGGCAAACAGCCATGGCGGCAAAAACCCGCGGGGGCAAAAAGCCGTGGCGGGGGTGACAAAAAGCCGTGGTGGCGGGGGCAGAAAGCAGCGGTGGCGGGGGCAAAAAGCCACAAAAACCCGCTGCGGCCGGGACAAAATAGTGGAAATGGGGTAGAAGGCCAGCACAGCTTGGCATTCCTGGAGTGTGATGTGGAAGCAAAAGTGCAGCGGAAGACAAAGATGTAAGTAGGCTTCACTCAGTGTAGCTAAGAACCCAGATGTTATCTTGATGTTAGTCTATCAGCTAATTTTTTGTATTTTAGTAGAGAAGGGGTTTTACCACGTTGGCCAGGATGGTCTCGATCTCCTGACCTCATGATCCACGCACGTCAGCCTCCAAAAGTGATGGGATTAGAGACATGAGCCACAAAGTGCTCAAAAAATCTATTAATTAAAAAATGTGTATGTAGCCGTCTTTAATCTACCATGTCCATTAGCAGATAAATACTATAAGCAAAATAACAACAATGAAAGAAACATAGACTTAGATACTGTGATTTATTTAATAAAAATTTGAAAATAGACCAAATTACTGTATGATAAAAAAATCTGTTACTATTGAGGATGAGGGTTAGTGTTTGGAAAGGGGCAGGAGAAGTATCACTATTTTTAATAATGTTCTATTTTCATACATGGTTATAAGCAAATACATGTGTTTCATTAATCAAGCTATCCATATTTAATCATTGTACTTTTCTGCATGTATGATATATGTCAATAAAATATATACAGCAAAAATAGACAAAACCAAGAAGACATACACAAATGTTAAACCTAGAGAGAAATTTGAATATAAGTAAGTCTCTGAGTGACTGGTGGAACAAACCAAAAAATAATCAGGAAGGAGAGGTTTGGAAAAGCACGATTAGCAAAATTGACATATCTGTCTTTTAATATAGGCAGAAACATAGTTAGATTAAAAAAAGGACTTGTCTCAGAGTATGATTTCTGAAAATAGTGGAATCAAGTTTGAATCTAGTAAGTACATATAAATAAATGTCTTAAAACTTCTCTTATGTTAGCTAATTAAGAAATATTATTGTAATAGATATTAGAAAATATTTTAATAAATTGAGTGGATTTCACACGCTAAGGAAATGATCTTACTTGCATTTGATAGTTCAATTACATACATATATACCTATAGGTAGTTTAAAATATTTCTAATAACCTTATATACTTTTAAAAAGCATTGATACCTGTTTGCACTATCTGGTCTATAGAGTACACACACAAAACATGATTATAGCTCTTCTGCTATAAACTTCAAATGTCTAATTAATACAAAAATCTAGAATGAGAGGAGTTCTTTGCAATTTTTTTTTTACCAAATGGAATATAGGAAAGATAGCAGCAAATATACCTGACACACTTATCTGTGAGTATGGTGATAGCCTTTTTATTTTATTTTATTTTATTTGAGAGAGGGTCTCACTTTGTCACCCAAGATGGAGTGCAGTCATGTGATCAGAGCTCACTGAAGCCTTCACATACTGTGCTCAAGCGATTCTCCCACCTCAGCCTCCTGAGTAGCAGAGACTGCAGTGCATGACACCATACTAGCTAATTTTTGTAAAGATGGAGTTTCACCATGTTGCCCTGGCTGATCTCCAACTCCTGGACTCAAGAGATCTGGCCAAGTTGGCCTCTCAAAGTGCTGGGATTATACTTTTGAGGCACCTTGATCAGCCCAGCCTTAAAAAAGGCTGACTAGAGATCTTTATCTATGTATATCTATATCTATCTATAAAATAAACATATGTGTTTATTATATAAAAATATATATTATTAATATTATATAAAAATTTTTTTCAAGGTAGAAATATATAAAGAGGGTGCATGTAGAGCCTCGGTCATTGTGTAGTGAAGCTCAAGGCCTCTGAAGAAATGCCCCTTGCCTCTTTTGTCTGTGGTAGAATCCGAGAAGGGAAAGCAGCAGATGCACTGGTTCCCAGGTTCTTGGCATCCTACGGAGAGAAACACGTTTGAGCTAGGGTAGCTTTAAACACCCTTGTTCTTACTCTCCTATTTTATGTAGTGAGCAGAGACTAGCTTCATGAGAACAGACTGTGACAGTCAAGGCTGTCTGTTATTTTGTGTAGCATTAATTGAGAAATTCTAGCACCTGAAGACCTCTGGGCCATTTGAGGGTAGGTGCAGGGGAGGAAAGGGAAGTTTTCCTCCCTCCTGCTGTGGAGAGAACCCATGGGAAGCACAGACCTTGTCCTAACTGAAGGCAGACCCCTTGCTAACCAGCTTCTCATCAACCAACCCTGGATGAGCTTCCATGTCTATTTATTAAATAATCCTTATTGCTTTTCTTCATATGGGCAAAGTATGGTTTACAGGGACTATTGTTCCTTTGAACACCCATCATGCAAACCCCTTCCTGTTGTGGGAAAACAGGCTTCCATATGTGTCTTACTGGGAAACACATAGGCAATTTCTATGTTTTTACTGCGTCTATTTCAGGGATATGGGAACTGAACAGTGCCCATCAAAGGCTCACCTGCTGTTGGAAATTGATCTGAGAGCGCAGAAGGACAGAATTCTTTCTTTGTTCCTGGGCAGCGGTGGTTGAGGGATCATTTTGTGGCAGCTACAGTGACAATGATGGAGGCAGAATGGAGGGCTCAGTAGCAAGACAAGGAGAGAATTGGCCTCACAATGGCAGCATTGCAGGGGTGCGCTCTACAGAGTATTTGCTCACATGGTTTTGGGCATTGTCTCTAACTACATTGCTTCCCCAATAGGTTGACCCATTCTAAATAACTCCTTTTCTCTTTAAAAAAGCAAACTTCATTTGTATGACTTGCAATTGTAAATGACACCAATTGGCCAGTTATCATTCAAATTCTCTGTTACTTAATCCTGTCTTTTCCTGATGTAAGCAACTTTCCCATAAAAAATTGGACACTTTGTTGCTTACTCATTGTCTTTACACATTTTAAAATGTTGCTTTATGCCCCCAATCCCTAACTACACTTTCAATGTTTTGCAAGTGGAGTCCATGTGTTCTTGATTTACATGAAGCTCAAAATAATGGTTATAGTAACTAGTACTTCATAATTAAGCAAAAAGCTCGTATTGAAAAATGACAAAACTATACATAGAGATGACAACATGGAGAGATATTTCCTGAGATCACAAAGTTATGGTATGACAGAACTAGAAAGTTGAGAAGAGACTCTGTGTTCCCAATCATTATTTCTACCACCAGCTTTCTATTTTGATGTTAATAATGTTCTTACGTGGGCAACCCTACATATTTGCCAATGTTTAGTTCATTGACAAAGAAATAGAAAGAGCTTCAAGAACACCCTAATTTTTAAAAAATAAAATATCTATAATTGGCCATATAAAAAATTGGTACTTGACATATACTGAGATCGTTTTATTTTGTGCGAGACAAATGAAGTCATAGAACAGAATGTGCTTTAAGTTTTATGAATAGTGCTTGCGTGTGTGTGTGTCTATAGATGCATATTAGGCTGTTGAAAAGTTTTATTATTCTTTCCAGGAGAGAGACTGCCAACTTTTGAACCTAATTAGAACAAGTAGATTGCTTCTTCATATTTGTATTAAGGCAAAGAGAGTCTAGTTAAAAATAATTCAACTTATCGTGGAAATGCTATAAATTGCTGTGAAGTGAGTTACTGGCTATGGCTTGTCAGAGGAAATATATTGTACAAATCTTAGGGGAGAATTAGTGCTTATGCATTAAAATAAAATCATCTTGCAGCACACCGAGAAAAAGGTTAGATTTTTAAAATAATTTCAATGTCACGAAAAGAGCAAATATGCTCAACAAAGAGCCTAGCAACCCTCAATTACCAATTCCCCTTTTATATAGTTTGGTATCTGAATTAGAATCCCAGAATCTACAAATTCCTCTGGGTGTGGGTGCTGCATTTTGAAGATTTTATAACACTGCCATCACCAAGCTCTCTTTTGATATTCACTTTAAGGAGATAATTTACGGGAAACCAGAGAGCATAAACCAAAGTAGATATCTATCTAGATAGATAGATACATCTCCATATCATTGACAGGATACCTTCTGGCCGAGTGTGAGTACAACCTATGGGTGTGGTTGGAGAGAACATGTGTTCCACCTGAATGGCAGATCAAGATTATTCCTTCTCATCTGCTGCAAAGGCTCAGTGTGTTAAGGAGAGGAGCGAGACAGCAAGAACTGCATTCATTCAGTCATACAGACCAAAAGGAGGAATGTCACCCAGCCCTCTAAACTGACTCAGAACCCAGCTCATGTCTCAACTGCTACCTCTACTACTTAGAAAGAAGTAACTCCGCAAAAACAGGGTTCTGGGCAAATATATTTTCATTGATCTTATACAAATAGATGAAGATGGACTTGGATGTTAAGAAAAATAATACTATACAAATCAAGAGTAGACAGTCACCCCTAGACTTAAATTAAGAGTGTGTACATTAGATAATTTAATCCAATGTATCAGGTAAAAACTTGAACAAACCTTTTGGCCTCTTCCATAAAATTCAGGGAAGCATGTCCTTCACAAAACAGAATCAAAATATAAATGAAAGACTGGCTTAAGATGAAAGGAAACCTTATAAATGAAAAGAAGCCAGATGAGAGGCACTTAACTGAGAATGAAAAGAAACTGAGTGGACAAAATAATTATGAGAAGATGAATCTTCAAATCAGAAAGAGGGAAAAAAGCTCATTTGATACTATGGGAACTCAAAAGAGAGTGAACACAAATGTGAAAATTCCAAGAGTACAGAAAAGTAGCATAACTAAATTAAGAGCATGAGAAAATGTATACAATTCTGAGTAATAAGAACAGAAACCAAAAGTTAGTATTGTATGTTATATTTTAGTAGAGCAACACTGAAGACGAATGAAAACAAGAAATAATATTAATTATGAACATATGGAGAACAGAATAATATTTTTAAAATTTTTAGTTTCTGAGTTTACCTGAAATTTTAATTTTGGTTTCTTATGTAATACCAGAGTTATTAGGGAGGTATTAGCTAATAACGCTTTTTTCAGTGATATTTTAAGTATTTGTCCTAGAAAAATTTCTATTTAAAAAAATGTATATTTAAAAATACATTAAGTGTGTATATACATCAATCATATGTATCAATTTCTGTTTTTCTTGAATTGCAAATGAAATTTGTAGCTTTGTATTCCTGGAATAAAATAAACTTGAATGGATTGTAATATATTATTCATGCTGTAAATCAATATATTTGAATTCTTTAAGAATGTTACATTTATAGTTAACAGATATTGACCTATAAATTTTCTTTCCTATAATGATGCTGTGAGACAATTTAAGAAGAATTAAAATTTAAATACATGTCTTCCTCCTTTTTCCTCTGTTCTCTAACTGTAATATATTTTAATTACAGATGGAGGAACAGATAGATGTTAGATAAATAGATATATAATAGATAGATCATCCAAAATTCTTATTCTTATGGTTTTATGTAGTCAGTATTTACCTCTATTTTTCTACGTTTATCCTTCCAATTTAGTTCATTACTTCCTGCATCTTTGATGTCATATACATAAACAGGAAATAACACATGGTGGCCAGGATGTAGAGAGAGCCACAGGACTTGTGAATAAAATCTACAGCCAAGGATGTGGCCATTCGTTTTGCAGTATTGGAGGGAATGCCAAACGCTATGTTTGCTGCGGAAAAGAGTATGGTAGTTCCTCAAAACATCAAAATGGTATTGCCATATGATTCAGCAGCGCCACATCTCAGGATAGCAAAAGAATTGAAAGCAGAGTCTTGAAAAAATATTTGCACATCCATGTTTGCAGCAGCGTTATTGGCAATAGCTAAAACGTAGAAGCAATTGAAGTGTCCAACAACAGATGAATGGATAAGCACAATATGATATATGAATACAGTGGAATATTATTCAGCCTTAAACATGAGGGAAATATTCTGACATATGTTGCAACTTGGATGAAACTTGAGGATATTATGCCAAGTGAAATAAGTTAGTCAGTGAAGGACAAATACAGTATAATTCCATTTGTATAAGGAACTTAAAGTGGACAGAATCACAGAGATAGTACAATGATGGTTGCCAGAAGCTGGGGGGAGGAAGACATGGGGAAGTATTGTTTAATGGGTATAGAGTTTCAGTTTCACAAGATGAAACGAGTTATGGAGATGGATGGTAGGGATGGCTGCAGAATGTTATGACTGTATTTAGTACCACTGAACTGTGCACTTAAAATGGTTAACAGAGTACATTTTATGTTATGTTTATTTTACCACAATAAAAAATAAAATACCTTAGGAACATTTTCATGAAAGAGTCCACATAAAATTAATTTTAATGCACGTGTTTATACACAGCTTTCTATTTTTCTCTTTTCTATTTATATTCCAAATTAGAATATAATGCTAATCAAGCATAGTGGCTGTGTTTCTTGCTTCCTCTAGTCTGCAGGTAGCATACAAATGTAATAAACTACTTATTCATGTCATATCTATTTATTTTCTGCCTTATACCAAGCTTGTGGGATTCTCTTAAATACAACATTTTTATACATACACCAAGGCAATACCCATTAGCATCGCCTTCCTAAATCAGGGGAAATTGAGCCTCTGTAAGGTGGAGTAACTTCCTAAGATACAAAACTCAGCATTAAAGTCTGTATACTTCAATAACCTGCCCCCTTCTCATTTGTCTTTACTACCTTTTATGTATGTGTTAGATATTCAATAAACTCTCTTTTTTAAACTGAATTTAAGCCGTGGAGCAGTGTTTTGTTGAACAATAAATATGATTGATATAGGACACTCTTCCTCCCTTTCGTTTATGATGCAGTTCATGAAAGAGAGAAATTCTTTCATTGTGCTAGAAGCTTAAAGTAATGAAAATGCCACTTTCTACATTAAACAGAAACTGAAGGGAATCAAGGTGAATTGCATGAGACGTAGAAAACAAGCGGGAAAAAATCTAGTATAATTTGCCCTTTGTGTGCCTTTATTATTTAGCGTTTGAGTAAATGTTTCCCCCAAATATCTTCCCATCTTAATTCATGTCTACAAAGTAGACATTTATGTCTCACCTTGTCAAGAAGGGCAAACTCTAACATAAACACTTCCCAAAAATGCTTCCTGCTAAAACGTAAGCTCAGTCTGGCTAGAAATTAAGCTCACTTCATACAGATTAATTGGTAGCTAATCTTTGCATGCTGTTCTCTGAACTTGAGTGAAAGCTGTCCATCAGGCATACAGGGAATGACGGAAAAAGTGACCACAGAAGATGAATGCTATGTCACTAACCTTCAAATATGACCTTCCTTTTCTTTTAAATTCTTGATATCTTAAGACTTCATTAATTCATCTCTCTTTGCCCTTGGTTCAACATTGTGCTATACCAAAACTGATGTAAAACAATGATCTAAAGTAATAAAATTGGCATTTTTCTTTCATGTAGATGCAAGCTAACTGGCATTTTTACAATCAACATATTTCTTTTGTCAATTTTTCATTCTGTATTGGAAGTAATTCATGGGTATTTCTGAAGGGAAGAGGGTGTTTCTGTGTTCATTGTGATCCAAACTGTTTTTAGACCTAGTGGCATTTGTAAAACAATTTGTGCCAGCTGACCAAGGACCACTGTGGCAGAAAGCAGCAAACTTGTGTAAGATGTCACTGCCTCATAAGTTGGCTTTGAAAACTAGGGGCTTACTCTATAGTCCTATGAATTAAAGACATTGATAGATGTAGTATAAGATTACAATCATATTTTCCTTTGGACAGTCACATTGTAAAGCATGATGTATTGCAATTAATCTCAATTAGCTGATCACAATTAAAATTAATAATGTTTATTATTGCTGATAAACAGTCATGACTCTCCTGTTCTCAAATGTGCAAGTAATTCTTGTGATTTTAATACAAATTTGCATATTATTTCTAACTGATTTAATCTCATTGTATTTCGTTCATGGACCCAATTTATTAAAATATTGATAATGGGGTAATGATTTGTCTCCCCATTTCATTTACACTAAAAGCCACAATTCTTACAATGGTCTGCAAGCCCATCATGATCTGCCGCATGTTAACCGCCCAAATTCTTTTATATCTTCACCCTTGATCTTACCAGTGTTCCTAGCCACCTCACTGTCCTCTGGACATGCCAACATGCTGCTGTTTTATGACGAAGACTAGTTAATTTCTTGGCTTGGAAAGATAACCCTCCATATATCCATTGATCAGCTCATTCAACTTCCTCAAGTCTTTACTGAAACCTCACACTCTCAATGAGGTCTATTCAGTATTTCAAACTGCCTCCCAGTTGCAACACTCCAAAACCCCTTACACTTCTGTGTATTTTTGAAAGGATTTATTGAGATATAATTTACATAGTGTAGAGTGCACACATTAATGTCTACAAGTCAATGGCTTTTCGTATATGCACAGATAAGTGGAGCCATCATCACAATGAATTTTAGAGCATTTTCATCACTTCAAAAAGTAACCCCACCTTCTTTAGCTGTTAACCTCCTATGCATCCATCCCCTCCTCAATTCTAAGCAACCACAAATCTGTTTTCTGTCTCTATAGATTTTCCTATTCTATTTTCATCTAAATAGAGTCATACAATAGGTGGCCTTTTGTGCCTGGCTTCTTTCAGTTGGCATAATGCTATCAAGGTTCATATACGTATTGGTACTTTATTTCTTTTTATAACTGTATAATATTCAATTTCACGGATAGAACATTTTGTTTATCCAATAATATTTTTATTGACATTTGAGTTATGTTCAGTTTTTGGCTATTTTAAATACTGCTGCTAAAAATACTTGTGTGCAATTTGTGTTTGAACACCTCTTTCCAATAATCTGGGTGTATACCTAGGAATAAATTTCTAGGTCATATGACAATTCTATGTTTAATATATTTAGAAGCCATCAAAGTATTTTCCAAAGTGGCCAATTCTAACCATAGAGTGTCTAACTGTGGTTTTGATTTGTAGTTGCCTGATGAGTGATGCTATTGAGTACGTTTATATGGGATTATTGACCGTTCGTGTATCTTCTTGGGAAACACATCTATTCCTATCATTTATCAGTTTTGAGTTGGGATATTTGTTACTGAGTTAAAACAGTTTTTCTGTATTCAAGATACATATATACACAGACATATAGATATGTGTTTTTCAAATATCTTCTCACAGTTTTTGGGCTGCCTTTTGACTTGCTTGGTTGTCCTTTGAAACACCAATGTCTTTAATTTTTAAGAAATTTTAAATATCTAATTTTTATTTTGTTGCTCATGTTTTTGGTGTTACAGCTATTTCTTTGCTAGATCCAAAATCCTGAAGATTTTCCCATATGCTTTATTCTAGCTCTTGCATGTATGTCTTTAATTCATTTGAGTTAATATTTTTGTATGCTTTGGCGTAAGGGTTCCAATTTATTATTTTGCAAGTGGTGATCCACGTGTACGTTGTTGACCCAGTTTGTTCAAAGACTGTCTCTTCCTCATTGAATTGCAAATGGCACCACTGTAAGAATCCATTGACTATAGATACATAGTTTTATATATGGACTCTCAATTCTCTTCCATCAATCTATATTTTTTCCTTCATCAGTATTGTGTTGTCTTGATTACTGATGCTTTTTCGTAAGGTTTGGAGCACGGAGGTGTGAATTATACTAATATGTTTTCTTTTTTCAAGACTATTTTGGCTATTTTGAGTCCCTTACAATTCCCTGTGTATTTTAGAATCACCTTGTCAGTTTCTAGACAGAAGTCTGTTGGGATACTTGTAGGGATTTCATCAAATCTGTAGTTCAAATTGTAAAGTACTATAATATTAAATCTTCCAATTCATGGCTGTAAGATGTTTGCTAATTATTTAGATCTTCTTTAAACAATAATTTTTAATTTTCAGAGTAAAATCTTGTATCACATTTTCCAAATTAATTATTATTTTTTTGATGCTGTTGCAAATTGAAATGTTTTCTTAATTTCATTTTGGGGTTTTCATTGTAGATGTCTGCAATTGATTTTTGTATATTTATCTTGTATGCTGTAATATTGCTGAAATAATTTACTAGTTCTATTGTTCAGTGGATGCCTTAAAATTTTCTATATACAAGAATGTTATTTGCAAATAAAGTTTTATTTCTTCCTGTTCAATATGGGTGACTCTTATTTCTTTACTTGCCGATTTGCCGTGCATAAAATCTTTAGTACAGTGTTGACTAGAAGAGGTCAAAGTGTATATCTTATTCTTATCTCCGACCATTGTGGGAAAGTATCCTTTCTTTCACCACTAAGTTGAATGTTTGCTGTTGGCTTTTCACAGGTGCCATGTATCTGGTGTAGAAAGTTCTCTATTCCTGGTTCATTGAGTTTTTATTTTTATTTGTAATCATTAAAGCATTTGGATTTTCTTAAATGTCTTTTCTGAATCTATCGATATGATCACGCAATTCTTGTTTCTTATTCTATGGATAAGATGTATTACCTTAATGGGTTTTGGGCTGTTAAACCAACCTGGGATGACTAGTATAAATTTCACTTTGTCATAGTGTATAATTATTTTATATGTTGTTACATTTGACTTGTTAGTATTTTTTAAGGAATTTTGCATTTATACTAATAGTAGTTTTATTTTTCTATGCTATTTGGACTAAATTTCATATCAAGGTAACACTGGCCCCACAGAATAAATTGGGAAGTGAATATTTCTCTTTTTAAAAAAAGTTAGTCAGGAATTAATATCAATTAGTCAATACCAACAAATATGATTAATATTATAAATTATTAATTTCTCTAATTTTTATTTTCTTCCTTCTGCTTGCTTTAGGTTTAGTTTGCTATTTTTTTCCAGTGCCTTAAAGTGGAAGGTCATCTTATCTCATCCTTTCCTTTGTCTTTTCATTTTCAAAATGGTGTCTTTTTAGCATCAGGTGAGCTCCCCAGGTTGGTAGTACTCCATGTTTATTGCTGTACAACAATGGCAGGTAATATGTCCTGAAGACAATGGAAAGTTAACATTCAAAATCTCCCTAGATTCCACCTTATGTGATATGTCTCTTCCTTTGATTGGTCCTAATTCCTACCCTTTCTCTATTATAAAAAATGAGTACAATGGCATTCAATGAGTTCTGTGAGTCTTTCTAGTAAATTCTTGAAACTGAGGGTGTTCTGGGGAAACCCCTGAACTTGCAGTTGGTGTCAAAAGTGAGAATCGTCTTATATGGCCTCTTCCTTTGAACTTTGCAGCTGGACCCAAACTCTGCACAATTTGGGTCAGAAGTCTCGTGTTGACTTTGCAGCCTAAATTATCTTGTAGTTTGTCTAACCCTTAATAAATTTGCTTTCATCAAATATTGTGTTTGTTACCCCAAAATTACCGTCATGTTTTTTTCTCCAAATAACTAACATTGGGAGAAATAACCAGCTGAATCTGTAACTGAACAGAAACAAGTGATCCATATACCATATAAGGGGCCATTTCATTTTGCCTCCTTCCACCAAATCTTAGCAACCTCAACCATTACCATGAGACACTGTAGGCCTACAGGCTACAAACAAACAAGTGTCTTTTAAAAACTATTCACACTCCCATTTGATAAATTTCCCAGCAAAGAGATGCCTACTTTATGCAAGTGGGTCATATTCGAAAAGTCTGGAGATATTATTCATGTAGTGTGAGAAAATCATCCCAGCGATGCCAGCACATTCTCCTTCCCATGATCTGCTTAGTTTGCAAACATGTTCAGGCCATAGGTGAGAGATTTGCATTTCACAGTACAACAATTTTATGGAGGGCATTGAAACTTGGATTGAGCATTTTAGTACAGTCACGCATCACTGAATGATAGGGTTACGTTCTAACAGATGCATCCATAGGCAATTTCATCATTTTGTAAACATCACAGAGAATATTACAAACACTTAGATTGTACAGCCTACCACGTCTAGGTTATATGGTAGAGCCTCTCTCTCCTAGGCTACAAACCTGTGTACTACATTACTGTACTGAATACTGCAGGCAATAAGAACACAGTGATAAGAGTTTATGTATCTAAACATACTTAAACACAGAAAAGTATGTAAAAATATGTATTATAATCTCATGGACCACTTTTGTATATGTAATCCATCTTTGACAGAAATGTTATTATGCCTTACATGACTCTATGACAAAAATAAAATAACACATTGTAAAAAATGTACACATGTACCAAACATATTAATATTATAAAAATAAAAATATTCGGTGTAAGAATTTGTAGTGATCACAAAATATTCACAGCTTATATTTTAGTACAGTTGCAAAAGCCTAGTGCAATTACTATATATTTCTGTGTGTATATTAAACATGTATATAATAAATATTTTTCAGGTTCAACAATATATATCAATCCTACTGGCTCTTATAAATATTAGTTAAAATCAATTAGTAAGTTCATGTGTATATATATACACACATGTGTATCAGTGAGTGTGTGTGCATGTATGGGTGGGAATGTAATTGTATGTGTGTGTAAATGTAATTGGATGCATCCTAATATTTATCCTTACCTACAAGATTTCCAAGATTCATTTATTATCTTTAGATGATGTGCATTTAAAGATTTACCAAATAAAACTCTAATCGTGGAAAATATCAAGATGTTATTAAATTCACCTTGTGCACATAATTGTTTCTTTAAATGTATGTTTCTTGAAAAACTTGCATTAACGCTCACGCACAAAATAATTTTCTAAATAAAAAATGAAAACATTTTCTCGGTCATTAATTCTTAATAATTATTTCTCTCCAATAATTAATGTGAATTGATTCTTAATTCTTAACTATAGAATAATGTTGTCCTTCAGAGTTCTGAAATTTTTGGATGTTGTATACATTTCACTAACTAGAACAACTTCTGAAATATTGGCATTAATTAATGTCACTCAGCAATTATTGATTTCAAAGAAATTAAATACCATTCATATTCTGAATCACAAGGGTATTTTGACATCTAATTTAATCAAGCTCTTTGTATCATCATCTACACGTTAATTACTTAACAAACATTTCTCTGTGTGAGAAAGATTGAGCAGGTTATTGTGCTTTGTTAATATGCAACTTTTGCTTAATCTAGAGATAGGCAATGCTCCCTGTAAGGGACAAAGAGAAAAATGAACGAGCAATAGAGATGTGACAGGCATGGAAAAAGACAATACATTTATAAAACAAATAGGGCCACAGATGACGATAATGGGGATAAATCTTGAGATACTGACTCAGTTTATAACCGCACTGTATAATAGAGTAAATCATTTGTTAATTTTTTTACAAATGGAATTTAATTTAATTAAGATGAATACAGTGTTTTAAACAAGGCAGGTTATCTTAAAATAAAATAGTGGAATAAAGTGATAAAACCAATGTAAAAATCATAAACATTTTATAAAGAATTTTTTCATGTAATTTAATATTTTTGTTTATTTAAAATCACCCTATTCAAAATAATATTATCTTAATTAACAAATAATCATCAGAAGTTTAACTGATTTTTACTTTATAATACTGTTTAAAAATTCTTAACTATATTTTTAATCATATATGCTTATATATAAAATTGACATAGGATATATATTTACATGTTCACAATATTATATTGTAATTGTTCCTATGCATGTGGTTTTTGAATAGAATTAATAAGTACTTTTAAAAAGTATCAATTTTAATGATATATATGTTTGATTTTTCTTTGACAAAGCATACATATATTGATAGGTAATAATACGAAAATCTTCTAAAGACATTACAGGAACATGAAATTGTAATTAAATACTCAATAATTTGTAATGTTTTATGTAAGCAGAACCCATTTAACTGAAAATTGCTTTTATGTAATACTCAAACCAGACTAAAAACATTTTAACTAGTGGAGTAAGTCTTCAAATTGATTATCTGAACTATATAATAGTAGAAACTTCAGGCACTCAAATATTTGAAATGCTACAAAATATTTATATAAACTAATATTTAAAAATGTCTGTTTGTAGAGTGCTACACAGTAATCAATATAAATGACATCTCAAGTCTTTCTCTAGCTTTGACCACATTTACCTCCTAATTTTAATTATTAATATGTTGGAGCAGTACGTACAAGATTCCGATCTTCCTTTTTAATGAGTAAAAATATATCCTTTGAGACAGCATTAAAGAAAGAGCACCTTGTATAAATTCAATGCAAAGAGACAAGATATTCTTGATTCTGAAGTCTTTTTCTTTGATACAGCAATGTAATTAATAAGAAGAAGAAAAGCAGGACATAGATGTGGAGTCTATTTTAATCAAAAATTGTCTATAGATTTTGATGATAAAATTTAAAAATCTACTATATTTAGTTAGTTACAAAAAACTAGGTTGTGGGAGCATATTTGGTCAATAAAACATCCCTACAAAATGCTGACAAGAAAAAAATTTAGGTACCAACTTTCTTCTCTGCAGATGGCCTGAGATGGGTTAATTTGAAAGAATGCTTCCAAACCTGAGGTGACCCCTGAGAACAGCATAATCCACTGCTGTCTCCTACATTCAGTTTCTCAGTTTGTGCTCTTTTAATTTTGGAGGGAGGGAAGCCAGTCCTTTAAACCGATCTTCAGCATGATGGCAGAGCCAAGGAGTGCAGACAGGTGGCAAGGTGTCTGACTTTGTTCTAGCAGGCACTTGGGCTTTCTCTGGGCCTTCTGTGCCCTTGGGATAGCACCACTATTGAAAACATGTCTTTGTGACATTCTCTATGCCAGGAACTCCCAACACATTTTCCTTGAAACTGATGAAATGAATAAAAATAAACCAAGAGGTGTGCTGTTTGTTTCTGTTTCCTCCTTTCTGCAGCCATTCTTGATCATCTAATATTTTTAAATACATTGTCGATCACCAAAAGGAGCATAAGGGTTTTATTGATTTGTAGCAGATGTATTAATAGCCCAGCCGCTATTCTTTACCTGTAGCTGCTGGGAAAAAAACAATTCTTAACACTCTACAAGGTCTCATCTCCAGAATTTGCACCTGTTTCTAGCTGAGGACTTTCTCTAGCAGTACGGGAGCTTGATACTGGGCATGAAGTGGGAAGAAAAGGTGAGGGTAACTAAGAAGAATCTCCCTGGATTCAGTGATGTAATTCTGAGGCATGTTCCACATAGCTTCCCAGAGAATTAAGCCCAGATATCTAACACAGAAACTTACCTCTTAGCACGTGTGGTATTGGCTTTTCTATCTTTCCTGTTTTAGTTTGTTCTCTCTTCCTTTTCTCACTTTCACTGTGTCCTCACTCCTGCTTAAAAATACCCAAACAAATACATTCATTTATTTTTTTAGACTCTCAGAACACAGTTGATAGTGTAACTTGTAGTCTATGATAATCAGCTTGGATGCTATACTGACAGGAAGATGGTGAACTCACCATGTCTAATTAAGATAAAATATAAAAACATATTGATTTATGTCCAAAGATTTAAAAAACCTAAGCGGCAGTGTCACAATTTCTTCTTTTTAGTTTACATGGTTTCTTAAATGCCTACAATTATTTTAAAGGAAGCCTTGAGTCTAGGAAAAATTGAGACATATGGAATAAATTACTAACCCATCTCTCCTTGAAATCCATTAGATGCTTGATGATTTCTCACATATATTTCTGAATTGAAAAGCTAGTTGTGAATTACTTTTATCAGCATATCGTTATGTAATATTTTGTTTTTAACAGTGAATTAAAGGTTTAAAGATTAAATTATTCTATCCACAGAATAAAAAGCAATTATTTCACAAGGAGAACATGTGTGTGTTGACACGACATTTTAAAATCTAGATTTTAAAACAGGTCCTATATAGTTTTGAGTCAATTAGAATATGTTTGTATCAGTCAGTCTACAGTTTTACACCTGTCAAAATGTACTTGAACTACAACAAGTACCTTGAACAATTTTGAAATTTATTATTCCTCTGAAACTGATTAAAAGAATTATGGTAGAGTGAAATTCTGATTGACATAATTTGGGAGAGAAATTATTCCTTGGACATCAACCTCTGCCAAGGTAGTTTATAACGACATTGAGACTTTCTGATTTACAAAATTTGTTATATAAAAAATACTAAGACGATGACAGATAATACACAGACTTTAATTAAAATTGTACTAAAATTAAATGTCGAAAATAAATTAGAAGGGTACGTGGTATATCTAACTGTATGTTTACATATCTTAATTGTGCATTTTATTCCTAGGGTTGCTTTTGCTTTAGTTTGTAAAACGTTCTTATTTTTATGATAATGTAGTATATACTAAATAAAGAAAAATCAGGAAGTAGAAAATGAAGAAGAAAACATTAACTATTGTCAACCAAATAAAAATTGTGCAATCTCTAAGTACATGAACTATGTATTATTTTTACAGCATGTACAATGTTTATGCTTCACAGGGTGTGGTAGAGACTGCAAAATATTGAACCTGGGACAAATAAGAAAGTAAGGAAATTTTCACAACATATTAATATTATAGAAAATGTTGAACATAACAGTTAAGATACAAGTAGTGAAAATGATAGTATTTAAGGAGATCTAGAGAATTTAATCTATATCTGTAATGTGTGAGAAGTATTAGAATAATGCTTGTATTTCTGGATTGGCATCGATTTCTTTTGAGACTGGACACATAATAGAAGTGAGGGAAAAAGAATTTAAATTGTGGATACTTGAGTTTTATACCTAGGAGTTCGAGAAATACATCTTGTGACTATCAAAGCAGTTGGCACAAGAGTGTACGAAATTCCCTAATTGTGCCTATGTGGAGAAGACATAGACAAACAGAGAATAGCCAAACAGAAATAGCAAAACAGCACAACTAAATTTTACCTGTATTGTTAAGTAAAAGCCAATTAGAGTAGGAAAACATGAAATTTGTGTTTTATCAAAATTTTTCTCTTTCTCATAATATAGTTGATTATATTACTGGAAAAAAATTGAAGCATTGGTATGTTCACAAAAAAAAAGTAAAATATAATGTCAAAACCATGGGAATGCAGGAAGCAGACAAAATATACCTAAACACCGAATCTGATTTTGCCCTATGGACATGTACCAAAATGAATGAGTGCAGATTCCTACTGTCATACATCACATAAGACAGTAAAGAAATACATAGATTTTCCCAAGATAGGGCATCACACAGGAGCTCCTCCCTGAAGCTAGGACCAAAATTTCTATCCTCAGTATAAAGAAGAATCAGAGGTAAATTTGTCCCATTTCACATTCCCTGGAAACGGCAAATAAAAATGACTTGAGATTGGACAGATTTAAAGCAACTCAATCATTAATAATTAACAGCAATTAATTTAAAAATTGTTTAAATGTGCAGTGCAAACATACGTCCAAACACCTTTAGGCCAAGAATTAACATAATGTAGTCCCAGAATGGTGGTGCCTTTAGTAGACTCACAAAAAAATTCAAATTCTCTTTGGCAAATTTTCTTCTTACTAATCCTCAAAAGTGCACAAAAATAATTTTCAGAGAAAAATAAATATTTGTCATTCAAAGGCATCTAGGTATGCAAGGAAATGATATTCCACCATTTGAAAGGGAAGTAGAAAAAGAGTACAAACAGATCCACAACAGTTCATTAGTAGAAATATCACTGTTAGATTATAAAGCACATTTGCTGTAAAAAATTTAAAATAAAATGAATATATTTTTAGGAGACTAAAAAATTGATGCAGCAAATTTGAAAAGCAGTTTGTATAAAAATATAGTATTTTAAATTAAAAACTCAAAAATGAACTCATCAGATTAGAGATGGCCATGGTGAGAGTTCATAAATATTTCAGAATGCATTACAGAAAATTTAAAAAAATGCAAAATGTGGACAGAATCATGAAGAGACGTGGAAGATACAGTGAGAAAGTGTAGCATGTGTTTAGTGCGTGTTCTCATAGAAGAAGGGAACTGGGAAGGGACAATATGTGATAGTATTTTGGCTGAAAGTTCTCTAGACTTTTGTAAGACATTAATCCGCATGTTCAAAAATTCCATGCATGCTAAGCAAGCTACAATGGAGATAAACCTACACCTACGTATCTCCTAGAGAAATAGTAAACAATCAGGAAGGGAAAAATATTTCAATTAGCACTAGAAAAATCAAATTACCTTTAATCATATTGAAATCTGAAAGAATGAAAGGTAAAATAAACAATATTATTTGTTAAGAATAATAATGCCATTCTGAAATTCTCAACCAAGAAAAATATTCATCAACCTATGGCTAAATAACTTATTTAGAGACAAGAAACAAAACGCCACCAGCAGAATTCCACTAAAGAAACTAAAGAGAAACTCTGAAAACATGCTTCAGAAAGGTTGAAGTTCTGAAATCAAAGAATGAACACAGAGCAAAATACATTGTAAACATACAGATAGATCTAAATAAAAAATTAGGTGTTGAAACAAAAAGATATTTAAAATTAGATAAGCACGGAAATATGTATGTTAGGAAGCAACTTATTAGGGCTGAAGTATTCAAAGACCCCTTAATTGTCTGACAAGAGCAGAAAGGTGAGTATGACTTTGCAACTTTTTTTTTTTTTTTTTTTTTTTTTTTTTTGCGCAGGAGTCTCACTCACTCTTTTGCCCAGGCTGGAGTGCAGCGGCGCCATCTCGGCTCACTGCAACCTCTGCCTCCCAGGTTCAAGCAATTCTCCTGCCTCAGCCTCCTGAGTAGCGGGAATTACAGCCGCGTTCCACCATGCCTGGCTAATTTTTGTATTTTTAGTAGAGACGGGGTTTCACCATGTTGGTCAGGCTAGTCTCCAACTCCTGACCTAGTGATCCACACGCCTCGGCCTCCCGAAGTGTTGAGATTACAGGCGCGAGCCACCATGCGCGACCGACTTTGGAACTGTAATAAATTCACTGGACATTATGCATTTCTCTGTTGTATCTATGAAAACAATAAAAATAAAAGTCAAAATTTAAAAACAAGAAGACAGACCCTGATAGGAAAAAAGAGGCATTATATATATATATATATATATATATATATATATAACAAATTAATAAAACAAATTAAGTATAAGTGATCAAAGATTAACTTAAACCTAAGTAGACAATGTTTTTGTTAAAATACAAAGATTGGCAAAATTAAAAAATTCCGTCTCTATCGTAGTTACGAGAGGCAACTAATATATAAATTTTCAGAAACTTTGAAGTTCAAACAATACAGATAGTGTGTGTATATATGATATACATGCAAACATATTACATGAATATAATTTTTTAAAAAGTTGCTATGTAGACAAAATAGAATGTAAGTTAGAAACATTTATTAAAATAAGTTAGTCTAACCAGTGTAATAAAAGTTTAAAGTTATTAAGAAGATGTGATGACTTAAATGTGCATTAGCCTGATATATATATATACATATATACACACACACCACACTCTCTCTCTCACACACACACACAAACACGTATTTAGAGAGTCAAAATATATAAAGCAAAAATATCAGCAAGTAAGTAAAAATGGATAAGCCCCCAAATTATTATAGACATTTCAAACACATATCCTTCAGTAATAGATACAAGAAGAAATTAAAAGAGTAAGTTTTAAAAGAAGCTACTAGATTTTAAAAAGGGCAAATATTATATAAGGAACATGAATATTATAATTCATGTCATTTTCATGTTCATACCGAATACTTACAAAAATTAACATTTTCTAGACCATACCACAAATTCAAACAATTTTCACGGAAATAACGTGACACAATATATTTCCTAAACAAACAGCAATGAAGGTAAATATCAATACAATAAAGAAAGCTAGAAACATAAGGCTAATAATATTGGTTGGAAGCTATTTTAATGACGATTTAAATATTTTAAAGGTGAATTGTCAATACAAATGAACCAAACACTTTTGTAAGGCCACTAAGATGCATGTGTAACGCGTAATGCCTCCTTTTATAAGGAGTCAATCTGTAATATCACCTGGGCTATTTGACAACTTCAAAGTGAATGTGAGAAGGAGAGAAACAGTGAGAGAGAGATATATAAAACCAGTAAAATAAACATAAAGAATGAAGGAAATATCCAGGCGCCATGGTTCACGCCTGTAATCCCAGCACTTTGGGAGGCCGAGGCAGGTGGATCACCTGAGGTCAGGAGTTAGAGACCAGCCTGGTCCAACATGGTGAAACCCACTCTCTACTAAATATACAAAAATTAGCCTGGCATGGTGGCATGCACTTGTAATCCCAGCTACTCGGGAGGCTGAGGTGGGATAATTGCTTGAACGTGGGGGCTGGAGGTTGCAGTGAGTAGAGATCACGCCACTACACTCCAGCTTGTGCGACAGAGCAAGACTCCGTGTCAAAAAAAAGAGGAAATAGTACATGAAAAAGCAGAAATAAAGCAACTGAGTATATATTTAAACATGCAAAAGCTCACTTTTTCAGAAAAATACTAAAATATTAAATCTAAGAAATATCTAGGTAGACTGATGGAGAAAAATACAGAAAATGTACAAAAAGAATTACCTGGAATGCAAAGGATACAAAATGTCAGCAGTTGTGGATTTTATATAAGCAATGACTTTGAGTTCAACCATGATGGGGTATATTGAAAAGAATCTCTCAGAATAAAAGGAAAAGAAAACTGTTATAAAGCTATGTACAAAATGTTAAGCACTATTGAAATCTTCCAAATCTACCAGTTATGGAGTTATTGGTCTTGGACTAACCCTCTTGAACAGAAAAAAACAAAACAAAACAAAACAAAAAAACCTAAAAACCTGGATAAAATAGCCTACCGTGGGCACTGGCAATGCAACCAAGCAGGTAGGACCTGGGTGCTACATTCTCTTTGTCAGAACACGAAGCATTCACACACTCTTCTCACCCTCACTCTCACCTTTTAATCTTAGATCTACTATTGAATATATTCAACATTACTATCAATCCTTTGGTCAAAATTTCTTTACTCACATTGTGCTTGATGCACTTGGATAGACTTTCAAGAAAATGTGAGTAGTGAATTCCTCAAACTCTTGCATATTTAAAATTACATTTTTGAGCCTTGATGCTTGAAGTGTAGCTTGGGTAACGGGTGGGCTTTAAGCCAATTTTGGCATGCAAGGGGTTGAGTTTATTAGGCATCAGCACCTCTGAAAATCGTGGGGATGCAGGCTTAATTTCAACACACTTCTTAATACTTGAAAGATATTATATAATTCTTTAATAAACTCCTGTGTCTACAAATGGTTCACATTAACTCAATATCCATGATTAAACATCTATAAAATCAAGGCACTGTTATTTAGTGGAGACTTGCTGGCTATTCTATGAGAGGAGGTATTGTTATTGTAATCTCATCCTCTCATAAATGTGTATCATGTTACTCATAACCAGCCCTTCATATTCTATTCCTATTTTGGTATTTTAAAATAAGATATCTTTGAAACACTTGAATTCAAAGAGGGAATCTGAATAGTTTTTAAAAGGTCAATGCCTTTCTTCATGCTTGAACAAATAAAAATGGACTAAAGTGCTGCTCTTCAAACTTTCTGGAACATTTTTTATCTAAATTCTAAGAACAATCGCAATAGGTTTTAACCACAAATGTGAGAATAGTCTAAATGTTAGTGTGGAAAAAATTTTTCAATAATTTTATAGTAATTTTTTTCATCATAGTGACGGTGTGCTAAATTTTTTAAGTCAAATATTACTTTAGACATTTAAGTCAAGATTCTAAGAAGCTGTTTTAAAGTCCAAAATTTAGTTTCATATACAATGATATTATATCTATATTTGCATATAAAATTAATATATGTAAGCCATGTTTCAAATAGTTGAGATATTATTATATCAAAGATTCTTGATTATATAAAATGCCAATTACTTATAGGCACACATGCTTTAAATAATTACAAAGGCAGTTGTGGTTGATTCTACTCTTGCTACTGGCATTTGTATGGACATACTATTATGGTCTGAAGAATATTTAGGCAAATTTATCACTCATATGATCAGAAGAACAATGCAAGATAGTTTATATCTGAAAGGAAAAAAATCTTTATATGGTTCTGAAAGCCTAAATCATTAACAACTTGGATAAATATTAGCATAAAAATACACAAACATGCCCTCTTCCTAGCAGTAAGTACACAGTGACAACAGAATCAAAGCATGTGGCTCCTCTTCTCTGCCCTTTCTAGATGGCACAAGTCCTCATGAATCTAAGTGCAGTCATAGGATGGATTAGGATGACCTGCCATTTGTATGCAACTGATCTCAATTTTGGAAGTAATTAAAGTAAAAATATATTTTTAAAAGATAATTTCAAATTTCAGTGCAAACTAGCATGGTTTCACCCCTTTTCTTTGTAACATTTTTTCTAAGGTTGGAAAAGTAAGGTAGGCTTTAGCACGATTTTTAATAATAAGTTTTCAAAGTGAGACGCAAAATGGTGGCGCCAACACATTTCAAGTCTGCTACATTTTGAATACACTTATTGGAGAAAAGACCTTCTCATCATTTTTCTCTTACAAGAAAGGAAATAACATGTACAGTTGACCCTTAAGCAACACGGAGGCTGGGGTGCTGGCCCCCCTGTACAGTAGAAAATCCACTATAACTTTGACTTCCCCAAAACTTAACTACTAATAGCCTACTGTAAGCCTTACAAATAACACAAGCAGTCAATTAACACATATTTAATATGTTATATGTCTTATATACTGTATTCTTAACAAACATGCCAGAGAAAAGAAAAAGAAAATCATAAGGAAAATATATTTACTAGTTATTAAATGGAAGTAAATGATCAAACAGATCTTCATCCTCATCCTTTTCATGGGCAGGGTGTGGAGAAGGATATAGAATTGTTGGTTTTGCTAAGTGGACCTGCACAGTTCAAACCACTGTGGTGCAAAGGCCAACTGTATGGCCATTGAATAGCAATTTATTTTTAGAAATTAATCTCACTAAAATACTCTTAGAAGGATGCCAAGAAAAAAATGAATAAGTATGTTTGGTTCATCTATTTCATCATTTCACTTCATTTCATCATTTCTTTTCCTCATTTCATCATTTCATTTCATTTCATCCTTTCATTTCATCCTTTCATTTCATCATTTCATCATTTCATCTAATCATTTCATCTCATCATTTCATCTCAACATTTCATTTCATTTCATCATTTCACTTCATCTCATCATTTCATCATTTCATCTCATCATTTCATTTCACCTTTTCATCTCGTCATTTCATTTCATCATTTCATTTCATCATTTCATCTCATTTCATTTCATCAATTCATCATTTCATTTCATTTATTTCATCATTTCATTGTTTAGTTTCATCATTTCATCATTTCATCATTTGACTTCATTTTATCATTTCTTTTCATTTCATATCATTTCATCATTTCATCTTTTCATTTCATTTCATCATTTCACTTCATCATTTCATCATTTCATTTCCTCATTTCCTCATTTCATTTCATCATTTCATTTCATCCTTTAATCATTTCATCTCATCATTTCATCCTTTCATTGCATTATTTCCTTTCATCATTTCATCTCATCATTGCATTTTGTCATTTCATTATTTCATTTCATCATTTCACATCATCTCATCATTTCATCATTTCATCTCCTGATTTCATTTCATCACATCATTTCATCTCATTTCATCTTTTTATCTCGTCATTTCATTTCATTTGATCATTTCATTTCATCAATTCATCATTTCATCATTTCATTTCATTATTTCATCATTTAATCATTTAATTTCATTTCATCATTTCATTTCATCATTTCATATCATTTCTTCATTTCATCATTTGATCTTTTCATTTCATTTCATCATTTAATTTCATTTCATCATTTCACTTCATCATTTCATTTCATTTCATTTCATTTCCTCATTTCATTTCACCATTGCATTTCGTCATTTCCTCATTTCATTTCATCATTCCATTTCATCTTTTCATTTCATCACTTCATCTCATCATTTCATCCTTTCACTTCATTATTTCATTTCATCATTTCGTCTCATCATTTCATCTCATCATTTCATTTCATTCCATCATTTCATTTCATTTCATCATTTCATCATTTCATTTCATTTCAGTGATACATGTATTTAAGTGCTAATATGATGCCCAGGAGACACCCTATTTCCCTTTGTAAAACACCTCCTTCAACAAAAAGCAACCTCTCATTGCCGGCTAAGTCTACAGGGATACCAGGCTCTCTTCAACCACCCAGTTTGATTTGGAACATCAAACAGCACCTCAGTTTCATAAAAAGCTAAAACATAAACACAACACTTGGTTGTAAGTGAGACAACAGTTTCTTGTCTCTGTCTCTGCTCAAGGCTTAAGGCCGTGTCTCCCCAACTACGTTCAGAGGAAGAAAACATCCCCTGGACAAATAAGTTTGAGAACTGTTGGTGCAGGACTTCTGAGAACCTTTAAAACACAAATCCTTATCCGCAGGGATCTTCAGGAGGGAGATGGCTGATGCAGCACAACTTTCTTTCACAGGAGCATCCTGCAGAATACAGTATGAGTTACAGAAAGGCTGCATTTAGTCTTATTAAGGGCCCGGGCCTTGGTGGAGGTGGGGTAGGAGCTCTACAGATAGCATCTAATGAGCAGGAACATTCAGTTGGCTTTTTTTTCTCCTTATTGACAAAACTGTGTGTGCACCATGAATGAAGCTGGTCTCCCTTATCCATATCAAAACTAAACCCGAATTAGTTGTCTAAATTGGGACTCAACACCTCCAGGAGCCACACGGAGGAAAGCCCCACCAGACTTTAAAGTAGCTTACCTCATCATATTTGAGGAAGGCAAAACGCTTATGACCAGTATGCTGCTAATACAAGTCTACAGATAATGCTGTAGGAAAAATTATTTTTCCCAATCATAGCTGGCATAGTCCACATTTTGCATTACACTTTCCCCCCCTTTTTTAAATTTTAAACACAGGTGTTTCTCTCTTCTTTTTTTAAATTTTAATTAAATTATATAAGACGGAGTCTCAGTATGTTGCCAAGGCTGGTCTTGAACTCCTGAGCTCAAGTGAGACATCCATCTCTGCCTCCCAAAGTGCTGAGATTAGAGGCCTGAGACACTGTGCCTGGCCTTAAACACAAATCTTACTTCATTCTTACAATTATCCTGAGGTTAGAAAAATGGAAGGGGAAGAAAAATGGCAAGCAGGTAGGCTGACTTCGGCTTCATTACTTGGAAGGACAATTTGCTCGGTTAAAGCCCACTACTGCCCACAAAGTCCAAGACAACAGAAAAATACAGACTTATATAAATAGATTTTATATGTGACAGCAGTTTGAAGGGAGACTTTTTCAATGCAAATGACAAACAGCTGTGCTTGGGAATAAATGACAACAATTTTTTTTTTATCTCAACAGCTGTCCTGAGAGCATGTCTCTACATCTCTACCTGCATTCTGGAATCAGGGAGAAAGCCAAAACGGACTACAAGACACTAGATCAGCCGTGTCCAACCCTTTGACTACAAGGACTTTTCCGCCTATCTGTGGTGGTGGGTATCATGAAAATTATGTACAAACCTTTTTTTTTTTTAAGCTCATCAGCTGTTGTTAGCATTAGTTATTTTATGTGTGGCCCAGGAACATTCTTCTTCCAATGTGGCCCTGAGAAGCCAAAAGACTGGACACCTGTGCACTAGATCAAAAGTCTACTCCTTCTGGAAGCAATTGTAAAGAATTTCTGACATTATCTTGACATGAAAACCAATGGATAGTGGGACAGAATGCAAAATCTTCAAGAATTTTTCTTGTTGGTTTTTTTTTTTTTTTTGAGTCAAGGTCTTGCTCTGTGGCCCAGGCTGGAGTACACTGGTGAGATCACAGCTCAGTGCAGGCTCAAGTGCTCCTCCCGCCTCAGCCACAGTAGTAGCTGGAATTACAGATGCACGCAACCACCCCTGGCTAATATTTTATTTTTTGTAGAGACGGGGTCTCACTATATTGTCCAGGTTGGTCTCAAACAACTTGACTCAAAGGATCCAGGACAGGATAACAGGTGTGAGCCACCACACCTGGCCATGTGCATGAACTTTTAAGACAAACACAAGGCCCCACAAAAGTTAAGGTTTTCCCACCTAATTTCCAGGGGATCTTTTGGTGCAAGGATAAGAAGCCCTTAAAAGTACACAGACAACTCCAAAGATTCAAGACAGTTCATTGGGGCTGAGCCAGCCCACTGGGCAGACTGACCTTCAAGAAAGGCCCACCCATGACATACACCAGATGTCTCTCCAAGAATCTCTCCAGTCCTCAGGGTCCCTAAGGTACTGGACAGAGCTAGGAAAGCAAACCCATTTGCTTCTTCCTGCAGGAAACCCCTTGAGGTCAAGACCCCACAATCAGACGAGGATGGAGTGGCTCACCCTCACTCAACAGGCCAGACTCAAGGTGGTATAATGTCTTAACCAAGATTGTGGGCCTCCAGGTCGCACTCCCAAGTCAGTGCTCCTTTATTAATCAAACTTTGTTAATTCTCCTTAACAGGGGTTTCTGGCAAGTCAGTTCTCCCTCAGGCCTTCGGTTTCCTCACCTACAAGATGAGAGGACTGGACCTGGCGGCGTCACCCCCGCCACCACCCTCCTTCTTTTCTCTCATTGCCGCCGCACGCAGGGCCGCTCTATGCAAGCCGCAGTGGCCCAGGCAGGGGGCTCGGGAGCCTAGGCAAGGAACCCCCGAGCCTGAAGAGCTGGACCAGGAACGACCCTCGGCGCTGACCCCGCCAGGACGCTAGTAGAGCTGGCAGCGGAGTCTGCCGCTCCCGCCCTCAGAGCCGCGGCGGTGGGCGCAAAAAGCCGCAGCAGCGGGGGCAAAAAGGCGCAGCGGCCAGGGAAAAAGTCGCAGCGACGGGGGCAAAAAGCCGCGGCGGGGGCAAAAAGCCGCTGCGGCGGGGGCAAAAAGCCATGGTGGCAAAAAGCGGTGGTGGCAGGGGCAGAAAGCTGCGGCGGTGGGGACAAAAAGACTAGGCAGCGGGGTCAAAAAGCCACCGCGGGAAAAAGGCGCAGCGGCGGGGTAAAAAGCCGCGGCGGCAGGGGTAAAAAGACTCGGCGGCGGAGGCAAAAAGACGCAGTGGCGGGGGCAAAAAGCCGCGGTGGGAGAAAGCAGTGGCGGTGGGGGCAAAAAAACGCGGCGGCAGAAAGCAGCTGAGGCGGGGGGGGGGCAAAAAGCCTCAAAAGCCGCGGCGGCGGCAGGAGCAAAAAGCTGCTAAAAGCCGCGGTGGCGCGGGCAAAAAGCCGCGGCGACGGGGGCAAAAAGCGGCAAAAAGCCGCGGCGGCGAGGGCAAAAAACCACAAAAAGCCGCGGCGGCAGGGGCAAAAAGCTGCAAAAAGCAGCGGCAGCTGGGGCAAAAAGCAGCGACGGCGGGGGCAAAAAGCCGCGGCGGCGTGAGCAAGAAGCCTCGGTGGCGGGGCAAAAAAGCGCGGCGGTGGCAGCAAAAAGCTGCGGCCGGGGGAAAAACCCCGCGGCGGCGGGGCAAGAAGCCGGGTAGGCAAAAGCCGTGGCGGAGGGGGCAAAAAGCCGCGGCGGCCAAAACCCGTGGCAGCGGGGGCAAAAAGCAGCGGCGGTGGGGGTAAAAAGCCGCGTCGGCAAAAGCCGTGGCGGCAGGGGCCAAAAGCCGCGGCGGCGGGGACAAAAAGCCGTGGAGGCTCGGGCAAAAAGCAGCGGCGGCGGGGGCAAAAGGCCGTGGCGGGGGCAAAAGGCTGCGACGGCAGGGGGCAAAAAAGCCGCGGCGGCGGGGGGAGAAATTCCGTAAAAAGCCGCGGCGGTGGGGGGAAAAGCCGCGGCGGCAAAAAGCAGCGGTGGCAAAAAGCAGCGGCGGCAGGGGCAAAAAGCCGCGGTGGGAGAAAGCCGCGGCTGCGGGGTCAGAAAGCCTCGGCGGTGGGGGCAAAATAGTGGAAATGGGGTAGAAGGCGGCACGGCTTGGCATTGCTGGAGTGTGATGTGATAGGAAATGTGCAGCCAAACACAAAAAAAGATGTAAGTAGGCTTGACTCATTGCAGCTAAGAACCCAGATGTTATCTTGAGGGTATTAACTAATAAGCAGTTTAAATCAGAATGGCACATTCTGATTTGTTTTTTGTATGTTCACATTTGGCAGGCATAGATACTGTTTGAAGAGAGGAAACTCAGTAGATAGAGGTAACAAACTTAAATATGTGCCAAGTCTAGAAACAAGAGACTAGGGGGATAAGGATCTTTTAAAATAAAATGCCAGATTTGAAAACTGATTGGCTGGGGGATGAGGAAAAGGCAGGTCTTTAAGGTCAATACCTGTTTTGCTTTAAGTTGTTAGGGGGTGGTTTTATCACATATTGTAGAATATGTCATTTCAGTTTTGAACATCTTGACTTAAATTGTCCTAACATATCTTATGAATTTGATTTTGTTCCCTGGGAAGCTAATATTTCAAAAACTGAAAGAGTATAGATTTCCAACTTGTGTCCAATTTATAAAATTCTCTCTAAGCTGCTGGTTTCAGGAGGAGGCTCATGAATATTCTATTTGCAGAGAATATATCAGGAGTTAACAACAGCATCAATATTTGTGGACGACCAGTTAACTAAGCCACCACTTAGTGTATTTAGATGGGAAATCTAAGCTGAAGATATTCAATAATGAACCAACAGTGACTAAAAAATTCAATATGTAAGTATATTTCATTGTAATTAATTTGAAATTAAGTAGCCATATACAGCTAGTATTTACTACATTGAGCAACGCAAATAAGAGGACAAAATTAATAACCATCTCTAATACCACATGCCAAAATCCTCATCAATTTATTCTAGCTAAAGGAGTTTATCAGAAGCAGCAATTGAAAGCACCAACTAAACCAGTTGGGGTTAATTCACTGTCATTCTCTCAGAACCATCTCTTCTCTGAACAAAACAAGTACAAGAGTTAATTGTGAATCTCCATTTTCCTTGCCTATTTTAAGGTTTTGATGTTGACACTAATTTGTGAAATCCCTCCTGTGGTGTGATATTTCATTTTCCTTGCTCTTTGTTAGGACAAGAATGATTCAGCTCTTAATTTAAAATTATGTTTCTCCCTCCTAGGTTGAGTGAACTTAGAATGCATTCTCTGACATATCCAAGTTTTTGTTAATATGAATTTGGGGAGAAAAGCATACTAAATTAGCTAAGACTCCTTATTCTAGGCTTGATGCTGTGTTTGACATCTTTTGAATTTGTAGTTGCATAGGCTGCTCTCTGACACTGGTTAGTGATCTGGAAGCTATATTAACATTAGGGGAGGTGGTGTATGAGCATTAGAGGTATCCTTGCAAGGAAAGACTTGTCTTATGTCAATACGTCTGTTTTTTGCACACAAGAAAGTCAATGTTTGAGTCTTCTAAAATCTTCCTATTTCCAAGTTGCACAGTACCATCGATTCCTAAAGAAAGATCTAATTTTTGACTCAGAGACGTGG
Source organism: Homo sapiens (assembly GCF_000001405.40). Classification (NCBI taxonomy): domain Eukaryota; kingdom Metazoa; phylum Chordata; class Mammalia; order Primates; family Hominidae; genus Homo; species Homo sapiens. Next base: position 38,940,233 of record NC_000010.11, on the reverse strand, counting down.
CAAGGTAGTGAATCACCATTATAATTTAACAATCTTCAAGATAAAATTATCTCTCTGATATTTAGATTTTGCCCAATTATGAAGATATTTGGGTGTTTCGTTAAGAATGGAAGACTCTAGTCTCTTGAGCAGAGACTATAAAGGCCTCAGATGATCATTTTTAATTTTATGCTCTTTTCTTTAACACCTTCAACACAGTTGGAAGCAGCCAATATTCCCCAGAGTTGTTGTGTTTTTTAAACCAAATGCATGGTTCAGTGGTAGAAAACTGGGTTTATCCAAACTGTTTTCAGTAAACACTTCATTTCAGGTGACCTATTTCATATTAAATAATCTCTAGATCCTGTCTGCAAAACTAACTAGATCAGATAACCTACCCTAGATTTTCCGCTTTTAGGGTCTTTTAGCTGCAGTCAGTTTGGTGAAAATGATTGCAATGAAAAGATAGAGTTGTAGATGGGGAAAATGTTTTGACTAATTTAAGCATAGTGGTATTTCGTATGAGAATTTAAGTTAAACACATTTGAAAATTATAATAGAGTCTCTTGGCTGAGCTTTAAAAAAAATAGCATTTAGGCTAAAAAGGGAACTGCTACCTCTCCTAAAATCAGAAAGATGTTACAGTACTTCTCCATTCTCTAGAATTATCAGGAAGCACCTTTGTGATGATTTACTTTTGCTCTTGGGAGTGTGAGCTTGTGTAGTCGTGGAACCATCAATTAGAATGATGGTTTTCTGATCCCAAAGTCATTCGTTCTGAAAACAATATTTTTCATAAATTTGAAAGTGAGAAGTTTTGATCTTGCCATTCCCAAGTAACTCTCTTAATAAGAGGCATCAGCATGCTTCAGTGACAGCTGTCACCTTCCAGTGCTGAGAGTCATCTTTAAGTTCTCCATTTCACTCCCTACACTCCAATTTAGCTGCAGTTCTCTTGGCCAGTCCTATGAAATACATCCATGGCCTAACGACTTCTCACCACTAATACCACTCATACTAACAGCATTTTCACCTAAGTCACTACCTTTTTTCTCTGGATTACAATAGCCTCCCAATTTATTTGCTCACATGACCTACTTATTCTACACAGTGCACCAGATACACTCCTTTGAAATGCAAACACAATCATGTTATTCTCTGGTGAAGGTATCTCATATATTCCTATCGCATTTAAAATTAATTCAGAATAATCCCATGATTATCAAAACCCTACATGCTCTTCCACAACATGGTTTACTTCCAAGATATCTCTTCAACTTTTTTTTCACTGTACTGAATTGGTGACTAATGGTCATATTTTTGTTTTTGCTCAAAAAGTCTTGACTTGTAAATTTTTCAGATTCTCCTTTATCCACAGGTAACTCTTTCCTCATAAGGCGAATTGCTTGCTTCCTTGAGATCTGCTCTTAAAGATACCCTGCATTTTCTACCTAATATTTATAACTTTAATCATTCATTATTCCATTACTGTGCTCTATAGTGTATACCATTTCTGTTCTTTGTCATGTTATTAACTAAATTATTTATTTGTTCCAGTAACGTATTCCATAAATATTGTACACGTAAAAATTATGTTATTTTCATTGCTGTATGCTCAGCTGCCCAATAACAGTTTGAGGATTAACATATTTGTTAAATGCACAAATACATTCTTTCACAAATATTAGTTTAACAATTTTATATTAAACTCCCTATATACTTACAATATGAATTAGATAATTCAGAATAAACATTCCATTGGAAAAAACTAAACAATTTGTTATAAAACATCCTTAAAAGCATCAGAAAGTTAATACAGCAACGAAGAATTACAGGACCAAATTAAGAATGGTATGGAAGCCTGTTTATGGGGCTTATGTTTGGGTTATCTCTTTACTTAGAGTGACTATAAATCTCAAAAGAGAACTAAAGGGATAAATAACCATATGTACTAACATGGTAAGGGTATTTAAACATCTCTTAGTAATTGAGAAAATTGAAAGAAAAGAAAAAAGAGAAAGGGAGAAAGAGAAACAGAGCGAAAGGGATAATGAAAGAGAGAAACAGGAGAAAGGAAGAGGACGAAAAGTAAAAAGGAGGAGGAGGGGGAGGGAGGAAGAAAGAAAGGTGAAAAGAAAGAATGGTAAAATTTTTAACAACATAATTTAACCTTCTAGAATATGAATGTTGGTCTATTTGATGATGTCCCACAGATTCCTTAGTCTCTGCTCATTTTTTATCAGTTTCTCAGAGTCAATATTTTCCATTTTCTTATCTTCAGGCTCATGACTTCTTCTGTGTGTGTAAATATACTCTTAAATCCCTCTGGTGATTTTTTAATTTTTATCATTGTAGTTTTCCACTCCAGAATTTCTGTTATCTCTTTGTTGATAGTCCTACTTTTTAATATTTTTTTTCTGATTCCTTTATTTCTTTGTTTCTGTTTTCCTTTTGACATTTGAGTATAATTAAGAGAGTTGTTTTAAAGTCTTCGTCTAGTAAGTTTGATGTCTGGGTTTCCTTAGAGATATTTTCTGTCAATTTATTTTGTTCCTTTGAATGAGCCATACTTTCCCATTCTTTGTATGCCTTGTAACTTTTTGAAAACTGGACATTATAATAATTATAATTACTATGTGGTTACTCTGTAAATCAGACCCCCCCCCTACAAACACACTAATGTTTTGTGGTTATAAGTTTTATTTACTTATTATTGTTAAGGTTTTAATTTTTAGTGAAATTTTCCAAAGCGATTTACAAAACTGTTTGCTTTATAAGGTGTGGTCACTGAAGTCTTTTTGTTTCCTTAACAAATGTTAAGCTAATGTTTTGACAGTGATTTTCTTGTATGTCAGGAACTAAGCAAACAGGCAAATACAACAAAAAAAGAAAAACAAGGAATCATTATCCAGCAAGATATGTCTCTACGCCATGCAGACTGGCTTTGTGCTGGGTTCTTTAATGCCGGCACAAAGTGTGTGTTCACTCTTGCACTGAGTGAAGATCAAGTTCACTCTTGCACAGAGCTTGCACTGAGGGGAGGGTTCAGCCAAGGTAAAAATGTAGGGTCTTCTTATGACATTTGTCAGCAAGTGGCTTAACCTATGCATACATGTGACTTTCTAGACTCTCCCATGTCCGTGAATGATTTTGAATGTCTTAGTTTTCCAAATACTCTTCTCCAACTTTTCTTCCTGTGCTGAAGGTGATCTACTATATGTGTAAACTCTAATTTTTGCCCTAAGCATCTGTGGTTTGTTAGGTCTCCTTGCAGAGTTTCTTAATAATGTCCATTCCTTATCTCTTCTGTATTCTAGCAATGCAGAAGAAAAAAAAGCCTTTCATTAGTCCTTTAGGTATCCCCCAGACCAGTCAGAACAGACACATTATAATTTGCGGGTAAGATCTTCTCTTGTTCCTTTGGACCATGGACCAGGGTTCCTCATTGGGAACGTGGGCTTCTGACACTTCAAAACTGCCAATTTGCTGGGGCAAAGGCAAGTTAAAAATGTCATAAAGTTTTCAAGTTGTCTTTTTCTTGAGTCTGATTTCACTTGGTTGTTGTAATCTTTTGACCATTTTCCAGAGATTTGGCAAAGTTTATTCGGACAGTTTCTCTTAGTTGTGTGATGTTTCTGTGGGGAAATGAAAGATTGCAGCTGTCTCCACTGCCATTTTGCTGATGCTCCTCTTTTGTCAATTTTTGCTTCATGTTATTATGCTTTGTTATTAGTTCATGTTTTAGTTTTCTAGGGCTGCCATAACCAAGTAACACAAACTGGGTGCCTTGAACAACATACATTTATAGTCTTATAGTCCTGGAAGCTAAAGGTCTGAGATTGAGGTGTCAGCAGGGATGGTCCCTTCAAGGGCTATGAGAGAAAGTCTGTTCTATGCCTTGTTTCTAGCTTCTGGTGGTTTAGTGGCAGTCTTTGGCATTCCTTGGCTAATCTCTGCCCTCATAATCACAAGGTACTCTCCCTGTGTGTATGTCTCCCTCTACTCAAATTTCTTCTTTTTATAAGGACATCAGTCATATGGAATTCAGGCTCATCTGATTTTATCTTAACTTGATCACCTGCAAAGAACCTATTTCCTAATGAGGTCATATTCAGTGGTTAGGATTTCAGCATCTATATAGAGGAAACAATTTAGCTCCTATCTGTGCATACATGATTGTAATAGCTATGTCTTCCGAAAGCGTTGACACCCTTTTTACTACAATATAAATTTTTAAAATACTATTCACATTTTTAATAGTCTATATCGTGTGTTATGAGTATAATGAGTTCAGTGTTCTTATGATTGCTCTTTGCAAGGTATTTTTTGTCATCTGTTTACTTTGCATTAGTATCCTTGCATCTCAGCGTATATTGGGATCACTTGTGTTAATCCAGTCTGACAATCTCTGCCTCTTGATTGGACTTTAATCTGCTCACATTTAATATTATAATTGGTATAATTTTATTTATGTCTGCCATTTTACCGTTTGTTTTGTATATTTCTCAAATATTTTTCTTTATTGCTTTATTTTGCAATGAATGAATATTTTCTAAAACAAACAAGGAACTTTAGATTACTAATGAATTATTTTACTATTTATTTTTGAGAATTTCTGTTGTTGTTTTAAGTTTAACGTATAAGTATATGGAAAATTAATTATTCAAATCGTCTTCCAATTTATACTAGTAAACTTTTAGTAATAGAAACATCATTCTTTTACAAATCTCTTTTATTTCCTCCATTTTAAGGTATTATCACTTTACACATTACATCTATTAAAGTTACAAAGCCAACAATACATTTTAGTAATTATTACTTTACCATCTAGAGGGATTACCTTATCACAATACATTTTTCTTCCAACTACCTCCTTTTTGATGTTACTGGAAAATATGTTATAGACATGTTACGTTTCTACATGTCAAATACTCAGCAATACATCATGCACATATTATTATTATTATTATCATTGAGATGGAGTCTCCCTCTGTCACCCAGGCTGGAGTGCAGTGGCACAATCTCCGCTCACTGCAAGCTCCATCTCCCGGCTTCATGCATTCTTCTGCTTCAGCCTCCCGAGTAGCTGGGATTACAGGCGCCCGCCATCACACCCGGCTAATTTTTTGTATTTTTAGTAGAGACGGGGTTTCACTGTGTTAGCCAGGATGGTCTCGATCTTCTGGCCTCGTAATATGCCTGCCTCGGCCTCCCAAAGTGCTGAGATTACAGGCATGACCCATCGTGTCCGGCCATTATACACATATTATTTTATAAACAATTTATGATAAAGAGAAAACATGCATTTATACTGTCTTTTATAATGTTAATATTACCTATAGCAGTGCTTTTTTAAAAATGTGGATTCAAATGACTGTCTTGTGTAACTTGCTTTTAGCCTTAGGAATTTATTTTAGTTTTTTTTTTTTTTTATGGTAGGTCTGCCAGCAACAACTTCAGTTAATATTTCTGTTTATCTGGGTAAGTCTTTGTGTTATCTTCATTTTTGAAAAATAATTGCTGGATAAGGAATTGGTGGCTGACAGTTTTTTTTTTCCTTTGCATCTTTCAACTATATTATTCTACTGCCTCTTGCCTTCCATTGTTTCTGTTAAGTCAGCTGTTACTCTTACAAAACATAGGTGCTCAAAAAATAAACATGTGCATGAATATTTACAGCAGTAATATTCATACAGTCAAAAAGTGGAAACAATCCATATGTTTGTTGACTCATAAGTGGACACCCAATTTCCAGCTATAACAAAGAATGAAGTACTTATACATGGTGTAATATGGGTGAAATTTGAAAGCATTATGTTAAGTTCACAGAAGGACAAACATTACTTGATTTTATTCACATGAAACATCAGGAATCGGCAAATCAATTGGGATATAAATCAGATTAGTGGTCATTAGGGCTCAGGGAAGCAGAATAGGGTGTAACAACTTTATGCATAATGGGTTGTTAGAAGGGATATGATGAAATTGTCCTGGAACATTGTGAACATACTAAAAGCAATTGCATTGTATGTTTTAAAATGGTTAAGTTATTAATTTTATATTATGTGATTTTTGCCTTAAAAAACAAAAAAGAGAAAATAGCCTTACTGTATATACAAAAAACTCAAGATATGTTACAAAATTATATGTGAAATCCAAAATACTATAATATTTAAGGAATAGCTAAGTAGAATAACACTGAAATTTAACATAATGAAATATTTTCTTAAAAAAGAAAAAAGCACAGTAATTAAAAAGGGAAATATAGTTAATATTTTTTCTCTCCATTAAGCATGCCATTAACTGATTAAAAAATCAAGCTGCAATTATGTAAACTACATTTTCTGAAACCATAAAGAAAATAAGAAATGAAAAGGGATTTGGGAAAAAAATCCAAAGGTACAGTCAACTACACAAAAAAAGCTTAGTCTCATTAATCATAATTAAAATGCAAATTGTAACTGAAATAAGATAAAACTACAATTCAAAGGGAAAGCCTAAAATTTCAACCCCCCAAAAATTCTGGGTTTTGCAGAGCTGGGATGGAGTAGGGCTCCTAACCTTACCACAATGTAATAACCAAACTAACTTCAAAGTCATGATTTTATTTTTATAGCAACCAGGTTGCCAAGAACTCAGTCAAAATGTGAGGGAAAGCAAGCACCTACAAGGAGAAAGAGGACAGATGCACTTACATAGGACAGATGCAAATAGACACCACTATGAGAAGTAAAGCTGGAATAATCAATAAATTCCTAAGGACAAAGTGGGGCTGGTCAGATTGGGAGATGGCTGACAGCTGCAGAACTCGGGAAAGATCCATCATCTTGAAAACTTTTTCCCCACAAACCCAATGTGATCTCTCAAGCAATTGGTAAGGAATCCAAGAGAGTCTGTATATGATACAGATCAGGGAGAGCAGAACACTTGGGAGGTGACCAGGTCTTGGGGGCCGAGCCCTTATGAATGGGATTAGTGCCTTTATAAAAGAAGCTCAATGGAATTCTTGTGTGCCTTCCACTATGTGAGGACATAGAAAGAAGGCACCATCTATGAACCATGAAATGGGCTCTCATCAACACTGAATTTGTGAGCATCTTTACCTGAGACCTTACAGCCTCAAGAAGTGTGAAAAAAGAAATATCTGTTGCTTTTTAGTCACCCAGTTCATATTATTTTGTAATAAGAGTCCAAATAGACCAAGATATTCCACTTAATATGTAGGGGAAGGTAACAAAAACTGACACACCTAGAACACTCCTGATGCTGGGAGTATGAAAACAGGAAAAACAAAACAAAACTGCTCTTGAAGGTGATGGAGGAATATCACTGAGCTCACCAACACAGCCAGGAAAAGAACAGAAGTGTGAGAAGTCTGCATTCCTGAGATCCTGAGAAAAGGTACCTGCATAAGACTGAGATGAAATTACCTACCCTAGTTATAATTGAAATCCCAAAAAGAAAAGAGGAAAAAGTAATGGAACAAAAGAAATATTTTTCAAAATAACTGCCAAAAATATTCTAAAAGAAGTGACAGAAAATCAAACTTCAGATATAGGAAACTCAGAGAATGTCAAATAGAACAAAAATAAGAATTACATCTTGGAAAATCTTTAAAAAATCAACTCTAAATTTTATATCTTTCTCCAAATATATAGAGATATAAATAGGTTATCATCAAGATATGGAGAAAGCCATATCATGGAAACACTAAAATAAATCTGTGGAAGGACTACATTGATATTAGACACAACAGAGTTCAGAACAAGAAATAGTATCAGAGATGAGAGATAATAGATAATATGATAATCAATTCTCAAGAAGATGTAAACATCCTACTAATTAGGGAATGCAGCTAACAACAGAACCTCCAAATACATGAGGTAAAACATGAAAGAAATCAAAGGTGAACTAGAAAAATCCAAAATTATATTTACAGACTTCAAAACTTTTGTCTTAGTGAGGGACAGACTAGGAACAGACTCAGTAATCATATGGAAGATAAGAACAATATCACCAACAAGACATCCAATCTTCAATGGCAGATACTCTTTCCTTTCAAGTGAAAAAAAAACAGTATGGCATATTCTCTAACAAAACCAGAATTTCTAATGTTTGCTGTCTTCCTTCCTTCTTTCCATCTTCCTTTCTCTTCTCTTCCCTTCCCTTCTTCCTTCCTTTCTTCTTTTCATCTTTTCTTTTTTCTTTTCCTTTCTTTTTCTTTCTTTTTTCTCCTTCCTTCCTTCTTTGCTTCCTTCTTTCTTTCCTCTGATTCTTCCTTCCCTCCTCCCTCCCTTCCTTTCTCCCTCCCTTCTTTTCTTCCTTCTTTTCTCTTATTCTTTCTTTCTCACTTCCTTGCTTTCTTTTTTCTCCCGTCCTCCCTCCCTCCTTTTCTTCCTTCCTCCTTCCCTTCCTTTCCTCATTTTTCCTTCCTTCCTTCCTTCCTTTTCCTCTTTATTTTCTTTCTTTGCCTTCCTCCCTTTTACCATTCTCTCTTCCTCCTTTCCTTCCTCCCTTCCTCCTTCCTTTCTTTCTTTCTCACTTTATTTCTCTCTCTGTCTCTTTCTTTCTTCCTTTCTTTCTTGTGTTCTTTCTTTTTTCTCCCTTCCTGCCTTTCTCCCTTCCTCCCTCCCTCCCTTCCTCCCTCCCTCCCTTCCTTCCTTATCTCATTTCCTCCTTCTTTTCTTTCTTCTTTCTTTCTTTCTTTCCTTCCTTCTTTCCTTCCTTCTTTTTACTTTCTTTCTTTTCTTTTCTTTCTTTCTCTTTACTACAATTCATATTATTTAAAAAAATTAAGACATGGAGGAAGAAAAATAAAGAACACTTTAATCTGCAGGTAAATAGATTATGTCTGCTGTAGACAAAAGGATGGCCTCCCAAAAATGTTCATGTCCTAATTCCCAGAGTCTAACATACAAATATGTTAGGTTACATGGCTGTGGAAAATTAGATTTCAAGTGAAATTAAGGTTGCAATAAAATGTTGGAGAGATTATCTTAAATGGTTGGGATCAATGAAATCACAAGCTTCCTTATAAGTGAAAGAAGAAGGCAGAAGAAAGGCAACCATGGAGGTGGTGGCATGAGAAATTACTCAACATCACTGACTTTTAAGATACAAGAATGAGGACCCAGCGCGGTGGCTCACGCCTAATCCCAGCACTTTGGGAGGCCAGAGTAGGTGGATCACGAGGTCAGGAGATCGAGACCATCCTGGCTAACATGGTGAAACCCCATCCCTACTAAAATTACAAAAAATTAACCAGGCATGGTGGCACGTGCCTGTAGTCCAAGCTACTCAGGAAGCTGAGGCAGGAGAATCGCTTGAACCCAGGAGACAGAGGTTGCAGTGAGCTGAGATTGTGCCACTGCACTCCAGCCTGGGCGACAGAAGGAGACACTATCTGAAAAAAAAAAAGATATAAGAATGAGGTCATGTTCCAAGGAATAAAGGTGGCCTCTGCATGCTGAAAAAAATAAAGTACATAGACTCTGCCACAGAGCCCTCAGAAAGACTGCAGCCCTGCACAAAACTTGATATTAGCCCTGTGAGTCTCATTTAAGGTTTCTGAACTCCAGAACTGTAGGCTTAACAGTCACTTTATTGTAAGATATGAATTTCATGATAATTTGTTACAGCAGCAAGAGGAAGTTTATATAGTAATTGTATCATGAAAATGAGAACCATAATTTACAACTACTTTTAATACTGCACTTGGATGTTTGAAATCACGTACATGGAAATGATCTCTATGTGTATGAGGGAGGATAGCAAATTGATGCCAAAATAACGCAAATGTAATCTTACACTCATTTCAATGTAGGTTTCATTTAATCTTTGAAATTAAAATGAAATTAAAGAATTATGATATTTTGATGAGATTAGACTAAAATGAACAATAACAAAATAAGAACTTACTTGTATTCTTTATATGGTCAATAAAGAAGTGATAGTGGAAAAAAACAAGGTCAAATGAAGGTGATGATTTAGGAAGTTGAAAAGATAGCCTAAACTACAAAATGGTATATAACTAGTGAACACTTAGACACACTGATTGATGAACTTCAGCTTTTGGATTGGTGAGAGCATAAAATGAGAGCAGCTGAGGTTTGCAAATTTGCAATCTCCTTGTGGAAAAACAAGAGAAAACACATCTCAGCCTAATAAGATTTATCTACTAGAGAGTCAAGACTTGATCCATTTGTCCTTGTAATTCAAAAGCTAATTCAAATACTGATTTGATATATTGTGTGAACAACCATTGCTGATTATCATCGCATACCTGGCATTCTCTTTTATCTGATATCTAAAATATTTGGTAATTCCTGGACTTTCTCTTTTTAAACCCAGTACGGTTTAATTTCAATCTTAGAACAGTTGTCTTTGAGAAATTCTTCCTTCTACTGCATCTGTGAATGAGCATAGCGTGGTTACGTACATACTATCACCACAGAGAACATTTGTTGAATTAAGGCCAAAGTTTAAAGCAACAGCTTTAACTCACTGGTTTTACTAATGTTTTCCTCCCCAATAGCCACAACAATATTGATACCCTCACACCTTTTAACATAAAGCTTGGTGTTGTCTATTTTTCAGGTGCTGTCATCTATATGATCTCAGCATTTTAAAAATAAGCTTCCAGCCCATATGGTGGCTCATGCTTGTAATACCAGCAGTTGAAGAGGCTGAAATGAGAGGATTCCTTGAGCCCAGGAGTTCAAGAGCAATCTGGGCAACATAGCAAGACCCAGTCTCTATCAAAAGTTAAAAAAAAAAAAAAAGGTGGGCATGGTGATGTGCACCTGTTGTCCTAGCTATTTGGGAGGCCAAGGTGGAAGGATTGCTTGAACTTGGGAGGTTGAATCTGCAGTGAGCAGTGATTGCACCACTGCACCCAAGCCTGGGCAACAAAGCAAGACCCTATCTCAAAAAATATATATAATACAAATAAAAATCAGCTCTCATTGATTTCTCCATAAATATGCACAGGTGATGTCCATGTAGACATAAATGATAATATATCTGACAGTGGGTCCATATGATCTTCAAAATGTAAAATGCCTATCTGTGTAATTGACTGCTTAGTCTCATTAATGAATATAGATTCAATTCTACTTTCTTGTTCTAGATAAATTATATAATCTAGCTTTTCATTTCACTTATTTACCGATAACAACAGGAAGAATGACAAGATATCTATTCTGGAAAATTACTCTGGTAGGAGTAAAGATGAAACAATGATAGAATTGCATGGAAAACTAGAAAAAAGTATGGTCTTCCGATATTCTATCACATCATATACAAAAGGCCTCATAAAACTCAGATATTTTATCTAAAAATGTTATTTTAATCTTAGGAATGATCAAAGCATGAGACTAGAATTGTATTACAATGACTCTCACAGGCACATGTGCTAAAAAGGAGAGGAAAACATCATTACTGATATTTTAAACGTATGTTTTACTTTCCATCAACATGAACCTCAACTTGATATGATGTAGATTGAAGGAAATCACCCATAATTCCATATGAAGAAGGCCTGTGATATTTTATGGGAAATATATATATAGAAAATGCTAACAGAAACCCTATTAAGCATTAAGCTTTATGGAGCAGAGACAAATCCAGTGGTGAAAGATACACAGTCGAGTTCTGTTTGTTGTCTTCGAACAATACGGTTTAGAGGTGACTGGTGGGTGAGGAGAACATATGCAAGTTCACCAAACAGAAAAGCTGAATGAGGCAATGCCTCTTCCTGACCATATCTCTTACTCAGATACCTATGTAGTTTATTGTCCAGTAAAGGGTATATTTAAAAATCATATTAAAAGTCATGCAATGAAGTTGTCCAGGGAAATCAAGACTTAACAGTCTCACTCTGACAATAATGAATAGGGGGATTCCCTCAAGATAGACTAGGACATGAGTTCACACTGGCAGGTAGTAGCACCAGAAAGGAACCCATGGAAAATCTTTACCTTATGCTTGAGATAGGGACCAGGCTAAAGTGAAAGCCAGACATAAAATTTTATCTAAAATATATCCACAATCGAAGAAAATATGTGGTGTACAGGCATAGAATATCTGTACTGGATCATTAAAATAGTAAGATAAATTCAACTTTTTACATTGTTTTCTTTTCCTCCAGTTAGGGCTTGAGGTTTGTCTCTGGAGAGTGGCTGTCAATTGGAGCCCTGCCTTTCTGGGGTTCTGGGCAGGGGGTTGTGGATGCTTAACATGTGCCTTTCACAGGACACTTCCTTACCCTAGCAGTGGCCAGGTGTGCATCCCACGACCAGGCCTCCCTCTCACAGAACATCTGTCGAGACTAGGAGATGCCTGGTGATTTTTGCCTGACCTGTGTCCTGTGTATTTCTGACAAGAGCCACTCTCAGAGACCCTGGCCAGGAGGAGAGTTAGGTTCCAGTGTAGGTCAGCTCAGACACATGGAGACCACAGGACCAAACATGGGAAATCACAGAAGTGGTTTTATTACTCACAGATCCAGAGAGAAGAGGGTAGCTGAGAAGAGGGTTTAGCTGTGTCCCCAGCCAAATCTCATCTTGAATTCCTACATGTTGTGGGAGGGAACAGGTGGGAGGTAATTGAATCATGGGGGCAGGTCTTTCCCATGCTGTTCTTCTGATAGTGAATAAGTCTCACAAGATCTGATGGTTTTATAAAGGGGAGTTTCCCTGCACAAGCTCTCTTGTCTTGTCTGCTGCCATGTGAGACGTGCCTTTCACCATCCGCCATGATTGTGTGGCCTACCCAGCCATGTGGAACCATGTGTCTATTAAACCTCTTTCTTCTGGAAATTACCCAGTCTTGGGCATGTCTTTACCGGTGGTGTGAAAATGGACTAATACAGTAGCACACCTCATAGGGCTGAACAAAATGGGGAAGACGAGTGGGGAGCAATAGAGAGAAAAGGGGTCTGTGGGACTCCAGCCTTTATTGGGCCCAGAACATTACAAGTTTTCCACGGGGCTCTAGTCAGTGGGGTGAGTGCCAGCAGGCATATTTCTTGGCTCCTGCTGCAACTGAGCAGGTCACTCTGGAGTGTGGGGGCTGTCCATGTGGGCTGTGAGGTCTGTGGGGTGAGTCAGGTAGGTTGTATCCAATGGTTCCATAGCGGGTAGTCACCAGGAGGAGGCAACTGTGTAGGGTCAATATCTGGGCCAGCCACACTGAGGAACTGTGAGGGTTAGAACTGAGAATTGTCAAGGGAATCTGAACCCAGCTACCATATGAGAGAGTTCAAGTTACATTCAATGTGAATGCCATGGCAATATTAAAAGGTAAGAATTCACTCCATACGTGCTTGAGGTAAATAGTAGAAACCTAGAATTTATGCAAACAGTAAGAAGTTTGGATGCGTTTTCTGTCACATATTTTAATACTAGCAGCATATTATATATGTCAATCTATCAGGCATTCAGAAGTACATGCTTATGAAATTTTTTTGCACCATCAGACAAAAGACAAAGATAGAAGACAATTTTAACCCTATAAACACTAGTAAATTAAAAACAGAAGGACCTTTATGTCCTAATATATCTATGTTGTGAAAAACTGCCCTGTGAAATACGGGATTTCTTAAACATATTTTAAAAATCATAGGTGTCAATATTTTTTAGAAATCCATTTAAATTTTCTCTTGCTACTTTACAATGCCTATTTATTTATTAAGTGGTTTTGCTGATTTTGATGTATATCCTAAACTTTACATTTTCTTTAAAGTATGTTTTATACAACTTTACGTAAAATGTTTCAGTATCTTCACATTCTCTCCCTGTCCTTTTGTTTTGCTCTTATATGGTGGCCTTGAGTCTTTTCTCTGGCTTTTCAAACCTAGTAAGACTAAGACACTAAAGTAACTTTGCCCGTGGCTTGGTAATGCCTTCTAAAGCACGTCCTAAGCTCTCGGGCATACAGGGGTCTCCTTTGAGCTCTATGCGTTTGAGATCCCATATACCTAAATTCCAGTACTCCAAATCAGTACTTCTCAGTTTTAGTTACTAAGTTTAAAAATGTATTTTAATAGCAAGTTAGTTTAGTGCACTCTTACTTCTTTCTTTGCTGCTGGTATACGTGTATATTCCCTTAAATGAATCTTGGAATTTATTTAGAAATTTTAAATTATACTAATGAACCTGTATATTGTTGTGAAATCATAGGTGATTTTGGAAAGAATTTGTCTTTATGATACTAAATCCTTTTTATCCAAGAATCATATGTGCCTTTATATTTATTCCAGTCTATATTTATATCACTGAGTAAATATATAGAAATGTAGATACATACAGCTGTAGTCATAGATAGATACAAATATAGATATAACATGTTAAATCTATATCTATCCCATATAACATATATACATGTTATATGTGTGTATATATATATATATATATACATATATATATATGTTTGTGTTATTAAAGAGCTCGCTTAAAATTTTTCTTTTATTTCCTATATAATTTTAGGTTGAGCTTGAATTTTCCTTGTATAAACAAACAAATATTTATACTAGTTTTAATACTGAGGTTTAGACATTCTATCTTATTTTAGCATCGAATATTTTCACAATGATTATATTATCTAATAATAATGTAACTGTTAAAAATATTTAAAATTTATTGTTGAATTTAAATTCCTTTAAGTATGATAGTAAATTTCTATTTTATGCTTTCTCTATGAATATGCAAATTAATCTATCCACTTCTCTATCTTTATGTAGTAACATATGAAAACCAAGTCTCTCTTCTTCTAATAGACATATACATGTTTGCATATAGAATATCAGACTCTTTATAGCATTTAAAATATTTAAAGACATGAATATTACATTTTAACAAATATATTTTAGCATGTACTGAGAATCCCATATTTATTGTTTATTTGGGGTAATCAATATGATTATTAAAATTATTGGATCACCAAATTTGGAATCACACTTTCATCCCCAAGGTGGATATTTGTTTGTTTGTTTTTTTTTGCCAATTTCTTGTCTTACTGTTTCAAATATTGTTGGATATTATTTTTATTTTATTTGGCATTTTAGTATCAATATTTGTAAGTGATGTACTCTACATATTTTTTCTTCAATATCTGGTGGGTTTTATAATTACTGCTATATTGGATTTGTAGTAGACATTGACAAAAATTATTTCTGTATGTTTTACAGCTGTATGAAGGAATCCAATATATTTTACCCCAAAATATATTTCCTTGATATATTTCAAAATGGCTATTCAGAAGGGCTGGAAATGCAAACTTAGCTGCAAAGCTGTCTTGGGGAGATTTGCATCTGTAGAGAACCTACTTTGATGCAGCCAGGCTTTCTCTGAGGTCTGCTAACTTGTCTGGATCTAGGAAAGTTTAACTGAGCGTCTGAGGTCTCCAAAGGTCTGAAAGAAACATTTTCTCTCTATTCTCTCTGAGGACTGCTCCCAGTGAGGTTTCACCTACGTAATAAGTCCACTGTTGCTAGTCAGCGTCCTTTTCTCACATAACCTTTTTTTTTCCCATGTGATCCAAGACCCCATTCTTTCTGTAAACTTCATATGGTAGACAAGCTTCTGCACCCATCTTGTGTCTGGGTCTTCATTCTAAGGGCTCCAGTGTACACACATTGCAGAAACCTGTATGCCTTTTCTACTATTTATCTGCCTCCTATTAGTGATTTTCAGGGAAACTTCAGAAGGCAAAAGGGGCATTCTCCTTTAGCCTATACTCAGACAAAATCCCCCAACATTTAACTGATTCCTAATAGCTTAAAATCACTTTGAAAAATCCACATATTTATAACCTTTTCTTCCCTCTATGATTTCTGGTCAGCTTGGGTTTTGTTTTTTATTCCATTTACTTCATCCTCGAAAAGATCTATTTTATGTCTATTTATTCTCATTTATTGACATTGAGAAAAGAAAATAACTTTCATGTGAGAAACGCAAGTCCTTTGAAATAATCAGGCCCAGAGAATTATTCAAATGAGACAGCAGTTCTGTCCTGCTCCTCTTTGAGCTGTGTGTTCATCTAGGCTGCTTGTTGTTGCCACAGTAGCTATAAATTAACCAATAACGCCTCACCAGACACTATAATCCACACCCAATAATAGTGTAACAGTGTATAGCCAGTCACTAATAAATGTTATTTCCATAAGCCAATGAGAATTTGTGACAAACCTCTTTGCATCATCCCACTTCTTATCCCTTTTTTGCCTTTAAGAAACTGCTTGTTGCAAAGCTCCAAATGGAGTTCATATCCAGGGATACTTGGGTCTGTTTGTTCCAGGCAGCTGTCCCCATTTTGGCTCAAGTAAACTCTTTGAATTACGTTTTGTGCTTCAGCCTCTTCCACTTAGATTAACAACATGCATTTGTGTCACCATGTACAGCAATTAAAGTGTTTACACTTTTCCCCTCGAGGGCACTGATGTGTTTTCCTGAGCACTTGTAATAGCTACATAATGTTTACTTTCTATATTATGGTTTCTCAACCTTGGTGTACTTACCTTTAGGACCAGAGGATTCTTTGTTGTGGGAGGCTGCCCTAAGCAATGCTAGGTGATTCGTTTGACCTCTAAATTTCACACCTCCACCAGTCTTGACATCCCCACAATAACCCTAGACATTGACAAATGTCTCCTGGGGAAAACTCTCCACCGGTTGATAGCCAAAGTTCTTGAAATATTGGAATTGTCAATTGAGTTTTTATGTTATCCAAAACAAATATTTTTCTTTGTTTTTAAACATCTACTTCCATCTACTTATCTACTTATTTTTACTTTTATTTGTAACTTAATTCCATCAAGGAGAGAGAGTGCATTTTCTGTTATGCTAAATTTTTGAAGAATGTATTGATTTTTTATGACCTGATATATGGATGATATGTAGATATTACATGTTTGTATTATCAAATTTCAGGGTGATAATAAAATAAATACTTATTTATATTGTCACTTTATATTAGTTATTTTCTTTCTTCACTACAGGAGTTTTTCAACCTATAGGCTATTTTTCCATTCTAGGTTATTGAGTAGACTTTGAAATGTTAAGATTAAATATCTACTTCTCAAGCATTCATCTTTGCAAATGAATCAATCCCAAGCTCTTATACTGCACATCATATAAAGGGCAGATTAGTCAATATATGGTTCAGAAATAGTTACGTAACATCTATAAGAAAATTAAAAATTTAGATCCTTAACTCAGATAACAATAATCCAAATTAAAATTTGATTTAATTACATAATTTAAAATGACACCAGAATACTAGTAAAAATGTAGATAAGTTTATATAATCCTTTTTAGCTGAGGACTTTATTAGCATAAATTCAAATACAGGAGCCAAAGTAAGATTGAGACCTATAGTCAAAGGTTAAAGTGTACACATTATAGGGGCATGATTAATCTAATTTAAAGCATAACATGGAGAAAAATTGCAAAACATGCATGTTACTGAATTAATTGTTAATATCTAATCATTAAGTGAGAACAAAGGTAAAGAGTAGCTACACACACACACACACACACACAAGTGCAATATTGTCAAATAAATGTGATGTTCAGCTACACTAGAAATCACACCTGTGTTTTCTCCACAGAAGAGTAAAGATTAAAAATCACAATAATATTTATTGTACATATGGAGGTAAAGATACTCAAAATATTACCCTAAAATGCCTTTTTTTTTGAGATAGAGTTTTGCTTTTATTGCCCAGGCTGGAGTGCAATGGCACAATCTTGGCTCACTGCAACCTCAGCCTCCCAGGTTCAAGTAATTCTCCTAGCTCAGCCTCCCAAGTAGCTGAGATTACAGGCATGTGCCACCACACTTGGCTAATTTTTTGTATTTAGTAGAGACGGGTTTTCACCATGTTGGTCAGGCTGGTCTCAAACTCCTGACTTCAGGTGATCTACCCACTTCAGCCTCTCAAAATGCTGGGATTACAGGCATGCGCCTGGCCAACTTTTTGACATATTTCAAGATGGCTACACGGAAGACTGGAAATAGCTTCTTCTACAAGAATAGCTGAAAAGTTGTGTTTG
Source organism: Homo sapiens (assembly GCF_000001405.40). Classification (NCBI taxonomy): domain Eukaryota; kingdom Metazoa; phylum Chordata; class Mammalia; order Primates; family Hominidae; genus Homo; species Homo sapiens. Next base: position 38,922,201 of record NC_000010.11, on the reverse strand, counting down.
TTGGGGAGATTTTCATTTGTAGAGAAAATCTGCATTGATATAGACAGGCTTTCCCTGAGATACTCCCTTGTCTGTGTTTAGGAAAGATTAACTGAGTCTGGCACGTTTACATTTCTAAAAACCATTTCCTATCTATACTTCCCAAGAGGAGGGCTGCTCCCTGTGAGGTTTCATCCGTGTAACAAGACAACCTCTGCTGCCAGGCTCCTCTGTCTTCCTTGTCGTCACTTGTCTTCTGCAAATGCTGATTGACCTATGTACAGGTCTGTGTTTTCTGTAACCTCAAGACAGCATAGGCGTGTGGACTACCTTGCCTTTCCTGGAGTTTTTATATATATAGCATATATTTGTATATCTATTTATAATATACAAATATTTGTATATATATTTATATATATTATGTAAACTCCAAGTGCATACTTGTGAACATATCTGTAAACCTTTTTTTCCTGTTAATTTGAACATTATCAGTTTGTTTTATAGACTGAAATAATTAAAGCTTCAAGGGAAAAATTGAAACTTTCCTTTAGAGAAAAGACAAATATATAGGTGACAAATAATATTTAGAGTGTAAGACGCTTTTTAAGGTATATTTGCAATTTGTGTCAAAACATTTAAATATACATTTATTACTTTAACTATAAAATTTCAAATAATTTAAGCTAAATACATAGTATATGCAGAAAATTTAGCAATATTTGTATGTAGCACCTTACTGTGCATTACTGTAACCAGCTGTCTAATATAAAGAACTAATTAAGGTAGCACCTACTTTCAAATATCTCATTTTTATCAAAGACCTATTAAATAAGACAAATAACATATAAAGTTTGTTTTTAAATTTACAGAATAGTAGTTTTCAGAAGATGGTTTATTTTAGCAAATTCCATCTTCACATTGTGCTATGCTTTTATGAGTACCAGCTGTTAACGGATAATATTTTACTGCTGAATCTATCATGTGTGATATAATTGCTCATTATGTGCCTTAAAACACAAGTAATATACTTATTTTCAACTTGCAGCAAATTAAAATCTTATCAGCCATTTAAAAACTCCAAAATTGTCTTCTTCTGGTTAATTATTTTAAACTTGTATTTTTCTCTCTATGTTTTTAGTGAGTTGTCTTATCAAGGAGAAGAACTCAAGCTGATTATTCTTTTTTTTCTCTTCCATCCACCTCGCAGGTGTGTTAATGATTTCATTTTTCAGAAAATGTTATTTCATATCCATCTTACAAGATGAGAGAGCTTTTAAAATCTTCCATTCGGATGTGATACGAGTAATGGAAAATATTCCAGCTTCATGAATATGGTGATACAAATAGTTATCCGTCTAACCTCTTTCAGTGCCAAATGTATACTTTAGTCAGTGAATTACTCAGTTGACTGGTAATTTCTTCTGAAATCACAAATGAGAGGATCAGAGGTCTGGCTGTTTTCTGTACCGCATATGACTCCCAGTGCAGACAATTGTTTCTATGGAGCACAGACAGTTGAAAAGATTGACTTCCTGCCTAGAACAGTTTCCGTTGTGCTTCTTATCCTTCTTGTGGAGATTTCAGATTATCTGAATTGCTTTTCTATCTTAAGAAAAAACTCAACAATTCTGCCACCTGAGAGGAATGTAAACTGTAGTAAGTTAGCAGAACCAATCCGTAAGGTTTTTACATTGTTTTTTGTAAAATGCAGCTTTGGTCACTCCATCACTAACCTTTTCTATCCCTCATTGCTCTTTCGTTGACTGCAATAGGATACCTCTAGGCAAATCTGTATTCCCGAGACAGAGTGCCGTTTTGGTTAGCTATAAGTACACTCAATGGTAGGCGGAAATACTAGTTTTTATCTACAGCGAAATTCCATTCCACTACACTCCATTCCACTCCACGCTATTCAATTCCATTCCACCCCATTCCATTCCACTTCATTCCACTCCACTGCACTCCACTTCACCGCATTGCATTCCATTCCACTCCATTCAATTCCACTCCACTCCACTCCATTCCATTCCATTCCATTCCATTCCACTCCAGTCCACTCCATTCCACTGCACTCCACTCCATTCCACTCCATTTCACTCCACTCCATTCCACCACATTCCATTCCATTCCATTCCATTCCATTTCATTCCATTCCATTCTAAATCCATTCCATTCCATTCCTTTCTTTCGACAGGATCTCACTCTCTCACCCAGGCTGGAGTGCAGTGCACAATCTCAGCTCACATTTCAATTCACCATTCCATGCCATTCCATTCCATTTCATTCCATTCCATTCCATTCCACTCCATTGCATTCCATTCCATTCCACTCCACTCCACTCCATTCCACTCCACTCCATTCCATTCCATTCCACGCCATTCCACTCCACTCCACTCCCTTTCATTCCAATCCACTCCACTCCATTCCACTAAACTCCACTCCACTCCATTCCACTCCACTCCACTCCATTCCACTAAACTCCACTCCACTCCATTCCACTCCAATCCACTCCATTCCACTCCACTCCACTCCATTCCATTCCACTCCACTCAATTCCAGTCCACTCCATTCCATTCCACTCCATTCCATTCTACACCTTTCCACTCCACTCAACTCAACTCCACTCCATTCCATTCCATCCCATGCCATTCCACTCCATTCCACTCCACTCCACTCCACCCCACAGCACTCCACTCCACTCCATTGAATTCCATTCCATAACAATCCATACCTTTCCGTTACACTCCACTCCACGCCACTCCACTACACTCCATTCCATTCCATTCCATTGTAAATCCATTCCATTCCATTCCTTTCTTATGACAGGATATCACTCTGTCACCCAGGTTGGAGTGCAGTGCACAATCTCAGCTCACATATCATTTCACCATTCCAGTCCATTCCATTCCATTGCATTCCATTCCACACCATTCCACTCCACTCCATTCGGTTCAATTCCATTCCTTCCCAGTCCATTCCACTCCACTCCATTCCACTCCACTTCACTCCACTCCATTAAATTTCATTCCACCCCATTCCATTCCACTCCATTCCACTCCACTCCACTTCACCACATTCCATTGAATTCCATTCGATGCCATTCCATTCCATTCCATTCCATTCTATTCCATTCCATTCCATTCCACTCCATTCCACTCCACTCCATTCCACTCTACTCCACTCCATTCCACTCCACTCCATTCCATTCCCTTCCATTATATTCCATTCCACTCCATTCCATTCCACTCAATTCCATTCTACTGCACTCCACTCCCTTCCACTACACTACACTCGACTCCATTCCATGCCATTCCACCCCACTCCATTTCACTTCTTTCCACTCCGTTCCTTTCCATTCCATTCCATTCCATTCCACTCCACTCCATTCCACTCCACTCCATTCCCCACCACTCCACTCCACTCCAGTCTACTCCATTCCATTATATTCCATTCTAAATCCATTCCATTATATTGCATTCTAAATCCATTCCATTCCCTTCCTTTCTTTCGACAGGATCTCACTCTTTCTCCCAAGCTGAAGTGCAGTGCGCAATCTCAGCTCACATTTCATTTCACCATTCCATTTAATTCCATTCCATTGCATTTCATTCCACTCCACTCCATTCAATTCCATTCCTTCCCATTCAATTCCACTCCACTCCACTCCACGTTAATCCACTCCACTCCACTCAATTCCATTACATTCTATTTTAAATCCATTCAATTCCATTTCTTTCTTTTGACAGGATCACACTAGGTCACCCAGGCTGCATTGCACTGCAGAATCTCAGCTCACATTTCATTTCACCATTCCATTCTATTCCATTCCATTGCATTCCATTCCACTCCACTCCACTGCACTCCGTTCAATTCCATTCCTTCCCATTCCATTCCATTCGATTCCATTCCACTCCATTCAATTCCATTCCACTCCACTCCACTCCATTGAATTC